>NC_000005.10:158185566-158488596 GCF_000001405.40 Homo sapiens | reverse complement strand
ATGTGGGATAAAGAAACTTGATAAATAAGTTGGATTTTCTAAGTCATCTGCAGCTCTTCTCCATACCCCATCTTGGACAGCCTGCCCAAGGTAAAGGAAGTGGAACTGAAGACATGACCCTATCAAAGACAAGTGGTGGGAACAAAGGGGCAGAGAGGTCTGGCCAAGATGGAGGCACACAGATTGTCAGGAGCCCAGTGCAGGTGCTCTGAAAGCATGACACAGGAGACCCAGAGCTCCAGAAATCCCTTCCCTCTTACCCATGTTGACTGGCCACATACTCAGAAGTTTTGTCCAAAATGCAAAATATTAATTGTGATTTCAGAATTGAAACTGAAGTCTTTTTGACTCCATTGTTGAGGCACTTAACCACTGTGATCCATGGAACATTTAGATATGTTCTATTCTCACTTAACAATACTGAATTTATGCAATGACTCTGAGGTTGGTCTGCTCCTCTACAATTGTGTGCAAACTGATTTTCTTAGAAACTTTTAAGTGTGCACAGCTGTTTTGAGAAGAAAATATTTTGATAGAGAAACTTCTGCTTCGTTTCATTTGGGGAAGAAAACAATGGAGCTATCAAATGCTGAATGGAAAAATTTGTATAAAAAGGCAAGAGCATCTAGAGTTGCCTCTTTTCAGGGAAGAAGGGACATTAAGAGAAGTGTGGGCAGGGAGCTTTCCACTGGAGGTTAATTGGCAGTCCCTTTGGAAGAAAGCCAGAAATGTCATCTTGTTTCCAGCCAGGGATATTGATTTCAATACTAATGGAGATTTGAACTGGACCTTCAACAGTTTACAGAAGTTCCTCTCTCTGGTCAAGAAGCCATGGGCTTCATGTTCAAGTGAGTTTGGGATGTGCTCTGTGGCTATGTAGCAAGCCCCTATACCTCTATCCTGTCATCACAGTGATTCTCAACATCTTTTCTCTCTCCTCTTCTGCACTGGGAAACATCGTCCTGTTAGAGAGAAGTGCATTTACAGCTGAAATTACCAAAGTGGCCCATTATGTTTATCAAGACAGAAAAAGAAAAAAGATTACAGTTTGTCCCAGCTGTCTGCAGAACAGCTCTCCTTCTATTGGAAGGGTACTGATCCATGTTGGTTTTTTTTTCCTCTCTCCCCTCTTAAAAATTAAGTGCATGCAGGAATACCCTTCAAGATGTGATTTCAGGGGAAAAAAATGATGATTAGCAGGACAAAAGGTCAGGGCATTCCAGAACATTGAGATTTCCACATAGCTGCATTTTGGGGTTGTGTTTCAAATCTCCTACCACGTGTGCTTCTATCTCACATGAAGGGTATCAGGGAGATCACTAATCCCAAGAGAAGGTTTTTCAGAGATGAATTTACACCAAACTGGAGTGGGGTTGAGGAAAGGAAGAAAGAGGCTGAATTCCACTGACAATGGCTAATTGTTGTGACTAATTCAGCTTTTGGAAGGTAGAACTCCATGGAGTGTGTGAGCTGCAACATGGTTCCTGTTTTAATTAGTGGCACCACAGGGAGAAGATGGGCTTATAATTGAGTAGTTTGCTGATCGGTCAACTTCAACCCATAATCAGACACGCTGAGAAGTGGACATTAACGGGGAGCTTTGACTAGCAGGAAGTCTGCCCCATTAGCATAGCTGGTGTCAAATCAGGTTGTTGTCTTTCTTCTTGATTCTTTCAGGAAGAGGATGGCAAACAAAATGTTTTCTAGACTAGTTCTCTCACTCTCTCTCCATCTACTACATCTCTGTTCCAGTTTTGCTTAGCCTATCTCTGCACAGGCACACTAACATGAATAGAATGATTGGCATTTCCATCTTGCA
The DNA here is from genome assembly GCF_000001405.40 of Homo sapiens. Lineage (NCBI taxonomy): Eukaryota > Metazoa > Chordata > Mammalia > Primates > Hominidae > Homo > Homo sapiens. The sequence goes on along the minus strand of NC_000005.10, from coordinate 158,486,777 downwards.
ACTTTCCCTCCAAGATTTATTGTTGGATTCTCTCTTCTCATGCCAACACCACGACCATCCATCACAGTATACAATCCCCTTCCATAAATGCACCTTAATTTTTGTTTTGAAAAATTCTCTCCCTCCCACTCTGTGGAATCTCGATGAGACTCTTAGTTAAGGGTTATATTCTCCGTTTTCTCCTCCCACACATCCCCATCCCCACCAAGAAAGAATTGGAGTCGTGATCCAAATTAGGCCATCTGGACTTTTTTTCCCAAAAACTTTGACTCTCGAGAAAGATGTCAGAAAAGAAAAATAGTTGAAGCTAAAGTTTCTAGTGGGAAACTATGATCAGATTTTTTTTCTCTCTCTCTTGCTATCTAAACCCCTAAGCTATTGGTTTCCTCTCCATTTCTTATCCTAATTCTCAATACTTGACCATACCCACAAGCCCTTCACTCTCCTATGTCACCTTCCTCTCTGCTTAAATTAGGCAGAATGAGTTTCTGTTGCTTGTAGTTGAGTAACCCCAAATGAGAAGGTATCCGGGAGAAAGCACCTCAATGTACAGCTTAATGTTCATTCTCCACCATCCTTTTCCTACTCCCGGTAAGAAAATGTGCAGAAGGCAAGAAAATCATACTTGTGGTGTATGAGAAGATAAATTTAAAAATGAGAAGAAATGCCGCACTCTTACTAATGAATCTGGGTTTAGGGCCTGGCGTGAGTGTCTTCATCCCAGATGTTCTCATGGGATCTGCTTGGAAGCTGCATTCCCATGGGATTCTCACTGTTCTTTGGACCATGACAGTGATTTGTCTGGCTTCTCTTCCTGCTCAGTTTTCTGTCAGGGGCCCCCGCACTCATTCATGCCCTCAACTATTTGGGGTTGACTGCTGATACATGCATAAATGTCATACAGCATCTATGCATGTCATGCAGCATTTCCCTGCAGGAGGGGGAAATGCCACCTACCCTCCGTTTCCCGGCTGTATTTTGGGCATGGTTTGTATTAGCTAGCTTAAAGGCAGGGAGTATTGGCATGCCTTCAGATGGGTGTGTTGTACATGTGTGTATACTCTGTTGCCAAGCTACCCAGGAGCAACACATCCTCAGAGCTTCACTTGCCTGCCCAGCATATTCTCGGGGCCTCTGCCGGGGGGAAAACACCCACCTGGGCTTGGGGAGACCCTAATGTGTTTAAAATGTTGTTTCACCTAGATGTACAAATCAGGCATTGGTCCTCAATGCTAGTCTGGGGTCAAGAAGTTCCAGCAGCCAAAAAAAGCCACAATTCCCACCTTGTAGATTACAGACTGTGTGTTCAGAATTTTAAGGAGTGAGCTGAGGCTTATCCCGAGCTGAGTAGGATTTATACCTTTCACCGGTTATGAACACAGAAGTGAGAAAAATATACATACACGAGGGCGTTCACCATAGTTAGATGGGGGTCAGAGGAAGGAAAGCCAGCTTGGCCAATGCGCTTTCATAACCACATCAATTCAGGGCTTTCACGGGTTTGATTTTCTTTCAGCCCAATCCACTAAGGAGTTGCTCACGAGTTCTGTGGATTTTCTGCACAATTGCAGATTATTGCCATGGCAACAACAGAACCATGTGACAACTTTGCTACCTCAGAGACCAGGAACAGCCACTTACGGGCAACACACATCATCTCGTAAATGGGACTCTGTGCCGTTGGCCTCACATGGTCTTAAGGCTAATCACTGCTTTTCCACAGATGGAATTTTCCCCCACCCACTCCATTTTCATGATCTTTTAAAACAATTTGGATTTGCTCTAAAGCACTTCCATATTTGCCTCTGTTTATTTGGTCATAATAAAGGTATTATTTTGGTGGATTGGAGAAAGGAAAAAGAGGGGTAAATTTTGATGGGTGAAGGCAGATGGGATGCAATGGGCAGAGAAGAAACAATTTTGCTAGCAGATGGTTTTCTTGCCACAATGTTACTAGAGTTGAAACCCATGACAGTTCTGAAATTCTGGGTCGGCCACACACAAGAACACACTGGCAATGAATAAAATTTGCTTTCTTGCCAAATGAACTCAACTCTTTTGTCCACGTTGCAGGCACAATGAGAAATGGGGCCATTGATAATTAAGTTAGAGATGTGATTGAGAAGGGGAACCAGGTAATACTTGTTCCCTGGCAAAACAATCAATTTATTTTTCAGAAACTAATGCACATAGCCAAACCCCAGGCTCTTTCTGCCAAACATTTTCCCTTTAATTTTTTAACCTCTGGGCATTTCAAGGAAAATTGAATCCACATGTTTTCAGATTCATTTGCAAATACAGTTTGCTCAGAGCTGTTTGATGACCAGTATACCCTTTGAGTGTTTTTATGAGCTCAAACTTATTTTCCCCCAAGCCTCTTGCTTCTGAACCAGGAAGTGGCATTTGGAGTTTGTAGCAGAATTAAGAAACAATCATTTTCTAAAGCCTTTGCCAAGTGCTCTTGCCTCTTTCTGGAACCTGGTAAAGCTAAAAAAAGGTTTTCACCCAGTGCATAAGAATAATTGAGGGTAACTTACTGTTTTTACAACTGAAAAGCAGACCTAATATGGACACGATCCAATTCCTGGATCACATGGCTTCCCCATCTTTCTTTATTACTGATGACATTTGCATGGAAGCAGATGCTTTCTTTCCCAGGGACACGTCTCCACCTGTGATATAATTCCCTGATTGGAATAATGCTTCTGAGACAGGGTTGGAAGTTTAGATTTAACCCTCCCCACAGACAAAATTATAGAAAACACTCTTTGTTTATTATAAGTGAATCATATCTGCAAAGAAGAAGGGTCCCCTCTTACTATGGACACACGGAATTTGGGAACTGCGTGCTTATTCTTTTCTGTCTCAGCCATATGACCCAAAACGAAATTCTAACTTCCAGAAAGCCAGGCATACGTATGGGGGATGTGTGGGGGATGTATATATGTGTGTGTGTGCCTGTGTATTCTAGGTATTATTAAAAAGACACTCAGTAACAAGGAGAAGAGCAATTGGGAAAGTCGCACAGAGCAGGAAAAATGTCTCTACGCTGGGGATTTTTCTGAGTTCAGCTCTCAAGTTTCCTTTGAGGCTGCTCTGATGAATTCCACCTGCATTCCAGGACACTTGTTAATGAGGAATTAGTCTGAGGAGTTCTCTGGATAAATATTTGTGAGCAAATAACATTCTTCCTGGAAGCTCACATCTATTGGCGTCTATTTTTTCTTCCTTCTTTTTTTCTCTTTACCAGACTTATGATCCCAGGGAAACTTGCACTAAATTCACATGCCCTATTTTTAACTTTCATCTGGACTTCCTTCTTTTTTTTTTTTCTTCAAGCATGAGAATCAAGCAAATAACGACCCTTTGTATTGTGTCCAGTGGAAGGTCACAAGCTCAGGGAATTTACTTAAGTTCCCGGGAGAAGTCAGGCCATAAAAGATTCGTGTGCATGGACTTCAGACTGTGCCATTTTGACTGTTGGGTCTGCTAACTACATTCACTTCCATTCTACAAACAAAAGCAACTGGTGAATGAATACAGCAATAGTTTTGGCTTTCGTAGAGAAATTGACTGTACATTCATAGCTTTGCTTCATCCATGGCCCACCCAAATCAAGAGGGTTAAGTGGGTCCCAGGCTGCTGACATTGCTTTGGTCAGCTACAGCCTATAGAAGGTGGCATTGATAGACATAACCAGAGATTTGAGCTGTCAGATTGCTCTTTCACTGTTTGTAAACCATCGCATGTTTTTTCCCCCTAGAAGATGTTCCTTAGGGTTTATTAGACCGAAGAGGAGAAGAAAGAGAGGAACAAATGTACCTGTTGGTAGCTTACTGGCAGTTACAGCAGGAGCCTCAACTCTGCTGTACTCAGGGCTCAGGTGGCCCATCCAAGTGAGTGCAGAGGACCCACGGGGATGTGCTGAACTACGAGTCACCCATCCCTTCTTATGTGTACAGCTGCTACTCAACTCAAGATGATTTTTTGCCCTATGGAATGACAGGTCTTTTTTTGTGATAAGTCGTACATTTACAGTTTTAGATGAAATACTCCGATTTTAAAAACTTGGGATGTCCTCAAAACTATGACCCTGTATGATGAACTAAAGACACTGGGTATGTGCAGTGGGTTATAGCTCCTCCAGGTACTAAACAAGCTCCTTAGAGCAGCCCAAATGAGTGGAGAGGCAGTCAACACAGAAGATCTCCTGGCCATTTTCAAAACTCCTGATCTCAGTGCCCGACTGTGATGCAAAGTTGTAAGTCAGAGGCAACTGGGATTGTGCTCAAGAGTGGGAGGAGCAGCATGAGGTACGTGCTCCAGGGAAGGGGCAGGAGGAGGATGTTAGCCATGACTTGCACCCTAACTCGGGTGATTCATTTGTGTATTCAGTTGATACTATCTATTGAGTACTCTCTATGTATCAGCACCATGCTAGACACTAGATATGTGGTGATGAACCAGAAAGTTATCACTGCTATCTTCATGTGTGGAACATAGACATATGCAAATAATTATACAAATAAATGCAAAGTGTCCAGTGCAATGTGTCATCCAAAGGAGAGGTGTGGGCTGTGAAAATACATCATTGGAGCACTTGCTCTGGTCAGGGTGGTTGAGAAAGGTTCCCCTAAGGGAGTATATCTGACCTATTATGGCAAGGAGGGTAGGAGTTACCCAGGCACAGGGGGAGGGAGCCACCTTTCAGGCCGAAGAAATAGCCCTTGCAAAGACCCTGTGGCAGCAGGGAACATGATAAAATGCAAGAACACACTTTCAGGGTTAGTGTGGCTGGAATGCAGAAAGCAAGAAGGAGCTGCAGAACTGGGCAGGGACGGACCCAGCAGGACCTTGTAAGCAGTGTTAAGTAGTCATGACTGACCTTGGATCCAGGCAAATTCAACTGAGTGATTTTAACCAGGGAAGTATAGGACTAGGCCCACATCTTGAAAAAAAAAATCATTCTGGCTGCAGAGTGGGGAACAGCGTAATCAGAAGCAAAAGCATAGGCAGGGGGAAACATTAGAAAACAATTGCATTGGACCAGGGGAGATGATGCCAACTCAGACTAGGGTGGTGACTGGAGTTACATAGACAGGTGAATAAATTGGAGAGTGCCAGGACATACAAATGGGAGGAGAGGGAGGTGCATGTGACAGTTAATTTTCTGCGTCAACTTGGCTGGGTTACAGTACCCACTTATCTATCAAGCACTAAGCTAGGTGTTTCTGTGAAGATATTTTGTACATGCAGTTAACATCTATAGCCATTTGGCTTTAAATAAGGGAAGGTACCAGTGATGGGGTAAGTGGGCCACATCCAATCAGTTGGAGGCCTTAAGAAGCAAAAACTAAGGTCTCCCAGAGAAGAGAATATTCTGCCTCAAGCGGCAGCACTAACTCCTGCCTGAGTTTCCAGCTTGCCAGGCTGCCATGCAGCCTCCGTATGTGCCAGTCCCCACGATTGTGAGAGCCATTTCTGGTTCCACTTCTCTGGAGAACCCTGACTGATACACTACGTATTAGAGACGTACCATGACATCTTTAAGATACTCTTGTTCCTTCAAAAAAAAAAAAAACCATAAAATCCAAAGGATAGCCAGGCGCGGTGGCTCACACCTGTAATCCCGGCACTTTGGGAGGCTGAGGTGGGCAGATCACAAGGTCAGGAGATCAAGACCATCCTGGCTAACATGGTGAAACCCCTTCTCTACTAAAAAATACAAAGAAAAAAATTAGCCGGGCGTGGTGGCAGGCACCTGTAGTCCCAGCTACTCGGGAGGCTGAGGCAGGAGAATGGCGTGAACCCGGGAGGTGGAGCTTGCAGTGAGTGGAGATCGCGCCACTGTACTCCAGCCTGGGCGAAAGAGCGAGACTCCGTTTCCAAAAAAAAAAGAAAGAAAAAAAAAATCCAAAGGATATCAAATCCATCCCTACAAAGAAATGTTGCAGACAGCCCATCCATTTTTTCAGTATGAATAATGGTGGGACAGGGAGATATGTCTTTAGACGAAGCACGGGAGTATGATTGAGGGAAGCAGGAAAAAATACAACTCCTTTAAATAAAAATGGAAATGACCAAATATTTCACAAAATATGAAACACTTTTCTTTGACAAATAGGTCCTTTCATTCTAATGCTTTCTCAGTCCTTAAAGAAAGGGGGAGATGTTGGTAAAAGCCAGTGCATTTTCATATGCACAACCCCTGGAGCCTGAGATTGTCTGGTTTTCCCAGGTTCTCAAGTGCGGAGTTCCTACAGCTGGATCAAGGTTAAGGTCCTGGGTGAGAAAGGCTGAGGAAGCTCATGCTTACCACCAAACAAATCCACCCAGAAAGTCCAGAGGAAGTGCAATAAATTGGTGGCCTCCAGTTTCCATTACTGTGAGCCCTTTAACCCCTGAAGCCAAACAAAAAAGTAAATAAAGTCTAAGAATAGAACTGGCTTTAAAATGTTTTTAAAAAAGGAAAAGCTTTCCTTTTATCTCTGCTTTTCTTCTCCCCTACCCCTTTCCTCTGTGGTTCTGATCCAGACCTCCTCAGGAGAGAGGCAAGTTCACTGTCTATATGGGCTGGCAATGCCGGGAAAGAGTCTGTTCAGGTGGAGAATCTCATTTCTGCAGTGCTCCCGCTAAGCGGCCCTTTCAACGTGGCTGCCTGGTGACTCTCGCTCAATCATTATATTCTGGAAATGCAGCAGGTCATTAAGGGAGGAGGTAGAGGGAAAGTAAAGGCAGGGGCCAGTTCAGTGTTGAAGCCATTTCCTCCAGAGAATGTCAAGGAAGAGAGGAGCAGGGAACTAGTGCATACTGCTTAGCCTATGTTTGCTGGAAGTTTTTTTCAGTTTTGGATCAATATATAGACCAGAGATCACAGGCAGAAGACCTCACCCAGAATCTGAATCCCCCTAAGATCTACACAATAAGTGGGAAAGCATGCTCAATCTCTTACAGAATATCAGGCAAGTCAATTAAAGTCTGTCTCAGTTTCTCTCTCTACCGAAAAAAAAAAGAAAAAAGAAATGGTAAAATTCTCATGTATTGAGGCTACAGGAGGCAATAGAATTATAATGTTGGAAGTGACTTCAGCTCAATTATCCAAACTCCCAGCTGATGGAGAAATTCCCTCTCCCTCACCTCTGACCATTGGTCACCGGGATCCACCTTTTAACACAGCCATTGGAGCAGAGTGGAGGGAAGAAATTTAATCCAGAGCTCATCTGTTTTTCTGTTGGATAGCTCTGGTTTTTTGCAAACTTCTTTTCTCTATAGGGACAAGTCTTTCCTCTAAGCTCTACTGAGCAGGGGGGAAGCACTCTTGGTGGTACTTAGATCCAACATGGTTTATTATAAGAGCTGTTAATTTACTGGACATCCTCTGTTATTAAAAGCCCTGCCTTCTGGTACAACTCACCATGAAATAATCCATCAAGCATAACTATATAGAGAGATATAGGTACATATATATGCTATATAAACACACACATAAAATATCTCAGAAGCGAAGTGAGAGCATAAAATCAGCTAGCAGAAACTTAAACAGGGCTCAACTTAAACAGGGCATTAAGTGGTATTAACAAACTAGTTCTATAAATGATCAGAAATTCCAAGTCAAATCAAAGATTGTTATCAAAGACTCAGAGATACCTCAAGGCCAGCATCTCCAGAGAGGATTGGAACTGATTGGAACTGAAGCTCTATCTCTTCCCCATGCATTTGAGTGAGCACTTTAAATCTCCAAAGATTGAACTATAAAGAGAAATTAGTTTATTAATAATTCACAGACTTCAAGGAAAAAAATGTCAAAAGCATATGCTGAGGAACAAAGCTGATTTTATTTTTCCTGTTTAGAATAAAGTGTAGAGAAGTTGAAGTGCCAGGCTCAAAAATTGAATTGGGTCTTTTTTTTTTCCTTGTCTTCATGTTTTTAAAAAAGTGTTTCTAATAAAATATATGTGAGCATTTAGTGTGATTTCCCTCTGCATACTTCAAGTTTTTCAAATCCTCTGAGGTTTGCAGACAGTGTCAAAAGCAGAATATTTTATTCAATACTTTAATAGTTTGAGATATTTTCATGGTGAAGTTATTAGCCAAGTATACTTAATTGGAGTTTGTGAATTCAAGGCAACATATTCCAGAATGGTGCGAAAGAAAGAAAGGTTTAAAATGTGGATTCAAAATGATTCCACCCAATTGATTAAATGATGAAGTCATTCTCCAAGGGAACCCTCTTGTGAATGTGAGAATAAGGGATACATTTGTTCAGGGGTCTACCAGACTGGGATGTCTTTGAGGGCAAAAATTTTGCCTAATTTCTTTCGACATCCCAGGGCTCAGTCATGAGCCAGCTACTGAACTGTCTTGGTCTCCCCCACAGTGGCTGAAAACAGACTGACATGAGGAAATGGATGGGAACTAGAGTAAGCGCGTCTCCCCACTTCCTGAACAGGTGGGTCTTCCCTTCCCTTAGAGGAAGAGCCACGTGCCTGCAGAGGGAGGTACACGTGTGTACTCCATCCCATCCCCTTGTGCCTCCTCCACCACACTGCTTCTGCAATTGTCCCCTCTCTCTTGCAACGTTTTCCCATCCAGTAGATCATTTTCATCATCTCTGAAAAGAGCTCTCATCTTAATCAAACCCTTGACCCCAATACTCTTACACCTACAACCAATTTTCTTGGCTTCTTTTAAAACAAAAGCTATTTTTTAAAATTGCCTTGTAATTCCATCTGTAGATCCTAATATTCTTTCTCAAACCCATTCTAAACAAGTTTCAACCTCCACTGCTCTACTGAAAGGAAAAATTTGTCATTCCTGAGACTATACATTTGCATTTTGATTTATTAATTATCTATCTTCCTTATTAAAATGTAATCTCCACGGAAAGAACTCAGCTTTGTTCACAGTGGTAACACACAGTAGGTTCTCAATAAACACTGGTAGTATCAGTGAATGAGTAAAGAGAGCTCGTGCCCTTTTATATGAAACTCATGTGCAATCCCAGCTTTGTCCCTTAGATGGATAAACAGTATATTAATAAATAAAATGACGCTGGAGAAACTACTCTTTGAACAGTCACTTTTTGAGAAATGACTGCTGGAGAAAGCTTCCTATTTGGAAGCAGAAATTCAGGCTTACAACCTCATGATGAAGGATAGTATGGGTATGTAGCAGGGAGTAAATATATATTGAGTTGATGTACTTACGGCATATGACAATTACCCCATATAATGCTATAGTGTTTTTTACTAAGTAGTATAATCTGGAGAAGGGTAATGCATCTTGGACTTGAGCTGAGTGGCTCCAAATGCACAGCAAATTGAAAGAACAGCCTCGGGCTTTGCACTTTAGGGTGATGGCAAGGCAGCTGCCAGTCCTTAGCATGGAAATGCTTCTTAAGACTATCAGATTCGTTGTTCTTTTTTGTGATAACAATTCCCAATTTTAATTCCTTATCTTTTTGCTTTAGGTCAGGGATGGCAAATGAGATACATCTCATATGTCAAATCTGTTTGAGCCCATCATCAAATATTTAATTCAACAAATATTTATCACATACTTACAAATAAAAGCACTGTTCTAGATGCAGGGGATAAAACAGTGAAGAAGACAAAAGTCCTGCCCTAACGAAGTCTGCATTCTAGTGGTTGGTGATTGCTGAAACTGGGATGAGCAGTAAAGATTCTATTATCTAACAGTAATACTTGCAAGAGGTTTGCCATTCTGGTTATAGATTTTGTTTATAATATCCACCTAGATTTCTAAGTCAACCCATTGGTTTCTAAAAATGACTTAATCCCACTGCAGGCTCAGCCATACTCCAGCCTATAGGTCCAAACTGACCTCTAATTAGAAAGAATTTAAGAACACCTAGGTCAGTAGCATTTCTTCAAGTCAGCATTTGCTGCTAAGCTCGGCTAGATGTTTTACTTGGTCCCATTAGCTGTTTCCTTGCTCAATTCTTTTCTGACTAGGTCAAGTCCTTATACCCCAAAGCTTTCTATCTGTTTACCTACCTCTCAGCTCCCATCTTGGTTCTCCCATTTGTCTACTTATTCATTTATCCATGCAAGAAATATTTACTCAGCAGCTACTATATGCCAGGCACTGTTCTATGCAAGAAGGCTGTGCTGAACAGAACAGGCACACTCCCTGTTGTCAAGGAATTTATGTTCCAGAAGCAAGAAAAAAATATACAGGCAAATTTATAAGATAATTTCAGATACTTTGCTTGACTAACATAAGGTAATTTAGGTAGGTTTATTAGGGGAGCACCGTTTTAGGAGATGCAATTCAAGATGAAATCTGAAGGAGGAAAAAGAGTCATATGCAGGAAGTGGGACATCTAATACAGTAAGTCCGAACATTCCAAGGCAGAAACCAGCTTGGCCTGTTCCAAAATCATTATGATTAAACTAGAATGAATGAAGTGGGGGTAGTGAGAGGTGGGATGAAAAGGCAGGCAGGAGACAGACCAGGGAGGTTTCCAGAATGTGCTAAGGATGGTGTTTGCCTTTCTGTCTGGAATGTTCACTCATTTCTCACTGCCAGACTTTCCAGGTGCCATGATAATCTATCTTCCAAAGTTTCTACCAATGGGACCTGGAATCAGACATGTCCAGTAACAACAGCTTAGTAGTGAGACCTCTCAAAGTCTCCCTCCACTTTCTTGTGAGCCTGTTTTGGAGCCTTCACTGTGCATGTTCTGATCTAGCCCACTTCCAATCAGACCCAGCAGCACATTCCATAGCTCAAAGCTCCCCTTGTTCCTCACCCTTTTAGGTTCCCAGATTTCACCAGATGAAAACCATGAGCTAAGGAAAAAGCATGCCTAAGGAGGATTTGTTTCTGACAATTCCTTGAAGCACTTTGTGACAGGGCAGCCTCAGTTATAAAATGGTCCCAAAGCATAGGCCCCCCGGGGTTGTGCTATAGCAAGGCTCTAATTACTCTTTCTGAGTTATTTCAAAGACTTTGAGCCCAAGGGCATTGACTATCAAAACTTCTCAGTTTAAAGAAGCTCCTTAGCATGGACAGCTTACTCAATGATTTAGGGTTCTGTGCTAGAACCCCTGCCCCCACATTATCCTCACCACCCATCATTTGGTCTGCTCTTCTATTGTTACAGAGCCAATCCATTGGTTCCTTAAGGCTTTCCTGTTTATTACTTAGAAATAGTCTCAGAATAATCAGCACTTTAAGCCATTATTAATTTTACCCCAGTTTCCTCCCTCTCTGTCCAAGTTTTCTTATGAAGCTACCTACTGCATCTCTTTAATTCCTTCTCTCATCTGATCTCCTGATAGCATATTTTTTCTGATCATTTTTAACTTATAGTTTTGCCAATGCCTGGTGCTATGTGTTCAAATATCCTTACCAAAGTACAGATGGGAAAATCTAAGTTTTTTAACTCTTCGGTGATATTTAACTGAATCCAGGTTTTCAGGGTTTAATTCCAATAGTGACATCACATTACAAGACCAAAGAGAAGAATACAAAGAAGGAAATGAAGAAATGTCCAGATAATGACAAGAATTTTGAAATGGAACTACTGTTTCTAATACCATGGATGTGCTAGAATCATACCTAGCAAACTAGATACAGATACTTCGCATCTAATATAACAGAGGTGGTTGTTTCTAGCATTTGCTTCAATGCAAAAGGTTGAAAGATCTGCCAAAACACCATATTAGACAAAATCATTGGAAGTGTGTTGAAAATAGCCTTTGCAAAGCCTTTTGTGTTGATCTTCCTTGGGTGAGCAGTCTGGAAAGAGAAGACCCGATGGTTTATATAGAGCTCCCAAGTTGCCATCACACTAAAGAGAGAATACAAGTTTACTCATACAAAGATGGAAAAGCTATAAGTCCCCGCCTTCCCCAGCAGCTTTTCAATAGAGCAACTTTCGAAACAATAGAATGGCATGCAATTCTAACAGGAAGATGGATCTTGGTATTTTTGAATATTTCAATCAAAAGAAAAAGGCACAGAAGTAAAAGGAGATATGAAGAAAACATGCAAAACAGGGATCTATGCAGACGATGACAAGATTATGAAGTCCTCCTCAGCAGCTAAAAGGTCAGGTATTTATGAATTTTTATACATTAAAAATGGATACCAGCATGACCTCATTAAAGAGCTGATATTAGTAGAAAAGGATAGGTCAGTGTCAAAAGCAATGCCTGATTCCCAGTACAAGGTACCTGGCTTAATCGACTTTTGTCAACCTCAACAAAACATGAGTACAGGCTGGATACAGGCTGTCACTCCCAATTAACACAACCTTCGAGTTTGTCCTTGTTTAGTGTCGAGAAATTATAACACATCCTCAAAGAGACAGTCGTTAGACACTAGTGTCGCATTCACACCTGTCTCATACACAAACCAATGTGACTACTTATTACTGTTGCCATCCCAGTTTTGGTCACAGTTTTTACCTTTATCTTTTATTTTCACATCATGCCAGAATGGCCACCTTTGGAAGCAAACCAAGGAAATGACTACCTTCTTTCCCTAACCAAATAGCATAACATTAGCCAGAATAAAAGAAAATGCACCAAAAACCATTACCAGTGCTCACTGGTGATCTAGAAACATGATCTTGGCCAATGACCAACACCGAAGGCCTCTCACAGACGAGCTTGACTTCTATATGGATCTATGTTGGCTCCCCAAAATTCCACCTACTGAAAGGCTGTGTCAACCAGCAAGTGCTTACCCGGCAGTGGGACATGCACAGCACATGGCAGATGCCCCCAAGAAAATTGTTCATCTCCCCTACAAATATGCTCAGGCAGAAATGGTCCTAGAGTTACGCATAGAAAGAACATCAAATGCTGAGATGAAGCTTGTCTTCTGACTAGCTCCTCTTTTTATTTTATTTTTTATCTCTTTAGTGACCAGAGGTTGGATCAATTCCCAAAGTTCAGTGCCATTTTTAGAGTTTATAGGCATTCCACAGTTCTGAAGGAACAGAGTATAAAAATCTGGTAGACTGAACCAAACTCATAAAACTGGGACTGCAAAACGCCACTGCTGCCCCTAGTTCCTTGTACCCTGATTCTAGCAGCTGAGGGGTTTCCAGGTCCATTAACACACATGAGTTTTTATTTTTTTACTAGAGGTCAGTGGTAAAAGTCCCTTTGGTGCTGCAGACCTGTGTGCAGAAATGTGAACGATAGGAAGATCTGGCTTGGTGCATCCTATTTAATTTGCACTATGCCTGGATCTGTCAGGTCCTAAAGAAAGATACAGCCCAGGAGATTTGGAAACTTCCTAATGTGAATGGAGTTGGCAGCCCACACTCTTGGCTTCTACTGATTACAGCTTCAGTTTCTGACCCCCAGGAGGCCAAACCAGCAAGAGGAAAATGCATATAGCAAATGTTGAGACCTACGTCCATAATGAAAGTGCCCCCCTTTCATCACACTGATTTCTGTCTTCTGGCAAAGTCTACTGCTTAGAGTTAATGCCCTCCCTCTAGCATGGAATTGAAGAAAAATATCAAAATCTCACATCAACCCAACAACAGAAGGAATTGTTTAAAACAACGTGGCCTCCATAAGATTGCCTATTGGCAACCCTTTTAAGTCATGTGTTTGGATAACATTTAATTCAGTGACGAAATACTCAAAATGCTAAGTTAGAAAATAGGATGCAAAATTGTATTTTATAATATAGTCACAAAAAAGTGTAAAATGGTTATGTCTGTATGGTGAGATTACAGGTGATTTTAATTTTTGTTTTTTTACTTTTTACATGAGATGGGATGATAATTATTAATTTGTGGTGGGGGGGCTGTGGTAGGGGAACTCTGTCCCTTCATCTGTCCTTGCTCCCTGACAAAAGACTTAAGCTGCTCAGGCAGGTTCTCTCTAGAAAATGTACTGGGAGTCACAGAAGTGGAATTATCCTCCCATGGTGGGAAAAGCAGCAGAAGCAGGAAGATTGGATTGGGCAGGGGGGTGGGGGGGCGAGGACGGGAGTTCTGTTGGGGAGAGAGGGAAGAGAGAGGGAAGGGAGAGGGAAGGGAGAGGGAAGGGAGAGGGAAGAGAAGGGAAGGGAAAAGAAGGACAGGGGAGGGGAGGGGAGAGCAGGGGAGAGGAGGGGAGGGGAGAGAGACAGAAGGAAGACAGAGAAGAGGAGGGAAAGAAAATGTCCCTGGAAATTTTCTCATTCTAGAGAAGAACAAAGAGAACAAGGGATTTAAATAAGAGTTCTCAACCTGGCGTGGTGGCTCATGCCTGTAATCCCAACACTTTGGGAGGCCGAGGCGGGTGGAACACTTGACGTTAGGCATTTGAGACCAGCCTGGCCAACATGGTGAAACCCTGTCTCTACTAAAAATACAAAAACTAGCTGGACATGGTGGCAGGCACCTGTAGTCCCAGCTACTTGGGAGGCTGAGGCAGGAGAATCGCTTGAACCTGGGAGGCAGAGCCTGCAGTGAGCTAAGATCACACCACTGCACTCCAGCCTGGGTGACAGAGTGAGACTGTCTCAATAAAATAAAATAAGAATTCTCATGTAAAAAGTTCTTCTATGTCTATCTTTGACAGAAATGTGGGTGAAGATAGTTACTTCTGGTTGGACCACCCCTTTTTAAAATATGGCCCTGCTCTGTGGGAGGGGATATTATAACTTTGTAAAACTATATGTTTTCTAAAATTTTCACAACAAATAAGTTTTATACTTATACTCAGTAAAACAAACACATAGATAAGCACATAAATAAAACTGGCTCCTCTCAATAACTTTTTGGAGGAACTAATGAACAATAGCTATTCTCCCTGGCTATGGCAAGTTACCATACGCCTTTATCCTTAAACCATAAGGCAAACATAATACTTATTTTTTGAATTGACTAATTAATTCAAGAGATATTTATTGAGTATCATCTCTGTGCTAGGCACTGTGGAGCATACTGGAGATACATAATGCATTGAGCAAGCTAGTCATAGCCCCTTGCCCTGAAGAGAGGTCAGAAGAGGCTACAAGGTTTCTAGGACCATCTGGGCAGTGCTCCAATCCAGCCCTTGAAAATGCAAAGACCTGAATGTTCCTTGTAAAGTAAGAGACAAGGTCAAGGTACAAAGTCCATTTGTAGTTAAACGTCATTATGAATCAATTTTAGTCTGGAGCCAGAGGCAGTTAAAAAAATCAAAAGTTTAAGACAGTTCCCTTAAGAAAAATAAAGTTCTTGTTATTCATTATAATGCAGTGACAGAAAGTGAAGGGTTTGCGAGGTGAATTGGGGGTGGGGAAAGAATCTCACCCTTCTAGGCTATGCAATTTGGAGGCTATTAAAATCCACTCACCCTTTTTTTTAATGCATTTGTTACAGAGGAACAGTTGCCCAGAGTTTGTCAGTAACAGCTCAGCATATGCAGAAAATCAATCCCAAACAAAGTTCAAAGAAATCCTTTCAAAGCTCTGTGCGAAGTGACAAATGGTTGCTAATGAGCGATAGAGGCCCTCTCCTCATTTGACTAACAGGTGAAAGGATAGCTGGCTGGGGAAGGACCACCTGCTCACTCCTGGCCCAATTAAGACCTCCAACTGTTTGTGGTAACATGAGATTCACATTAATTGATTCCCCTTCTTAATCTGCCCCAGAAAAACCCAATGTGAGATGGAAACTCTGAGGAATGATCATAAAATAAACTGACATGGATTGTTTCAAAATTTCCATAGCCTTCGGCTGCCAGTAACTCCTCCTCCTTTCTCTTCAACCAGGGTCTTCCTTGGATGCCTTTGAATTGTGCCCTCTACCAAATACCCTCCCACCTTGTAGACAGAGACATGGTGAGTTTGTTTCACTTCCTGCCAGTGCTCACTGTCCTACCTGATGCGGGTCAGCTAGAACACTTGATCAGGGCTATAGCCCCAGATATAAAATCGTGGCCATGAAATTCACTGTGAATTTCTCAGGTCTTCCACCAGATTTGGGTTGACCTTTGGGAACATCTTCTCATGTTTTTGTGTTTATAAAACTCTATCACAGATGGAATGTGTTATCATTTTTTACATCATATTTAAAGGTAAAATTAACTTTGCATTTCCATATTTTCTTTCTTTATGATGGACTTTTTTGATTGTTGGAAATGACTGCTTATATCCACTGAAAGATATGCACAAGAATATTCATGACAGCTTTATTTGTGATAGCCCCAAACTGTAAACAACAGAAATGTCCATCAACATTGGAGTGGGCAAATAAACTGTAGCATATTCACACAATGAATACTACACAGCAGTGGAGAAATTACGAACTTCTGGTACTTGCATCCAGACAGGAGGGTGATTACCTGGGGGGAACTGGTCCAGAAGAGACATGAGGAAACCTTATCAAGGTGCTGGGAATTTTCCATAACTGGATCTGGTTCCTCAAGAGAAAACACATGTAAAAATTCACTGAGCTGCATCTAAGATTTGTGTACTTTACAGGATGTCAGTTGCATCTTAAAAAAAAAACATAACAATCAAACAAATCTTGCTAGGCCAGTTTACTGAGGCCCAGATGGGGATGGGGGAATTTACTAAAACAGTTCTGTTTGAGGACCATAAACTTGCTTTGACTGTCAAATATAGCAGGGTCCAACTACCTTTAGTAGAGTAGTACTAGAGACAATAACAAACTGTGGGGGTTTTTTTGTTTGTTTTTTGTTTTGTTTTGTTTTTTAAGACAGAGTCTCATTATCATCTGGGCTGGAGTGTGGTGGTGTGATCTTGGCTCACTGCAACCTCCATCTCTCAGATTCAAGAGATTCTCATGCTTCAGCCTCCTGAGGAGCTGGGATTACAGGCACCCGCCACCACACCTGGCTAATTTTTGTATTTTTAGTAGAGATGGGATTTCACCATGTTGGTCAGGCTAGTCCTGAACTCCTGACCTCAGGTGATCCACCCGCCTTGGCCTCTCAAAGTGCTGGAGTTACAGGTGTGAGCCACCGCACCTGGCCAAAACTGTGTGTTTTAATAGTCTTTACAGTAGAAGAGTGATATAGAACACAGCATAAATAATTATTAATTTTTATTTCATTTTATGTGGATATGAGGACAGTTTCATCAAGATTAAAGGGCTTGTTATTAGCTAGATAATGACCCCCCACCTTCAAAATTTCTACATCCTATTTCTTGGAACCTGCGATTGTTACTTTATATACCAAAAAAAGACATTCAGATGTGATTGAATTAAGGATCTTGTGATGGAGAGATTATCCTCTTCTATAAGGACAAGGGTCCTTATAGGATGGAGGCAGAGGAAGATTTGCCTATGATAGAGAAGAAAGTGCTGTGAGCACAGAAGCAGAGACCGGAAGGATGTGGCCAGGACCCAAGAAATGCCGGCAGCCTCTAGAAGTGAAAGAGGCAAAGAATGAATTCTCTACTGGAGCTTCCATAAGGAACTGACCCTGTTGACGTCTTCGCTTTAGCCTCTTAAGAGTCATCTTGGCCTTCTATCCAGAATTGTAAGATAATACATTTGTGCTGTTTGAAGCCACTATGTTTGTCATAATTTGTTACAGCAGCAATAGGGAACTATACAGGGCTCGTGATCACACAGCTGGTTTCACAATTTGCTCTAATAGCCCCTAACTTCACATTCAATTTTCTTCCATCATTTTCACCACACCAGGCCACATGACACAGAGAAGCCACCAGAATCCAAAGGTCCAGACTTGTCACAGCAGGGCATGGGGTCAACATGGGCAGTAGGCATAGGAGATTCCACCTGGGACATCCCTGAGCTCCCTCTGGGCCTAATCAGGACCCTCCCTGTGAGAGTCAGTAAAATATTCTCTCTTCTGAAACCTAGCTTTCAAGAAATGGAAGAAGTTGCCAAAACAACTGCCAAAATACTTTGAGTAAATGTCATTCCTAGATGGGTCTCAGAACCTCCTGGACAGGAAAGCCACATATTTTTAGTGAATTATGTGTATGGCATATAATTCAAACCCCAAAGTAAATTTCCAACTGTGGCTAGAGTTATCTGGTGTGGACACCTATGAAGATCCAATTTTCCAGTGGATTGTCAAATCTCCCAGCCACTTGATGGTGATTTGAATATATTATTCATTCACTCACTCATTCA
Source organism: Homo sapiens (assembly GCF_000001405.40). Lineage (NCBI taxonomy): Eukaryota > Metazoa > Chordata > Mammalia > Primates > Hominidae > Homo > Homo sapiens. The sequence goes on along the minus strand of NC_000005.10, from coordinate 158,468,683 downwards.
GTACTTAGTGAGCTGTTGTGCTGTGCCAGGTAGACAGGAGGTACAGATGAGTCAGAAAACCTGGGTTCCTGCCCTAAGGAAGCATTCACCGTCCACTGAGATATTTCTAGAGACTGTGGCTGAAGGAGTGAAAAATGAAGGACTAACAGTTTGAGAGCCAATGGTCCTCTAAAGCTGACCATTTCTCACTCAATATTGACTGATACTAAAAAGCCGGTGGATTGGGGATAATGACTTGGTCTCATGTGTTTGTAAATTGGTAATTGCCACAGGCTAAGTGCTCAATAATGTGTGATGAAGGGGGAAGTAAGGCAGGAAGGGAGGAAGGAAATGAGGGAGGGAGAGAGGCAGGAAGAAAGTGAGGGAAGGAGGGAGGGAAGGAGGAAGGAAAAAAAGTGCAGGCAGGCCAGTGCGATGGCTCACACCTGTAATCCCAGCACTTTGGGAGGCTGAGGGGGGCCAGATCGTTTGAGCTCAGGAGTTTGAGAGCAGCCTGGGCAACATGGTGAAACCCGTCTTTACAAAAAATACAAAAATTAGTTGGTCGTGGTGGCTTATACCTATAGCCCCAGCTACTCAGGAGGCTGAGGCAGGAGGATTACTTGAACGCAGGAGGCAGCAGTTGCAGTGATCTGTGATCACACCACTGCACTCCAGCTTGGGGGACAGAGCAAGACCCTGTCTCAAAATAAAAAAAAATTAAAAATAAAGTGCAGTCAGATAACCACCACCAACACCACTGTTTCCTCAGTTTTCTATTTTCACTGTGGTATCCTACCAATCTCTGATGTCCTTCAGATTGAGGATTGACCAGATGCCATGGCTCATGCCTATAGTCCCAACACTTTGAGAGGCCAAGGTGGGCAGATCACTTGAGCTCAGGAGTTCAAGACTAGCCTGGGCAACATAGCAAGAACCTATCTCTATAAAATATATATATATATGTATATAAAAAAAATTTGAGGATCACATTTTTATCCATTTATATAACCCTGACACCCAGTACATATCAGCAGTTAGTAAAAATAATTTTGGATCAATGAACAATTCCCAAGACTCTGTGAGAGAATTCCAAAAGAGAGTAGCCATTCAACCTGGTTGACCTTCTCATAGCACCCTAGTCTAGGATGCTTTCTTTCCATCCTAGACTTTTCCCAAGCACTGCACCACCTCTGGAACTAGGGAATAAGTGAATATACAGCTATTGGCTCTTCAAATCAGCAGACGACTGTGTCCCATGGCCAAAGCAATTGGGTGTAAAATAAAAACAGTAAATGAGGGCAAGCTTTCCCCAGATAAATACAGCATCATTCGCCCATTTTCAATTTCCAGCGTCAATATTGATGGGGAGGAGGGTCAGATTTAAAAACAACAACAAAACAAAACAACCAGAAAGCAGTGGCAGAAATCCATTTCTTGCTCGTTCTAAAATGGAGAAAAGTTGTCCCTGGTCTCGGCGGCTCCATGTGTCATTTGAAAGAATTAATCATTTCACACCACACGGAGACCAACAGTGAAGTTCGTTGAGGGAAGTTTGGAAACCTGAGGAAAACAAGGCTTTCCAGCTGCCACTGCGCCTCCAAGTTTCTCAGAGGAGCTCTCAGCTCCGTTGTTCTGTTTCACATCTCCTCGTGTGTGATTTTTCAGGCTCTTCTCTGTGAGCTGGGGACTGACTGAAGGTGCAACTTTCCCAACAGTTTCTCCTCTCAGGAGAAATTGGAAATATGTCCTCTCTCTAAGCAGCCTCAAAAATCCTTTAGATGGAATATTAACTGTCTCTCTGCTGCTGTGTGTGCTCTGTGGACGAGTGTCATGTTCCCCTGCCCCATCATAACTTTTCTGTTCCTCATCAGTGATGGACTAGAGGTGCCAGGGACTGGCATCTGCCTTCGCTGGCTCCCAAGAGCTGTTTTCCTGGCCAGTACCCACTCAGAGCCAAGGAGTCATGGCCAGGCCCTTCAGCAACCTGGGTAATGTAAAGAGGTGTTTGGCCTTCAGGTAGTGTGGGAATCGTTCCTGCAGGTTTGCATTTTCCATCGTTAAAAACCTTGTATGAATATTGGCCAAGATATAAAATAAAGCCACACCTGTTTCTCTTGCCCAAAGACTAGCATATCCACCTGCATTTGCCTGAAAGAGGAGCCAGGGTTGCCCTGAGTGAGCACTGAGAAGCATGAGGCTCCCTTCACAATCACCATGCTGGCTCCAACAGTTACCCTCACCCCTGTGACTTCCAACCACCATCAGAGTGGAAGCCAATGATGACAGTCAACTTTGGCTGATCCTGCTATTTCAAATCTACTTCCTCTGATACCCACAGGCTCAGTTCCTCACTTCTGCAGGCCTTTGCTGAAACTTCCCTTTATCTGAGGCCTCTCTGAGGATCCCATCTAAAACAGCACCCCTCTCATTTTCCCACCCTGTTATCCACCTTCATCTTCCTTCACAGATCTGGGCATATTGTATATGTGTTTGTTGCCTGCTTTCTCCAACTAGAATGTGATCTCTTAGAGTCACCTTAGGTCTCTTTAGGTGACTTCTGTATATATCCCAGCACCTAGAAAAATCCTTGGCATGTAGTTGATGCTAAATGTATTTTGTTAAGTAAATGAAAGAACAAATGGTTCTGCAAGACCAAGGTTCTTCCTTCTATGGGAAGAACATTGAGAGCCAGGTTGTCCTATACACATCAATATCAAAAAGATGGAAATATACCTGAAATGCATACAGCTTTTTAATAACCCATTTCAAACCTAGCACCCATGAACTTAGCTCCTTTTAGCTTTTCCTACAATCATTTATTGGTTTGCTAGCATGGGCAGGCATAAGCTAGGTGTGGGTATCGAACAGGACAGACACTCTCCCTGATTTCAGGGGACTGATAGCCAGGCAGGGAAGACAGAAATTGAAACAAGTGATAGCATCTAGCCCTTTCCGGGTTACGATGGGAGAGTACAGGGTGCTACGGGAGCACAGTGCTTCTGGAGCAAACTAGGCCTCAGGCATTAATCCTGTTTTAAGAAGTCATAAACTAACTCTTCCCTCTAAGAACTAACAAACAGTTCTCTCTGAACATGACTTAGTGCTGAATTCAGAAAAAACAATAATGTTTTATGACAGCCCTTGAGAAGTGTCCCGAGGTCAAGATTTCAAGATTAATAGTAGGCCAATTAGAGAAAAGAAAGATTAAGGTGATGTTTATTGCACTCTTAACCTGTGATAAACATGTGCTAGCCTCCCTTTCTCTCTTTCCTTCTGTTTCTCATCTCATTTGCCATTGTATGCCCACATTTAGATATACATGTATAAATAGGCTTCTTAAATTCTCAGAATACTCTTCTTGTGGTAGATGCTACAAGTTCCATTTTGAAAGTGAAGGAAGCAAGGCTCAGAGAGATTGTGTAACTTCCCCAAAGCTACACAGCTGATAAGTGACTGCCCTGAGATTCAAAGCCAGGTATAAATGGCTCCCCAGAGCAGGTCTTTCTAGGTTCCCCCAGTTCTGTTCCATAGGCTTATTTTTATATTGTAGATGGGTTAGGTCCCCTCATGGTGTCTCCCAGTGCCTAGTGTTAAGGGTTCGGCACACAGTGAATATTGCTTATAATCCATGGGTTCTGATACAGCGTTGGCCTTACAGAAAAGCAAGCTCTACAGCAAAGACAACTCAGTCAAATGAGGCAGGAAGGAAGCCAAACACCAGCATCCTCATGGAAATAACTGTGGCTTCTGGTCATGGGAAGGAAGGAGGGCTGATTATTGAACCATCCTGGACACTTTGCTGCGATTTCCTCTGGTGGCTGAGGTAGAGAACGAAGAAAAACAACTTATCCTTTCTTTTGTAGACTCCATCACTGACTTTCTGGGTGACCTGGGCAAATCATTTAATGTCACACACTTCCCTTTCTTCATGGGTAAGCTGAGGCAGAAACAATAGTCGACAGCCCTGCACATGGACAAAGATTCATATAAAAGTCAAGCTCCTAAAATGAAGCAACACAGGCATGAACACAGGATTCTTTATTACTACAGGCAGAAGTTCCTGGAGGGAAATGAAAAAGGGGAGGGCCTTTACATTTTCCATGACAGGACTCAGCTGCCTTCAACCATCACTGTCAGGCAACATCATAGCCTTGATCTACTTCCCCCAAGTGAGTAATCAGAGGGCTGCAATGTCTCTTCATCCCATCTTTGCATTTTACACCCAAAGAGCTCACCTTGGAAAACAGAAATAAATAAAATGGCAATTAGAGTAATAATAAACCCAATATTTGTAAAACAACATGCAGTTTACAAAGACTTTTATATATGTTGCTAATTTGAATCTCACAATAACTCTTAGTGATGGGCTATTATCTCCCCCATTCTACAGATGAAAAACTGAGAGAGCTAGGAACCTGACTTCACGGCAGAGATAGGAATAAAAACCCATGTTTCCATTCAGTGATCTTTCTATACACCAGACTAGTTAATGATGATGACACACATCACTTGTGAAACACATGGGCCCCCGAACGGCCCCAGTTGTGAAATACTCACCTTGAGAACAAAATCTTTCCTACACAGTGCTATTACTCAATTGGCTTTCATTTCCAAAGGCCACAGGATTGTTTTTAATTTTCATAAAAGTCCAGTACGTGTATGCCAGCACATTCACTAGAGTTTCCCTCCTTGTCAGTTGGGCTTGAAAGTCAGAATCATGTTCTTGGTATTTTTTTTTTTTTCAACAATGAAGTTAACAGAATCCACTGTCAGATCCTTGGCTCTCTTTTCGTTACTTTTGGATGGAAAAGAGACATTTGAACAGGGGTAAAGGAAGGGACTGGCCAAGCTTAGGGACTGAAATTTGGGAACCTGTGGAATAGCCAGCCGTTCGCAAATACCTGCCAACACTGCATTCAAAATCACATTCAGAATTTACATGAATTGTCTGAGAAATTAACCTCTAAACCTATTCATTGCACTGGTAGTCCACTGGGTTCCCTTAAAACAGGTTATCCTGCACTACCAGAATAATTTATATCTGCAGCTGTAACAGTTTCTGTATTCAGGTAGCATGCTTAGTTTTATTTGTTTGAGTATTTAGAGGATTTTCAGGAGTTTGTGGGAAGCAATCATGAGAAGTAACTCTACTCGTTTTAATCTTCAAAAGTATCATTTTCTTGGGCTTATTATTCCAAACACACTGACTCTCCATAAGCCATCATCCTGTTACTCAGAGCTCACAAAGCCAATTCTTTAATTATGCAACAACAAACTATATTTAATGATGACCTGAGACCCAGAAAAATTCTGTCTTGATTTCTGAATCATTAAAGAACAATCCAACTGTTGTCAGTCCTGTAGGAAGTCAATGAATTGGGTCTCATCCTTTGGACTGCTCATCCATCAGAGACATGCATGTTTACTTTCCAGTCACCCCTACCAGGGCCAGCTTCATGGGTGTGTAACCTGAACAAGTTGCACTGAGCCCCACACTTAAAAGGCCCCCATGCCTCACTTAATGCTCTGCTGTTACTGTCATGAAAAATCTTAATTATTTTTTAACAAAGGCTCTGCATTTTCATTTACACTGGCCTCACAAATTATGAAGCCAGACCTGATCCCAGGAATATAAGTTCCATAAGGGCAAGATTCTTGCCTGTCTCGTTCACAATTAGTTCCTAGAATGGTGCTTTGTACTAGTCTTAATAAATATTTGTTAAATCAACGAATGAATGAATGAATGAATGAATGAATGCATAAATACCAAGATACTCGAATAATGAGAAGCTCCCATTCTCAGGAAACAGGGAGTTGCTCTCATTTACCATTTCTGTGCCCTGAACTCTTAGTTGAAACATTTCAAAGTTACGTTACAGGCCTAGATAACTGCTTAAGGAAGGAGATTTGGCAAGAAAGGGAGAAAGGGGGCCCAAGACGCCCAAGAGAGATACAGGCAAGCCTACTGAGAGACACTGCCCAAGGATACTGAGAGCAGAGGCATGGGGTGTGCTCTGTGGTCAGTGAGCAGGGGAGCAGACTCCTGTCTTTCGATGCACCAGCAGGAATTTTCCTCAATGTAAGCCAGGCTGCAGGAAGAGTTTTTCTGATTTGCAATCTCAATACTACTCCATGTCCCCCGGGTCTTGTAGAAGAACAGCAGCCCAGCTGCAGGCTCATGCATGCCCCAGGCCTGTCAATGGGTTTCCTCGGCTCTGAATCCTGCTTTGAGCTCCAAAAGTGGAGCTAAGGATGTGGAAGCCACGCTCTTGAATTGTTCAGGCCATGTCAGTGAAGACCAAGAAATGAAAGAGAAGATGGGACCTGAGAATGCCAATTCCACTAACAGCTTCTCGGTGGCAGTGGAGGTGATTAGGAAATGGGTAGGTACCCATTAGTACAGTTCACACAGGAAACAGGACTGAACAAAAGAGTCCAGTAGAGGGTTTTATATGGTTGAAGCCATTTTTTCATAGAGTTTATTGATCACCTTCAGCCTTTGCAGATTTAATTCCCATGTCCATAGACCTTCATTAATTTTCTGTTTGGGGGCATTAGGGTAACAAGCACATGTCTTTCCATGTAGCCATTCACACTTAACTCGAAAGAAAGGGGGATTCTGAGAAACAACCCATTTGGGTAATGGGTTGCAGTCTCTAGCCTCTATTTATCCGTTTCATTCTTTATTAAAATGACAAGTTGTGGGTAGAAAATCAAGTTATCTGAGGTCTTTGGGGAAAGTAGACAACTTGGGTCATAAGGAAAGACATACAAGAAAAGTAAAGCCAGCAAATAGTAGTTCTCTGGACCACATGGAGAAAAAGCACAAAATGGGAAAGAGAGAGAGAGAAAGTTTGGACCCTGCACAATGTCCAAACTTTGGTCACTGCCAAAGTTTGCAAAATATCATTTCATTTAGAAAAGCTATGATTTAATAGCAAAGGAGGACATTTTGTTGGAACGCCTAGTGTAACAAACACTTTTCTCTCCACTTAACAGCACTCTCCTGGCTTCATCTCATGGAGAAAATAATAATTTGGATGTTTTGAATTATAACAGTAATACTAAAGGCACTCTGGGCCCACCCAAATTCCCAGTGTTGAACGTGGTGTTAGGGCTCAGTAAGAATGTAGGAATATTACAGCAAGCAACTGTTGGTTTTAGGACATGGTTCAGGGTTCAGTGCAGTCAGAGGGAGTAAACAGAGCTTTCTGTAGAGCTGCAACCCTGGCTGTGTACCTTTTGCCAGGTCAAGGCCAATACAGGGCTCTGTCAGCTGAGAAGAGTCCCAGGGCTTTGGACCATGAACAAGTTCCAGAGAGAAGAACGTGAGCCTGAGCATCTGGAGGTCTTGGATCTGCTCCTAGCTCTGCCACTAATGAGCCCCGTGACCTTGGGTAAAGTTTCTGTCCTCTCTGGGCCTCCCTCCTCCATCAGTACAGTCTTTGACATTTAGAGCTGCAGAAACCCTGACAAATCATCTGGGGCTATATTTCCCAAAATGTGTTCATTCCCATTCTGCCTGGCTTGTCCACGTTCTTAATTTTAAAAGAAACCAGTATCAGTTACAAAATTTAGAGGGCAACTATTAACTATAAAAATGAATTTATTCAAAACAAAACCATATTGTTACATTCTAAACAGATAAATGTTGCTTGCCTAGGAAGACAATAGCAACAAAAACAAAAATAATAATAGGAAATACTTACTGAGACTTTAATATGTGCCAGATACTGTTCTGAAAGCTTTATAGATAATATTTCATTTAATTGACACCAGTCTATCAACTAGTCTCTATTGTTGTCCCCATTTTGCAGATGAGAGAACTGAGGAACAGGAAAATAAACTTGAGATATTCCCCCTCTTTGTTAAAAAGGCTATTCATGTGCATAGTGGCATGAACCTAAGACTTTTTTCTTTGTTGCAATTAGAAGGATTAAAAGAGAATTTTTAAAAGAATGACTTTTTCATTTTAAGATTCAGTCTTATTTGACGCCACAAGTTTGCGCAGTCACCTAAAATCACCCTGGATAGGTAATGGCTATCTAGAATGATGGTAGAGGATGATCCGGTCATGGAGTAATTTGAGAGGTGGAAGGTGTACTACCATAGGCTTTGTGGTGTTGAGCCCATTACTTCCTTTGCTAGTGTTGTCCCTTTTTTCTTTTGTCTGTGTGAATAATTCCTACTAGTATTTCAAGCTTCACCTCATCATGAACCATTTCCGACCTCCTGTCCATCTCCGGGGCCACATGTCTCCCCCTTGCTGGTGCACCCCACTGTATCCTATACACATTGCAATTGTAAACGTTACATTATATATAAGGACCTCTAACTTTGAGTCCAACTTTGACATAGAAAGCAAAGCCTATTCTAAGTAAGTCCACTAATCTATACAAATTCCAAACCTAATATGAAATAAGTGACCAGAAAAAAATAATTGTGCAAGTATTTACAACATAAAACACTGAACACAAATGCTATACTCTAAAAGTTGTTTCTGGGAATTGTTTCATCATGGATTAGACTGAATGAGGCTTCTTAAAACAAGAATCCAATGAGCTTGGGTAGGATTTTTTTTTTTTTTTTTTTTTTTTGAGATGGGAGTCTTGCTCTGTCACCCAGCCTGGAGTGCAGTGGCGCAATCTTGGCTCACTGCAAGCTCCACCTCAGCCTCCTGAGTAGCTGGGACTACAGGTGCCCGCCACCACGCCCGGCTAATTTTTTTGTATTTTTTAGTGGAGATGGGGTTTCACCCTGTTAGCCAGGATGGTCTCGATCTCCTGACCTCATGATTTGCCTGCCTTGGCCTCCCAAAGTGCTGGGATTACAGGCATGAGCCACTGCGCCCAGCCTTCTTTCTTTTCCAAGTGAATTTCCCTGGAGGAAGTATAGGTGCTTTTCTTTGCTGTCATAACTGACATGGTATTCACACTAGGGTCATCAGTCTTGGAAACTCCCTAAGTTTCAGCATGCATTAATGCCTTTGAAAGTGTCAGGGACAAACAGCTTCTTGGTGGCATGGCCCTACACTTAGACTTCTTTGGCTAATGCTTCTGCTTCCATTTCCTCCTCTTTCTCCACATCTTCAATGTTCTCTTGCTCTCCCATTTGTACCAGAGTCTGCTGAATTGCAGGTAATCCCTGACCACTGTTGAATTGCAGGTGATCCCTGACTGTCAAAAGGATATGTCTTCCATAGCCATTGGACCACTCAAAACACAAGCTTTGGTTGACCCTGACGGGTATATGATACTTAAGGTAAAAAGAACCATGAAGGCAGAGCTCACAAATTAAGTCATTGTCAAGTCCAGGATCACTTGTCATTTGTTTCATATCTGTCTTCCTGACTTGATAAGAAGTTGTTTGAAAGCAAGGAGTGTGTCACATTATTTTGTGTATCCCAATGTTTTTTGAGCATTATAGACAAACAGATTGACAAAGTTACTAAAGTAATTGATTAGTAGCTCCATTAATGTAGTTTGACATTTTACCAAGTACTAACATCCATAATTGTTTAACCTCTACCTAAATATTTAGAGAGAGAAAGAGAAAGAAACAGAAGGCTACTTAATGAGGTTTTCCAATCCATTTTGGATCAGTCTAGTCTTTAGAAAGTTTTTCTTTATATTAAATTAAAAGTCTCCCTGTGACTTCTAACAACCATTTCTACTTCCATCCTATAAAGGGGCACGGCAAGAGTCGATTCCTCTTCAACAGAAAAGCTTTTGTTGTTAGAAGATAATGTTCATTTTCAGCCCTTTTTTCCTTTTAAACAGCACATCACCCATTCCCTCTTCAAATCTTATGGTTCCCAGATCTCTTGCCATCCTGGTGGAAGTCAAAATAATCCAGGCTCTAGACACAATCTACAGCTTTCAAATCCAGGCTCCACACCAATCTCTGAGCCTCGGTGTCCTCATCTGTACAATATGTATTATTATAATAATAATTCCTCACATGTCTAGTGTGGGGACTAAATCAGAGGATACACATAACCTGCAGGATACAGTGATAAGCACGTAATATGCTCTCAAAAACGTTGGATATTAATACCCCAGGTGGCAAGTAATCAGAAGAGCCAGCCCCTGGGAAACCCACAGCTCCCTCAGAACAGAATCATTTCTACTAATAAAACCTCACTGGGTTCAGTTTTAGAGCAGCCACATCCCCTGATGGCTCATCTTGGGCTTGTGGTAAATCAAAATCTTCAGGTCTTTTCTTATTTTTTTACATAAACTGCTGTCAAGGCTGCTCTTCTACATCTTATACTTCGAAAATCAATTTTCTGAAACTAAAAGCAGAACCATATATCATCCTTATTAGATTTTCTGCAGATAGTTTGGCCTATCATCCTAACATGTCAAGATAAGTTTAAGTCTTGATTCTGTCATCTGACCTATCAGCCACCCCTGCCAACCTTGTGCCATCTCCAGATGTGATAATTACCTCTTTTCTCTTCACCGAGGTCACTGATAAAATTCTAAGCAAGTTCAAGGCCAAGGACAGAGCCCTGTGGCAGTATTAACATTCTTTGGGCAGCATGCCAACACTCTCATTTTATGGATGAGAAGACAAAGATTCAGAAGGGCTAAATGATTTGCCCATCATCATATAATACAGCAGGCTGTTTCCCAAAGTGTGTACCTAGGAACAATAATCCCTTTAGAGATTTTCCATAACAAAGCATATCCATGGCCAAATAAGTTTGGGAAACCATGCATACTGTTTCCTTCTTTGGGGATTTGCCAATGCCAAGTAGCACATTAAAGATTTTGTGAAGTCCTACAGTCGTAATCCATTCAACGTGTTTAGCTCAGTACTTCTCAAACATGTTTGAAAACAGAATTTTATTTTCATGTAAAAACTAACATGCCACAGAACCAGTGTCCCATAGTCAGTTAAGAGCAGACACCTACAAGATGGAACCAGTGCCTCTCACCTGTTCTGAGTCCTAAGATTCCCCAGGTCCAGAAGTTCTATGACTTTCAAATGAAAAATAAGATGAGAAAGAGCTTTGGAAAGGAAGAAATTTCACAAATGGAATTGTAGTAAGATGAAGAAGACAGAGATCAAATGTCTCCAAAAGCAGAGGTAAAAAGAAGACCCCGAGGAGTGGGGTCTTCCCCAAGTGCTGCTGGTAAGACCTCCACTCCCTCCCTCCCACCCCACCCTGCACAGCCTTGCATCATGCTCTGCCTTGAGATGATCAGAACTAGCCTCACTATGTTTTCATCCCCAGTCATATCAATCATCCCAAGAAACCAGGGATTACCAGGGGCCTCAATTGCCAGTTTCTCAAGAAAGCTCCCCTGATTTAAAGTTGCAATTCTCCCATCTGGCATCCCTCTTTTCTTCCCTGCTTATTTTTTTTCTATAGCACTTACCACCATCTGACATCATAAATATTTCATTTGTTTTGTGTTTGTGTTTGTTTTGTTTATTGTCCACATCCCTCTGCTAGAGAATAAGCTCCATGCTGGCAGGGGTGTTTATTTTGTTCACTGCTTTATTCTCAGCACTTAGAATAGTGCATAGCTAATAGATGGTGCTCAATAAATAAGAAAATATGGCTCAGATCAAACCAGGAGGGCCTAGTTGAATCACAGCCTCTCAGAGGGCAAGGATCATGTCTTGGGCTTGCTTTGACTTATTTATGATGTGATACCATCTGCTGAGTGGGTCTTTATTACACTAGAAATGAATATTATTACTCAGATAGATATCAATATACAGAGGGAAGCTATTAGTCTCAGAAACCACATTCTCCCTCCTCGGGTGACCTCATCCACCAGGCCTTGCATGGGCATGACTCATAAATCCACAACACCAACCCTGACCCTCATCCATGCCACAGCCCACTTTTGCTGCTGTTTGCTGGACACTTCTACCTTGCTAAGCAGCTCAAACTCAGCAGGTCCACAGTTAGAAACACTATCTTCCCCCTGCCAAAAACTAGTGAAGAAAGAAAAACCAAATAACCTTCTTCAAATCTATTTATTATTTAGGCATCTATTTATGTTGGTGGCACAAAAAAATTACAAAAATTGATAAAATCCATGCCTTTTGTTTTTTTCCTGATTTCTCCTTCTTCCTTATAGGTGCTATATCTGAAATGTCCCTGCCAGCTATTTCTTCTGTCCTATTTCCACCCGATTATCAGGCTTCCATTATCTTTTGCCTGGACCCACTGAAATACTTCTCTCCCAATCTCTCTGCTCCCTCCTTTTCAATGCCTCTAATTTTTAGTCCAGTGTTTTCAAATTGTGGACCACGCCCATTAGTGGGTTATGAAATTATTTAATGTGTTATGAACAGCTTAAAAAATGGAATAGAGTAGATAAAAATCAGACTGCATTGCAAGTAACATAAAAAATATGTGTAAAAGTTTTGTTAAATGTATATGTGTGTGTCCTGAGACATTACATAAATACAAGTGACCCTTAAACAACACGAGTTTGAATTGCACAGGTCCACATATACGTAGATTTTTCCCACCTCAGCCACCTCGAGACAGCAAGACCAACCCCTTCTCTTCCTCCTCCTCCTCCTCAGCCTGCTCAATGTCAAGATGATGACGATGAAGGCCTTGCTGATGATCCACTTGCACTTAATGAATCATAAATATATTTTTTCTTGTGATTTTCTTAATAACATTTTCCTTTCTATAGCTGACTTTCTTGTAAGAACACAGTACATAATACATATTGTATACAAAATATGAGTTAATTGACAGTTTATGCTTTTGGTAAGGCTTCTGGTCAACAGGAAGATATTAGCAGTTAGGTTTTTAGAGAGTCAAAAGTTATACGTGGATTTTCGACCGCTGGGGAGTTGGTTCCCCTAACCCCCCCACCCTATTGTTCAAGGCCCAACTGTATATTCGTTACAATAGTTTGAAAGTCACTGCTCAGATCTAACACAATCTAAAGTGGAGATTTAGTTATGTCACCCTCTACCTAAAACTTTCAGTGACTCCCTATTGCCCTCTGAATTAATTCCAAACAAATTAACACACCATTCAACGGTTTCCAAACCCAGGCTGTGGCCTACCTTTCTAGCTTTTTCTAACACTCCTGTGCTCATGCCAAGAATGTTCATCATACTGGAGTACTTTTTATTTCTCAAACATACCCTGAGATTCCTACCACCATAACTTTGTATATGCTGTGCTTTTTCTTGAAGTAGTGATTGTCAACCAGGGAGTGTGATTTTGCTACCTAGGGATCTTTGGCAATGTCTGGAGACATTTTGGTTTCATAGCTAGGGGATGGGGTGGGGTGCTACCAGTGTCTACTGGGTAGAAGCCAGATGCTGCCAAACATCCTACAGTGCAGAGGACTCCTGCCCACCACAGAGAATTATCCACCCTAAACGGTCAGAACCAATAGTTCTGAGGTTAACAAACCCTGCCTAGAGCAGTGGTTCTCAAATTTTGGCATGCATCTAAACCACCTGAAGGACTTCTAAAACAAAGAATGTTGAATCGTATCCCAGGATCTCTGGTTGCATAGATCTGGAGTGGGGCCCACGAACTTGCTTTTCTAACAAGTTCGTGAGTGAGGCTAGAACTGCTGTTGGGGGACTACAGAGCCATTGCCTGGAATAAACGGAGCTCTACTTAATATTTATCAGAGCTTAATGCTACCCATCCTAAGGCTCATGAGGTCAGGTCAAGTGCCACCTGCTTCTTGGAGTCTTTTCTGATATCAGCTCAGCCTCCCTTAACTCCTCCAGCAGTTGGCCTCACCCTCTCCATCTCTCTTGCTTGCTTGTTCTCCCTCTCACTTGGACTTTCCCTTCTTCACACTTCATCCAGCCCCATAGAGAAAGTGCTTCCCGGGCGGAGACTACACCCACCCTTCGCCTATTTTTTTTTTTTTTTTTTTTTTTTTTGAGACGGAGTCTCCCTTTGTCTCCCAAGCTGGAGTGCAGTGGCGCAATCTCGGCTCACTGCAAGCTCCGCCTCCCAGGTTCACGCCATTCTCCTGCCTCAGCCTCCCGAGTAGCTGGGACTACAGGCGCTGCCACCACGCCCGGCTAATTTTTTTGTATTTTCAGTAGAGACGGAGTTTCACCGTGTTAGCCAGGATGGTCTCGATCTCCTGACCTCGTGATCTACCTGCATCGGCCTCCCAAAGTGCTGGGATTACAGGAGTGAGCCACCGCGCCCAGCCCACCCTCCGCCCCTTTCTGCTCCAAAGCTCTTTGGGGCAATTTCCCTGCCTGAGCAATTTTCATCATCCAGAACCCAGCCGCAGCACCTGTCTTCCCAGCCAGGTCTCTGCAAGCCTCTTTCAGTCCATTTCCCCTACACACTGGGGATTATCAAAGTATTAAGAAAAAAAGTATTGAAGCATAATGGCATGTACTATAAGCCTTCTTCAAGCACCTAGGTGGGAAACTGAGTAACCAATGGGCAAAATGAGTGAAGTGAAAATAACAACAATAAAAAGGGCAGGGGTTACCTACAAAGAAAGTGAGTGCTTTGCAATCTGATTTTTGTTCTTTACTATTTTATCCAGAATCAGCACTGTCTGTCACATTCATGCTGGGTAGTGAAAAGGGGCATGAAGAACAAAATAAAAGATAATAAAATAAGCCCAACCCTTGTCTTGGCATACCTTAAAGATCCATGTGCTTCAGGCTTGCAATACTTGGGCTCTGAATGCGACCCTTTAGTCAATTTCCTACATTGCTATAACTCCACTGTGAGTTATTTTCACTCAGACCACCCATATAATGAATTTGAAACAATGCAATTTAATCACATCATGAAAACACAGGATTTTGATTTATATATATATATATATATATATATATATATATATATATATATATTTTAGTTTCAGGGGTGCATGTGCAGGTTTGTTATATAGGTAAGTTGCATGTTACAGGGGTTTGGTGGCAGGAGTGTCCAATCTTTTGGCTTCCCTGGGCCACACTGGAAGAGGAAGAATTATCTTCAGCCACACTAACACTAAGGAAAACTGATGAGCAAAAAAAAAAAAAAAAAAATCTTGCAAAAAAACCTCACAGTGTTTTAAGAAAGTTTATGAATTTGTGTTGGGCCACATTCAAATCTGTCCTGGGCCACATGCAGCCTGCAGCCTGTGGGTTGGACAAGCTTGGTTCCCGGTTATTTTGTCACTAGCTAATAAGCACAATACCCAATAGGTAGTTTTTCTGTCCTTACCCTCCTCCAACCCTCCACCCTCCTAAGCCTCAGTATCTATTGTTCCTTTCTTTGAAAGCACATGATTTTTATACATTCTTTTCTCTCCAAAAGAAGTGTCCTCACCATGGGTGTTTCAAATCCTTTCTTAGCCAGAGAAATGCTGGTCACACTTTAAATTAAGTGTCATGAGCAAGGATTTAATTTAGAGCTAATAAGACAGTTATTATATGTTAAATACCATATGGTTATTAAAAACATATTTATTGAGGTTTAACGAGTATGTCAAGACAATACTCCACAAACAGCAGGAACTGTTAACAGGACGCAGTTATGGATTCTTACATCAGGCGATGTATCTTGTGCATGGATACACTTTATATTAGACCATTAAGAAATCATAAGAATCTCAAAGGGCCTCCACCTAGGAGGGCTAAAGGGACAGTGAATTTGTGTACTGCTCACTTACCCTTGGAGATCTAGGATCACTTCCTGTTTGAGATGGGCATGGAAAATGAGCTTTAGGGGCTTCGTGCATCCTCATTTGTGCTCTGTGCAAAGCCAAGTGTACCATTTGGCATGACTGATGAAAGCCATTTAGGGAAGCTCACTGGGATGGGGGGAAAAGAGTTTAGCAGGAGTCACTTGGAATAAGTCAGAGGGAGGAGACTCATGGGGACTTGGGCCAGGTTTCTCATACTTACTAATACTCATTTTGCTTGAAAACTTAAAAATGTGTATATGTGTGTGTGTCCATATATACATTCATGCAGTCACATAAGCATAATACCATACAGATGGCACTTAGGATAGGAGATAATCACCCGAAAGTTGTGTTTGAGGATATTCCTCTTCTATGCCATGTATCAAATGTGACGTTCTCGAAACTTGCTGCTTTGGAGAAAATGGGCTGGAAGGAAGGCGCCTTCTCATCTTACCACCCAGCCTCCCCCAGTTGAAGGGGCAGGGATCCAGCAAAGCCTGTGTTTATGGCCCCGTGGGCTGACACTATGGCAATGCCCCGACCCGGTGGCGCCCGTTCAGCGGGATGACTTCACAGGAGGGTCAGGCCAGGGGACTTCAGATGGGCCATGAGTAAGAAGACCAGCAAAAACTAATATTCTTAACAGTTAGCAAACACGTTGAAGAAAATTATTCATAAATATTTGAAGAGCAATGAGGTCCGAGTTTTGTGCAAGCCAGCTGTTGGTCTCCAGGGTTTCTCCAGTGTGTCAGCCCCCTTTTGAAGAGAGTCAAGGTTCTGCTCAGATGCCAAGCCCCAACTTCTCTCAACTGCCTTTCACACAGAAAGCGCCTGGATGCTTCAGTGTGGTTATGCAGATATGCAGCAACCAATGAGGTGGTAACCTAGAAAAGATACATACGCAAAATCTTCAGCTGTCTTTAGATCCATGTTTGAAATTCCTTCCTCTCCTCTCTGAGATGTGCATCTGTCTTTGTGTGAGAGAGAGGTGGGGAAGAGGATATATAATCATCATGTCAGCACAATGAACAGACTCAACTGCATGAGGATAATTATGTTTTACAGTTTTGTTAAACACAAGAAAGTATTTTCTCAGGCCATTTAATTGAAACAACATCATGGGTTATACCTTCATTGTAATAAAACTCCACTGTGTGTCCAAGCGCCAGGGGATTTATTAACTTGCTCCAAGCTCTGAGAATCAGCAGGCAGGGTCAGACGCGGCTAGTGATGATGACATCATCGGCTTTGGCAGCTCTTTTCAACTGGTGTTGAGTGAGGTAATGTCCCCAAAATTAAAACTGACAGCAAGATTAATGATGATAGATTCACTGACTTTTTTCATGATTTAAATTGGTGTTCTGTTTCTTCCATTCTGGAAGGCCAAGAGAGCTTCATGCCATTAGCTTGGCGTATCAGCAAAGCCAGATAACAGGAGCCCTTTTCCCCTGACCTCTGCCCGGGGACAGACTGGGACTTCTGGGTTAGAGGTGATTTAGAGATGGGGCCAATGGAAGACACACCCTTGTGTCTTTTGCGGAGGTTAGGACAATAAGATATTCTGCCTTCATCAGACCAGCGCATACATGTGGATTCATTATTTGGTACAAGAAAGGTTATGTGCTCAGTGGGGGGTTGCTGTGTGCAAGGAATACCTCATCAAGTCTTGCTTTACTGAGTCAGAATTTGCAATCCCTTGAACTGGAGCTGGGCTGAGCTTGCCCTTTTACTTTCCACCATGAAAAGGTTTGCTGAGAATATTAGAAGCATAAAGAAAATTCTGAGGCAGAAGATTGTAAGATATTTAAGCTGCATGAAAAAGATTCATTTTATCAATTGTCTTAGAGACTCTGGTGTCTGACAAACACTATCATCTTGATTAGCTAATTATTATACCCCCACTCCACCATAAACTTCTTCAGGGAGGGGAGTAACTGTTTTCATCTTTGTTATTCCAACAATCATCACAGCAGTGTACAGCAGGCACTCAAAAACATTTGTGGAATGTATGTTCCTTAAAGCAGATGTTTTAAGGACTTCTCATAAGAAATGTAGTCTCCTAACTGGGTTTATGGAGTTACTTTCACATAACGAAAACGCTTTTCTTCGAAAACATGACTGAATTTGTCATATTCACTAGTCCATGTGGATATGTCTCACTGGTCTGAAATAATGTGGTTTACTGGTGGGGAAAAAAAGAATTTAAACATACGAAGAAAAAACCGCAATGACATATGAGTATATAATAAATAACCACACTGCAGAATAGCAGAGCTGGGGAAAGTCCTTGGCATTTTTTATTGAGTGTGATATTGTCTTCAAAACTGAAATCTGTCCATAGATTCAATGATTCTCTTACACTCATTGATAGAGTTGAATTAGAGTTGATCCTGTTGGGAGTGGGTAGCAGCTGGGAAGGAAACATCTTTCTTGGGAGAAGGGGCTCAGGGTTCACTTGGCAGCGGGTAAGGATGCAAGAATTTCCTGGAAGTCTTTTTGGTAAGTCCTATTTATAAGTAGAAAATTTGCTAGGCTACAGAGTCAGGAGACATTGGAGCTAGTCCTTGTCCCACACCTAACTAGCTGAGACATTTATACTAAGTCCCTCTCCTTCCCTGGGCCTCTGTTTCCCCACTGGTAAGGTGAGCTACTGGAGGACATAGCACAAAGGCCCTCTGCAGGCCAGTCATTCTCTGATGCTAAGAGTTTAATTGCTCTTGGGAGGGGCACACCAAGACAGATCAAGTAGACAACTCCTTATTCCAGCTATTCAAACAAAGTCAGATCCCTACCCCACTCTAAAGTTTATGGCATTGGTTGGGATAAGGGATGGAGTTTCTTCCTCCTTGTTCTTTTGACAATGTGAACTCCAAACATTTTGCTTGTAAGCAAGTTCCAACACTTCCCCAAGGCCCTCTCAGCTCCTCACACATACTTCTTTCGCTGCATTTTCCCATATTTGCCATATACCTCCTCTCCCACACACACTGTTTCCTTCATACCAAATATCAAATTGTTGAGGGAGAGTTTGGAAGGACTGCTAAGTTTGACTGATGGCAAGTACAGGGGATCAGATCCTACTAATGCCCCTTTTGTCTCTGCCTATGGCATTTCTTTTTGGAAAAAATGACTATATTTGACAGCTTTTGGAATGTTTATCGGGTTTATAATGGTCCCTTTCACTAGAAACTGTTCACTCTGATACACAGGGTGAGGCTGGGGCCCAGGCCGGCAACCCTAAGTGACTCCTACCCCTCTGGCCATGGCTGATCAGTACACAATGGACACATGTGCCATGCTGGGAAGTTGGAATATTTTCATGGTTAAGAGACTGGACCCCTGCCCACCTGCAATGCAATGGTTTTCACACATCACAGCCCTAACTTTTTTTCCTACTTCTCCTTAAGTGGGCAAGATAAAGAGAAGCGAATACAGACAACTTAGCATCATGTGTCATGGAGGGAAGTGACACGTGAAGCATGAGTGTCAGGTCAGGGAGACAGGCTTTCAGGGACCTTGGGACAGGAGGATGAAATACCATCCCAGGACACCTGGACACTAGCTGTGCTTTCTCCAACCAACCCTGAGATGAGAATGCAGCCTTGCTGAGGAGTTTGGTTCACCAACCAGGAAAGCTCATCTTCTCTAAACAGTTCGTTGCTCCAGAGATCCTCAGCCTGGATGTGTGTTAGAATCACCTGGGAAACTTTCTAAACTGCGAAAGCCTGAGCTCCTACTCCAGAGGTTCTGATCCAATTAGTCTGGGGGAGGAAGGAGGCATTGGTGTATTTTTAAGGCTCCTCAAGTGATTTTAATATGCAGCTAGAATTGAGAACCAATCCCTGAATTGAAACACGAGACTGTTAGCTTGAAATCTTCCATGATGCTGATATAAGCCTCGTGGTTAAAGGGTAGTGAGAAGGGGATGGAAAGGGAAGCAGAACTGGATATCCTCTCTTCTAGCAGACCCCTGCATTTTCTGAGAGTGTCAGTGACAGCCAGGTTTCCTGCAGTGGACCCAGGGCTCAGGGAAAAGGCATACCATGATACGTTACCTCTGCCCCTACTCTGTGCAGCGACCTCACTGAGTTTTACATCCCTGGCCTAAATCAGGAAGTGGTCTTTCTCTATGAATCCATAAGCCTATCAATATTCATTCCTCACAGAGAAATGCTAATAAGCAATTACTATGGTATGTCCAAAAATATAGGACACAGGAGCCACTGATCAGAGGCATGAACAAGGAGAGGGTGGTTGGATTTCTCTGCATGGCTCCTGACATCACAATTTTAGTTGGAGTCTTATGAAGCTAAAACTCTGCCCCAGTCTAGGTATAATGATGTGACTTGTAACCAGCAAATCTAGGGCAACTATCTAGGTCTGCCAAGGACTGTCCCGGTTTTAGCACTAAAGTTCCTTGTTGCAGGAAACACCTCAGTCCTGGGGAAACTGAGAGTTGATCTTCTCAGCTCTCCAGTCCAGGCTTGTGCAGGGATGGCCACAGATAGCTCTTCTCAAAGTTAAGAAACACTTCAATGATGGAAATGACTGCCCATATGTCAACAGAACATTCTGACCATGCCTATCATGCCTCTGTCCCTAAACACCTGACAAACGAAAGGTGGTGTTAGGGTGAGGATAATAAATTTGTTTTGGAGTGGAACCATTCACAGCCAAAGAGCTCAGATAAAAGAGTTTATTCTTAAAACTACCCAACCCAACTCAAGCCATTCAGGTCTTCTCTCCAGGTGATTTGGAATTGGGATCTAGAGAGACTCTGCTTAATTTCTTCTAATGACTGGGGAATAATGACAGTTTAGGGTCTGTTGGCACTTGAGTCTTGGGAAGGTGACTGTGGAAGAGAGGAAGTCAGTCTGCAGAGAGAGAAGGAAGAAGAGGCACCCAGGCAGAAACAGAGATGGAAAGAGAAAGAAGGCTGCATGGAGTTCTGTATGGGTCTCTATTTTCTGCTTTCAGACCCTTTCTGATGCCCACCAGGACTTCCGTTCTTAGATTTCATAAGATCTCCTCCACTCCCTTGTATCCTCTAGTTGCAAGGACAAAAAAGACAATCCAAATTTGTTTAAGCAAAAGAAAGTTTACTGTTTCATATTAGTGAACAATTTGAGGTGTATCCAGCCTCAGGTACTGCTTGATCAGGTACTGCTTGATCCGGGGCTCAAGCAACAGAACTGTTTCTCTTTCTCCACTGTTGAGCTCTAGTTCTCTAGCAGACCTTTCTCTTAGTTCTCTGGCAGGCTCACTCCTTGCATTCAGGAGATAGCTGCCAGAAACTCCCTGCACTATACCCTGTCGGGTTTATTCTCAGTAGTAAAGTGAGACCGTTTTTTCAGGACTGCCAGTAAAAATCTTAGTACTTCTCAATGGCTCAAACTGACCATCCTGAGCCAATACCTGGGGCTTAGGAGAAGATGATACTGGCTGGCAGACCTGAATCATATGGCCAGACTCATGTTCGGGGAAAGCTAGCTCTGCTGAAGCCCATGGATTAATATAGAAAGGGCTGATTTCCCAAAGGACATTGATATATGGTTGTCATATGCAAGGTAGAAAGATGCTACAGATAAAAAAATGAGAGGTGTCTTCTACTCTTAATTATTTAAATGCCCCTGATTTTTCCCCTCAGCTAGATTAAATGGGTTTGGTACTTACAATTAAAAATAATTCTAATGGGAGGGTGTTCCAAGATGGCCAAATAGGAATAGCTCTAGTCTGCAGCTCCCAGAAGGATCAACGCAGAAGGTGGGTAATTTCTGCATTTCCAACTGAGGGACCTGGCTCATCTCATTGGGACTGGTTGGACAGTGGGTGCAGCCCACGGAGGGTAAGCCAAAGCAGGGCAGGGCGTCGCCTCACCCAGGAAGCACAAGGGGTTGGGGGATTTCCATTTCCTAGCTAAGGGAAGCCATGACAGACTACCTGGAAAAACGGGACACTCCAGCTCAAATACTGTGCTATTCCCAAGGTCTTAGCAACTGGCAGACAAGGTGATTCTCTCCCGTGCCTGACTTGACAGCTCCAATACCCATGGAGCCTTGCTCACTGCTAGCACAGCAGTCTGAGATCGATCTGTGAGACAGCCGCCTGGTTGGGGGAGGGGCATCTGCCATTGCTGAGGCTTGAGTAGGTAAACAAAGTGGCCTGGAAGCTCAAACGGGGCAGAGCCCACCGCAGCTCAAAAAGGCCTACTGTGTCTAGACTGCACCTCTGTGGGCAAGGCATAGCTGAACAAAAGGCAGCAGACAACTTCTGCAGCTTAAACATCCCTGTCTGACAGCTCTGAAGAGAGCAGTGGTTCTCCCAGCATGGTGTTAGAGCTCTGAGAACAGACAGACTGCCTCCTCAAGTGGGTGCCTGACCCCGGTGTAGCCTGACTGGGAGACACCTCCCAGTAGGGGCTGACAGACACCTCATATAGGCAGGTGCCCCTCTGGGACGAAGCTTCCAGAGGGAGGATCAGGCAGCAATATTTGCTGTTCTGTAGCCTCTGCTGGAGATACCCGGGCAAACAGGGTCTGGAGTGGAACTCCAGCAAACTCCAACAGACCTGCAGCTGAGGGACCTGACAGAAGTAAAACTAACAAACAGAAAGGAATAGCATCAACATCAACAAAAAGGACATTTACGCCAAAATCCCAACTGTAGGTCACCAACATCGAAGACCAAGAGTAGATAAAACCACGAAGATGGGGAAAAACCAGAGCAGAAAAACTGAAAATTCTAAAAATCAGAGTGCCTCTTTTCCTCCAAAGGATCGCAGCTCCTCGCCAGCAATGGAACAAAGCTAGATGGAGAATGACTTTGACAAGTTAACAGAAGTAGGCTTCAGAAGGTCGGTAATGACAAACTTCTCTGAGCTAAAGGAGGATGTTTGAACCCATCACAAGGAAGCTAAAAACCTTGAAAAAAGATTAGATGAATGGCTAACTAGAATAAACAGTATGGAGAAGACATTAAATGACGTGACGGAGCTGAAAACCGTGGCACGAGAATTTTGTGATGCATACGCAAGCTTCAATAGCTGATTCGATCAAGTGGAAAAAAGAGTGTCAGTGATTGAAGATCAAATGAATGAAATGAAGTAAAAAAACAAGGTCAGAGAAAAAAGAGTAAAAATAAATGAACAAAGCCTCCAAGAAATATGGGACTATGTGAAAAGACAAAAATCTACGTTTATTTGGTGTACCTGAAAGTGACAGGGAGAATGGAACCAAGTTGGAAAGCACTCTTCAGGATATTATCCAGGAGAACTTCCCCAACCTAGCAAGGCAGGCCAACATTCAAATTCAGGAAATACAGAGAGCATCACAAAGATACTCCTCGAGAAGAGCAACGCCAAGAAAAATAATCGTCAGATTCGCCAAGGTTGAAATGAAGAAAAAAGTGTTGAGGGCAGCCAGAGAGAAAGGTTGGGTCACCCACAAAGGGAAGCCTATCAGACTAACAGTGGATATCTCAGGAGAAACCCTACAAGTCAGAAGAGAGTGGGGGCCAATATTCAACATTCTTAAAGAAAAGAATTTTCAACCCAGAATTTCGTACCCAGCCAAACTAAGCTTCATAAGTGAAGGAGAAATAAAATCCTTTACAGACAAGCAAATGCTGAGAGATTTTGTCACCACCAGGCCTGCCTTCCAAGAGCTCCTGAAGGAAGCACTAAACATGGAAAGGAACAACCAGTACCAGCCACTGCAAAAACATGCCAAATTGTAAAGACCATCAATGCTATGAAGAAACTGCATCAATTCATGGGCAAAATAAACAGCTAACATCATAATGACAGGATCAAATTCACACATAACAGTATTAACCTCAAATGTAAATGGGCTAAATGCCCCAATTAAAAGACACAGACTGGCAAATTGGAGAAAGGCTCATGACCCATCAGTATGCTGTATTCAGGAAACCCATCTCACGTGCAGAGACACACACAGGTTCAAAACAAAGGGATGGAGGAAGATCTACCAAGCACATGGAAAGCAAAAAAAAAAAAAAAAAAAAAAAAGCAGGGGTTGCAATCCTGGTCTCTGATAAAACAGACTTTAAACCAACAAAGATCAAAAGAGACAAAGAGGGGGCGGTTCCAAGATGGCCCAATAGGAACAGCTCCAGTGTACAGCTCCCAGCATGAGCGATGCAAAAGATGGGTGATTTCTGCCATTTCCAACTGAGGTACTGGGTTCATCTCACTGGGGCTTGTCAGACAGTGGGGGCAGGACAGTGGGTGTAGCCCACCAAGCGTGAGCCGAAGCATGGCGAGGCATCGCCTCACCCGGGAAATGCAAGGGGTCAGGAATTCCCTTTCCTAGCCAAGGGAAGTGGTGACGGACGGCACCTGGAAAATCGGGTCACTCCCACCCCTAACACTGTGCTTTTCCAATGGTCTTAGCAAATGGCACACCAGGAGATTATATCCCACACCTGGCTCAGAGGGTCCCATGCCCACAGAGCCTCGCTCATTGCTAGCACAGCAGTCTGAGATAGATCTGCAAGGTGGCAGTGAGGCTGGGGGAGGAGCACCCACCATTGCCGAGGCTTGAGTAGGTAAACAAAGCAGCTGGGAAGCTCGAACTGGGTGGAGCCCCCCACAGCTCAAGGAAGCCTGCCTTCCTCTGTAGACTCCACCTCTGGGGGCAGGGCATAGCTGAACAAAAGGCAGCAGAAACCTCTGCAGACTTAAATGTCCCTGACTGACAGCTTTGAAGTGAGTAGTGGTTTTCCCAGCATGGAGTTTGAGATCTGAGAACAGACAGACTGCCCCCTCAAGTGGGTCCCTGAACTCTGAGTAGCCTAACTGGGAGGCATCCTCCAGTAGGGGCAGACTGACACCTCACACAGCCGGGTACCCCTCTGAGACAAAGCTTCCAGAGGAACAATCAGGCAGCAACGTTTACTGTTCAGCAATATTCGCTGTTCTGCAGCCTCTGCTGCTGATACCCAGGCAAACAGGGTCTGGAGTGGACCTCCAGCAAACTCCAAAAGACCTGCAGCTGAGGGTCCTGACTGTTAGAGGGAAAACTAACAAACAGAAAGGACATCCACACCAAATCCCCATCTGTACATCACCATCATCAAAGACCAAAGGTATATAAAACCACAAAGATGGGGAAAAAACAGAGCAGAAAAGCTGAAAATTCTAAAAATCAGAGCGCCTCTCCCCATCCAAAGGAACGCAGCTCCTCGCCAGCAACAGAACAAAGCTGGATGGAGAATGACTTTGACAAGTTGAGAGAAGAAGGCTTCAGATGATCAAACTTCTCCAAGCTAAAGGAGGAAGTTTGAACCCATCTCAAAGAAGCTAAAAACCTTGAAAAAAGATTAGACGAATGGCTAACTAGAATAACCAATGTAGAGAAGTCCTTAAATAACCTGATGGAGCTGAAAAACATGGCATGAGAACTACCTGATGAATGCACAAGCTTCAGTAGCTGATTCGATGAACTGGAAGAAAGGGTATCAGTGATTGAAGATCAAATGAATGAAATGAAGCAAGAAGAGAAGTTTAGAGAAAAAAGAGTAAAAAGAAACGAACAAAGCCTCCAAGAAATATGGGACTATGTGAAAGGACAAAATCTACATCTGATTGGTATACCTGAAAGTGACGGGGAGAATGGAACCAAGTTGGAAAACACTCTGTAGGATATTATCCAAGAGAACTTCCCCAACCTAGCAAGGCAGGCCAACATTCAAATTCAGGAAATACAGAGAACATCACAAAGATGCTCCTCGAGAAGAGCAACTCCAAGACACATAATTGTCAGATTCACCAAAGTTGAAATGAAGGAAAAAATGTTAAGGGCAGCCAGAGAGAAAAGTCGGGTCACCCACAAAGGAAAGCCCATCAGACTAACAGCGGATCTCTAGGCAGAAACTCTGCAAGCCAGAAGAGAGTGGGGGCCAATATTCAACATTCTTAAAGAAAAGAATTTTCAACCCAGAATATCATATCCAGCCAAACTAAGCTTCATAACTGAAGGAAAAATAAAATCAATTACACACAAGAAATGCTGAGAGATTTTGTCACCACCAGGCCTGCCTTCCAAGAACTCCTGAAGGAAGCACTAAACATGGAAAGGAACAACCAGTACCAGCCACTGCAAAAACACGCCAAACTGTAAAGACCATCGATGCTAGGAAGAAACTGCATCAACTAAGGAGCAAAATAACCAGCTAACATCATAATGACAGGATCAAATTCACACATAACAATATTAACCTTAAATGTAAATGGCTAAATGCTCCAATTAAAAGACACAGACTGGCAAATTGGATAAAGAGTCAAGACCCATCAGTGTGCTGTATTCAGGAAACCCATCTCATGTGCAGAGACACACATAGGCTCAAAATAAAGGGATGGAGGAAGATCTAGCAAATGGAAAACAAAAAAAGGCAGGGGTTGCAATCCTAGTCTCTGATAAAACAGACTTTAAACCAACAAAGATCAAAAGAGACAAAGAATGCCATTACATAGTGGTAAAGGGATCAATTCAACAAGAAGAGCTAACTATCCTAAACATATATGCACCCAATACAGGAGCACCCAGATTCATAAAGCAAGTCCTGAGTGACCTAAAAAGAGACTTAGACTCCCACACAATAATAATGGAAGACTTTAACACCCCACTGTCAACATTAGACAGATCAATGAGACAGAAAGTTAACAAGGATATCCAGGAACTGAAATCAGCTATGCACCAAGTGAACCTAATAGACATCTACAGAACTCTCCACCCCAAATCAACAGAATATACATTCTTCTCAGCACCACATCACACTTATTCCAAATTTGACCACACAGTTGGAAGTAAAGCACTCCTCCGCAGAAGTAAAAGAACAGAAATTATAAAATAATGTCTCTCAGAACACAGTGCAATCAAACTAGAACTCAGGATTAAGAAACTCACTCAAAACTGCTCAACTACATGGAAACTGAACAACCTGCTCCTGAATGACTACTGCGTACATAACAAAATGAAGGCAGAAATAAAGATGTTCTTTGAAACCAATGAGAACAAAGACACAACATACCAGAATCTCTGGGACACATTTAAAGCAGTGTGTAGAGGGAAATTTATAGCACTAAATGCCCACAAGAGAAAGCAGGAAAGATATAAAATTGACACCCTAACATCACAATTAAAAGAACTAGAGAGGCAAGAGCAAACACATTTAAAAGCTAGCAGAAGACAAGAAATAACTAAGATCAGAGCAGAACTGAAGGAGATAGAGACACAAAAATCCCTTCAAAAAATCAATGAATCTAGAAGCTGGTTTTTTGAAGAGATCAACAAAATTGATAGACCTCTAGCAAGACTGATAAAGAAGAAAAGAGAGAAGAATCAAACAGAAACAATAAAAAATGATAAAGGGGATATCGCCACTGATCCCACAGAAATACAAACTACCATCAGAGAATACTATAAACACCTCTACTCAAATGAACTAGAAAATCTACAAGAAATGGATAAATTTCTGGACACATGCACCCACCCCCCGCCCCAAGAATAAACCAGGAAGAAGCTGAATTGCTGAATAGACCAATAACAGACTCTGAAATTGAGGCAATAATTAATAGCCTACCAACCAAAAAAAGTCCAGGACCAGACGGATTCACAGCCAAATTCTACCAGAGGTACAAGGAGGAGCTTGTACCATTCCTTCTGAAACTATTCCAATCAACACAAAAAGAGGGAATCCTCCCTAACTCATTTTATGAGGCCAACATCATCCTGATACCAAAGCCTGGCAGAGACACAACAAAAAAAGAGAACTTTAGACCAATATCCCTGATGAACATCAATGCGAAAATCCTCAATAAAATACTGGCAAACTGAATCTAGCAGCACATCAAAAAGCTTATCCACCATGATCAAGTGGGCTTCATCCCTGGGATGCAAGGCTGGTTTAACATACACAAATCAATAAACATAATCCGTCACATAAACAGAACCAACAACAAAAACCACATGATTATCTCAATAGATGCAGAAAAGGCCTTTGACAAAATCCAACAGCCCTTCATGCTAAAAACTCTCAATAAACTAGGTATGGATGGAACACATCTCAAAATAATAAGAGCTATTTATGTCAAACCCACAGCCAATATCATACTGAATGGGCAAAAACTGGAAGCATTCCCTTCGAAAACTGGCACAAGACGGGATGCCCTCTCTCACCACTCCTATTCAACATAGTGTTGAAAGTTCTGGCCAGGGCAATCAGGCAAGAGAAAGAAATAAAGTGTATTCAGTTAGGTAAAGAGGAAGTCAAATTGTCCCTGTTTGCAGATGACATGATTGTATATTTAGAAAACCCCATCGTCTCAGGCCAAAATCTCCTTAAGCTGATAAGCAACTTCAGCAAAGTCTCAGGATATAAAATCAATGTGCGAAAATCACAAGCATTCTTATACACCGTTGACAGACAAACAGAGAGCCAAATCATGTGGGAACTCCCATTCACAATTGCTTCAAAGAGAATAAAATACCTAGGAATCCAACTTACAAGGGACTTGAAGGATCTCTTCAAGGAGAACTAAAAGCCACTGCTCAAGGAAATAAAAGAGGACACAAACAAACGGAAGAATATTCCATGCTCATGGACAGGAAGAATCAATATTGTGAAAATGGCCACACTGTCCAAAGTAATTTATAGATCCAATGCCATCCCCATCAAGCTACCAATGACTTTCTTCACAGAATTGGAAAAAACTACTTTAAAGTTCATGTGGAACCAAAAAAGGGCCCACATTGCCAAGACAATCCTAAGCCAAAAGAACAAAGCTGGAGGCATCACGCTACCTGACTTCAAACTATACTATAAGGCTACAGTAAAAAACAGCATGGTACTGGTACCAAAACAGAGATATAGACCAATGGAACAGAACAGACACCTCAGAAATAACACCACACATCTACAACCATCTGATCTTTGACAAACCTGACAAAAACAAGAAATGGGAAAAGGATTTCCTATTTAATAAATGGTACTGGGAAAACTGGCTAGCCATATGTAGAAAGCTGAAACTGGATCCCTTCCTTACACCTTATATAAAAATTAATTCAAGATGGATTAAAGACTGAAATGTTAAACCTAAAACCATAAACACCCTAGAAGAAAACCTAGGCAATACCATTCAGGACATAGGCATGGGGAAGGACTTCATGTCTAAAACACAAAAGCAGTGGCAAAAAAACCCAAAATAGACAAATGGGATCTAATTAAACTAAAGAGCCTCTGCACAGCAAAAGAAACTACCATCAGAGTCAACAGACAACCTACAAAATGGGAAAAAATTTTTGCAATCTACCCATCTGACAAAGGGCTAATATCCAGAATCTACAGAGAACTCAAACAAATTTACAAGAAAAAAACAAACAACCCCATCAAAAAGTGGGCAGAGGATATGAACAGAAATTTCTCAAAAGAAGACATTTATGCAGCCAACAAACACATGAAAAAATGCTCATCATCACTGGCCATCAGAGTAATGCAAATCAAAACCACAATGAGATACCATCTCATGCCAGTTAGAATGGCAATCATTAAAAAGTCAGGAAACAGCAGATGCTGAAGAGGATGTGAGGAAATAGGAATGCACTTACACTGTTGTTGGGAGTGTAAATTAGTTCAACCACCATGGAAGACAGTGTGGGGATTCCTCAAGGATCTAGAACTAGAAATACCGTTTGACCCAGCAATCTCATTACTGGGTATATACCCCAAGGATTATAAATCATGCTACTATAAAGACACATGCACACGTATGTTTACTGCGGCACTATTCACAATAACAAAGACTTGGAACCAACCCAAATGTCCATCAATGATAGACTGGATTAAGAAAATGTGGCACATATACACCATGGAATACTATGTAGCCATAAAAAAGGATGAGTTCATGTCCTTTGCAGGGACATGGATGAAGCTGGAAACCATCATTCTCAGCAAACTATCACAAGGACAGAGAACCGAACACCGCATGTTCTCACTCATAGGTGGGAACTGAACAATAAGATCACTTGGACACAGGGCAGGGAACATCACACACCAGGGCCTGTTGAGGGATGGGGGGCTGGGGGAGGGATAGCATTAGAAGAAATACCTAATGTAAATGACGAGTTAATGGGTGCAGCAAACCAACATGGCACACATATACCTATGTATCAAACCTGCACATTGTGCACATGTACCCTAGAACTTAAAGTATAATAAATAATAATTCTAACAATTACAATAATATGGCTCACAGTCACAAAATAACATTTCAGAAATCTTCTCTGCAGTTTCACATGCTCCTATCATGAGAGCAGAAGACACCAGTCTCACAGCCATATTGGTATTTTGTCCAAACAGAGGATAAAGCCCCATTCAGTTGCAGTAAGTTTGGATATTTACTTGAACTTTTAAACATGGCAAAAATGACAATGTTATGAAAAGACGGGTTTTTTTCAAAAATTCTTGTTGAGTAAATAGAAAAGCTACATATTTGTCCAGAGTATTGATCAGCCTTATCTAGTGCCAGCCAAAACGTAGAAGTCTGAGGCTTTTTGAGAATAACTACTTAATTTATAACAGTAATCATAATACAAAGCATTAGCAACATAGGAAAATGAATCTCTTCAATATTGCAAGCTTCAAAGGTTGTGTTTGTTTGCTTTGCTTTTATAAAAAACCCTAACCTGTCCTTCTGGCTGTGTTATCACTGGGTTTGGTCTGAGAAGAGCCAAGGAGTACTCACAAACCAATCCATAAAAATAAGAAAGCACAAAAGAGAAGTATAAATTAGGTCTCTTATTCCATTTGTCAGTCTTATGACCCTCAATGCTATGACTCCCCACTGTCTATAGAAACTCGAACTTCATGTCCAACAGTCTAACTCCAAGGGCAACTTTCAGAATTTACTTCCACCCTGCACTGTCAGCATGCACACTTCTCTCAGGGGCACAGACTAACTCACCAATCTGGACACCAATTTGGTGGTTCCTGGACTCTGTGCCTTTTTTCACATTGTCTACTTCTTTTTGGTATATCACTCTCTACTTTTGTTGATAATATTCCTCCTCCACAGCCCAACTCCAGTGTTGCTCTGCCATTGAGTCCTCTTTAGACTCTCATTTGGAATTAATTCATCTCCCTTCTTAAAAGCCTTCAATGGTTTCCCATTGAATGGAGAAGAAAATTTTGCATCCTTTTGCCTTATGATCTGCCTGGCTATCTTCCCTATCTCATCCCAAGCCATGATGCCCCAGTCACCCTGGATCTTCTTAATTTTCCAGGATTTCCCTAGAGTATTCCAGTCATACATCCCTTACACTCTGTATTTCCACTGCTTGGAAGGCTCTTCCCTCGGCTTTTCTGGAAACTGCCTCCTTGGCACCTGGTAGGTCTCGGCTGAAATGTTACTTCTCCAGAGGTCCTTCCCGGACACCTAGTAGAGCTATACATCTGCCCTGCTCTAGTACTGTTACTGTATACTATTAAGATGTGTTATCTATCTTCATACACTTTTTCTGAATGTATAATTACATATTTATTTGTTTAATTGTCTAACGTTTCTCTTTCCCACAAAAAAACATAATTCTCAAGAGGTCATGAACTCAATATATCTCACTGATACAACTCTAGATCTCACATTTAACATGATGCCTTACATTGTAGAAGTTCAACAAATATTTTTTGAATGAATGAATATATCACTTCTTCCTCTACACATTTATAACAGTTGGATGATAAGCTGCCATATATTGCAGATGTTGACATTAGTTTTTTATCTCACGCTGGATTACAAGTTTCTTTATAGCAAAGGATCATGAATAAATGAGATAATGCTTGCAAAGCACCAGGCCCAAATTAGGTCCTCAATCAGCTTTTGCTCTCATAAGGTTGAACATCAGAGACTAAGTGGAGGTGGAGAGTCTTGGGTTTTCATAAAACTTCACCTATTCCCAGCTCCATAATTTTGGCCAAATTTGTTCAGTTTCTCTGGGCCTATGTATTGGTCCATTCTCACATTGCTATAAAGAAATACCTGAGGCTGGATAATTTATAAAGAAAAGAGGTATAATTCTCATGGGTTCTGCAAGCTGTGCAGAAAGCATAATGCTGACATCTCCTCAGCCTCTGAGGATGTCTCAGGGGACTTACTACCATGGCAGAAGGCAAAGGGGAAGTAGGCCCTCTTATATGGCAAGAGCAGGGGGGACAAAGAGAAGGGGAAGGTGCTAGACATGTTTAAACAACCAGATCTTATGAGAACTCTATTATGAGAACAGCACCAAAGGGATAGTTCTAAACCATTCATGAAAGATTCACCCCCATGATCCAGTCACCTCCCACCAGACCCCCTCCAA
Source organism: Homo sapiens (assembly GCF_000001405.40). Taxonomy (NCBI): domain Eukaryota; kingdom Metazoa; phylum Chordata; class Mammalia; order Primates; family Hominidae; genus Homo; species Homo sapiens. The sequence goes on along the minus strand of NC_000005.10, from coordinate 158,436,669 downwards.
CACTGGGATTACAATTCAACATGAAATTTAAGTGTGGACACAGATCCAAACCATATCAGCCTGTCTCCTCATTTGTAGATTGTTAATGATGGCACTCACGTTACTGGGTGGTTGTGAGAATGGTATTAGCTAATGCAGGTCAACTGCTCAGCACAATGTCTGGAAAGTAAAAAGTGTTCAATATGGTGGCTATTACTATTACATTAGTCATACCAAGAAACAGAAAAGCTGTGCAAGACATCCAGGAGCTGATCTAGTACTGTTGGCTAGGCTTTGATGTTCCCTTTTGGAATGTAAGCAATTTCAAAGAGCATCAACCTCAGACATGGTCACTCTGTGACCATGATGGAGCGAGACAAAGACTAGACCATTCCATAATATTGTCTGAACACAGAGAAACTTCAGCATTGTTCAAACTGCAAAAATGCTCAATCTCCCCTCCTTCCTGGCTAATGTGAATGATTGCTACTTCTTAATCAATTACAGCCTTAGAACTGTTCTGGCATTCCCTTCTTCTATATAAGACTGATTTAGATACTCAACCTTCATCTAGTCTCTCCCTCTAAATAAGATTTCTTTAGATACTGAATCATAGGATTATTCCTACTTCCTGACAGCACCAATTCAGAAGAAAACTGCTTCCTTAAACTCTCTCCCAAATCACCTAATGCAAGCTTGTGTCCCACAAGTCCTTTCTAACACTCTCTTACTGAGATGACTTATAGTTCCTCATGGTGTGCATTCTCTCTCACTGAAATTAGTAATAAACCCAACTTGTTCAACAACAGTATTTTCCTGGTGGTCTTTGGCTGAAGGGCATTGATCATAGTCATGAGAGTAACAATATCTATCATTTATTGAGCATTTACCAGGGCCTCTTCTAAGCAATTTACATGTGTTAATTTACTCAATTCTTCAGTCAACTTTAGAATGTAGGTAAGAAAAACTAAGCTAGGAAGAGGTTTAAAACTTTGCTGAAGTTAGACAGTTAATGAGTGATGAAGCTGGGCTACAAACCAAAGCATTTGGATCCTTACCCATCACTCCTTACTGTGCCTTCCTCGGTCCTATCACCTTGCTTTGAACAAAGAGATCACTTCAAGTTTATAAAGATCTGAAGCCACCACAATGTGAAAGTCATGGGGCAGAACTCAGCCAGCATACCAGAGACTTCCTTCAACATGTATCAACGGCTATTTCCTTAACACCATTATGGAGGCTGCAAAGAAGTATACATCATAGTCCCTGACTTCAAGGAACTTTTGAGCTAATTGAGGAGACAAGAATTAAATGCACAAAAGTTTCAATAACACTACAAGCTGCAATATAAGAGACACATTAAGGCAGAAGAATGCATGATTCAGTGTCAAATAAGGTGTGCAGATGGCACTGGGAGGGAGCTCGCTGTGGGCTACGTGCTCAGCCCACACACTCTAACCCAACTCAAAACCACAGACAGGAAATCAGAGAAGAGAGCTGCATTGTCAGGAACAGACAGAAAGAAAAAGAATAAAACCTTAATGGAAAGAAATCTATTAAAATTATATTTGCAGTATATGTGGCTAGATGGCTTTTAAATTTTACTTTTTGGTAATTTTTTTGTTGAGGAATTATAACCCAGTCTCTGAAAGGGAGTCATGTGGTTATGTCCAAGGGACTCAATATCAGGAACTCTCTGGGAACATACAAACAGTACAAAGTTCCCTTCTCTTTGGGCAAAGCTGAGCCCTAGCCGGACCCTATCTAGCCTCTCATCTATGGATCACTTTCAGGTTCATGTCATTGCATTCTGGTGTCAGAAAAACGTTCATGACAACTCCAGACACAATATCACAGAAGGAGTCTCAGCCATTGAGGGCCATATTAAGATAGCTTATTTCTGTAAGGAGATAACCAAGCTCTTACAGTGTCTTACAAAGATTCATGGAGTCTTCCAGCACTTTTGGACTGGAAGAGATAAAGTACCACTCTTGAATGATTTAGTAAGTGTGTCTGAGCAAGGGCTTTGATATCAACTTGGGCAATAACATTAGGCAAGTTATGTAACCTCTTTATCTGCAAGTGGAGTTAATAACAATAACCAACTCATGGGATGATTGTAGGGTTAAATGGCATAACGCTTTCAAAGGGCTAAAGGTATCCAACACAGAGAGTACATTCTCAGAACATGTTAGTAATCAATATTATTGTTATTATTCTCCATATCCATATTGTCCTTAAGGACTAGGAGAAATGCAAAAGAAGCACGAGACGTGTTCCTTCTGGATACTTCCAAAGACTCTAAATTAGGGATTTACTCATCCTGATTAGGCAAGTAATTCAGTTCTGTTATGTAGCTGTCATCCTATTGTACCCAGGTTTAGGAGACTCAGTTCCCTAAATTTGATTCCCACCTCCACTACTTACTCGGAACTGTGGCCATTTCCTTAACCTATCGCTGACTCAGTTTATTTATAAAAGCAGTGGGATTAATTATGGTCCCTACATCTTAGGACTGTTGTGAAGAGTAAAAGAGATCATGGATACAGAACCCTGAGAAATATCCAGTACATCACTGGCTCTCAATGGGTGTTATTTTTTATCATCATCATCATCATCATCATCATCACTACCATCCTCATCATTAAGTATATCCTAGACTTTGCCTTTTACTTCCAGAGATTCAAGCTCAATGATCTCTGACATGCCCCAGGCAGCTGAACTTTCCAAGGCTTTATTTTAGAACATGTGCTCTGTTGGAAAAGACAAAGCTTTTCACTCCATTCTAAAGTACTAGATGGGGATGGTGTACACTGCCAGCCACTCTTGTCTTATGACAAATCGTCCATATTTGTAGGTTTGCCAGCTGAGGTCATGGATCTAGTCCTTGGTGAGAAGGAGGAGGAGATGGAGAGAAAGGAGAAGAAAGAGAAAGGAGAGGGAGAAAGGCATGCTACCAGTGCCTATTGGGATTGAAATCACAGTTGCATCCTGGCTGAGTGATTTGGGGCAAATTACTTCACTTCACTTTTCACATTCAGAGGCAGTGCTAGTGCCTCTTTTCTAGGCACGATTGAACTTTAAAAGAAAGAATACATCTATGAGTACAGTGCGTAGCACATATTATATTCTCAGTAAATTGCAGCCAGGTTATCATTACAGATGTTCTCTGTCCTATAAGCAAAATAACTGATCAGAGACCACATCAGGATAGCATTATCCACCAGCTAAGAGGTCTCACATTATTCTTGCATCCTCTTTCTTTTTCTAAAAATTTAATATTGAGTTCAGACTATTGGGGAGAGCACAACTGCATTCTGTTTCAGGTTTGAATGTGAAGACCATACAAGTGCAGTAGAAAGGGTTTTGGAGAAATTTAACAGACTTGCATTCCAGTGCTGACACCATTTACTTTCACTTCTGGGTCTCAACCTCTGAAATTAATATTGGAGGTTAAGACTATACTAGATTATACGTAAAGATCCCTCCAGCCATTCTCCCTTAGGATTCTAATTCCTTAAACCAGTACTTAACAAGGAGTACCTCATGTGAGATTATTGGGTCGCTTGTGAAAAAATGGGTATTCCTGGATTCCCACCTAGGTTTACAGGAATCAGAATCTTTAAGCCCCTAGTGGGAGCAAGGGCTTAAGGCCAGGAACAGACAGACAGACAGACAGACAGACACACACACACACACACACACACACACACACACACAGATGGAATTTCGCTCTTGTTGCCCAGGCTGGAGTGCAATGGCGCCATCTCGGCTCACCGCAACCTCTGCCTCCCCAGTTCAAGTGATTCTCCTGCTTCAGCCTCCCGAGTAGCTGGGATTACAGGCATGCACCATCATGCCCAGCTAATTTTTGTATTTTTTAGTAGAGATGGGGTTTCTCCATGTTGGTCAGGCTGGTCTTGAACTCCCGACCTCAGGTGATCCACCTGCCTTGGCCTCCCAGAGTGCTGGGATACAGCCACCACGCCTGGCCCAGGAACATATATTTTAGTGACCTTCTCAGAGATACACTGCCTGAACTGCAGAGGAGACAGACTTTGAGGTAGTGATGGAAACAAGAGAACGGAAATGGTAAGTAAGAGGGAAGTCCATTCCTGCTCAGGTACATCACTGTGAATTGAACCTCATGTAGAACATGCTGGGCACTTAACCCATTAAGATTGCTGAAGATGCCAAGAAGAAATATTTATAGGCACTTTTTAACATAGTCTATAAAAGAGGAGGTTGATTCAAACATAAATTACCTACCACATCATTCTTTAACCTCTAAATCCTTCTCTAATGACTTGAAAGGCAGCTTATTAAAGCAAAGTGCATGTTTAAGTACTAGATATACACTGGTTAGTTTGCAAACATCTAGAGAAACAGAAGTTACTAAAACTGGCAGGTTTGCTAATTAAAAAAAACAGCAAAAAAAGAAATGTTAAGAAATTTTCAGTCTGGGCAAAATGGCTTAAATATTGTGGGATGTGATTTTCTCTCTTTATCTCAGATCTACCTTCTCCTGAGTTGGCTCCATTTTCTGGATAAATCTTCCCATGTAATAGCAAGATGGCAGCCAGGAACCCCAAGGATACATCATATCCTGTCACAATCCCAGAGCAACTTGGGAAGACCAGGTGTCTCTATTCAGGCTGTTTTAGGATCTTGGAGTAAGCTCTCATTGGACTAGCTTGAGTCATGTCGTTGCCACTAAGCCAATCATAGTGGCCTGAGGATTGTCCTATGGTGATTGGCAGCTTATGTCACATGGCTACTCCTAGAACTGGGGTGTAGGGTTCACCACACTCAAAACACAGAGTGAGAATTGGTTTCTGTACACAAAAACAGGGTGATGTTACTAGGAAAAGTAACATATGGTGGTCAGGCAAATCAACAGATGTCCATTGCAACATCTTAAAGTAGCAAATATCTTTTATGGGCTGAGTACACATTGTTTTTTAACTGTGTGGTAAATTATGCCTCACCCAGTATATTTTCTTACTTGCTTTTTTTTCTGTGTGTATGATCCTTTATGCATTTGTCACACAGACACACACACACACACACACACACACACACACATACTGTCTTAACAGCCAGGGGAAATTAGATGACATTTAGTGATGGAAAAAATGAGCAGAGTTTTGATCATTGTTTAATTTAGCAAAAGAACAGCTCCACCTAAGATTCTTCCTGCCTATTGCCAACAGTGACAAAGTAGCTGGAGATATTGCAAATGTGCTTCTGAGACCTTCTGCAGCTGTTGCAGAAGTGGGACTGAAACCAAGCTCAGGGAGGGTAATCACCAGGAAAACATTTTCTATGTCTCTTTAGAATTCCTCCAAGAGAAATCTTTGGGTTTGTTCACCTCTGAATTCCCATTACCCAACATAATGGTTAGCACATAATGGATACTCAATAAATAGTTATTGAATGAATGCATGAATTAATCAATGAATGCTTTCATTTTTAGAACTGGGTTTTAGTCAGAAACAGATTTTCAAAATTACTTAATTTGTGGAGCTATTTTATGAAACAGTATGGTCATTTCTAAAACATAAAAATGTTTTTAGAAATATACATTCATTTCTGCCCCCTCTTCATCATTTACAAAGGAATAAACCCAATTTTGGTATTTAACAGAACAAAATGGCCAGGAAATGGTAGAATATTTTTATTCACAGCCTGAATTGTATAGGATTTCCAGATGCTCAAAAGCCTGGCGCTATTCAATGTTTCCTACAGTGTAGGAGGGCAAAGGCAATGAAATACAAAACTCAAGTGCGAGAGTTACTTTGACTTTAATTAGTTATACATTCTATACAGAATTGGTTTAAAATTTGCCTAACAATTAAAACCTCTCAAGAAAGATATACAGAAAATAGAATGGAATTAAATTTCAGAACATTCTATCAGTTTTCAGATACAGAGTATCAACAGCTGCATCTATATGTCTATATCAGAATTCTAGATGGAGGAAACTGAACTGAAAAAATATCAAACACCATCTCCAACCAGGGAGTATCCAATTGCATCAGAGTTGGAAAGGGTGAATCACAAAATATCTAAACTCTTCTCAAAATTATTTAATTTTGTTTTTGTTTTAAAAAGGAGGCCTAGGCCATGAGCCACTAAGTTATGAAACCAAACTAAGAATGACAGGTGTCCTAGTTATTTATAGCTGTATAACAAACTACCCCAAAACTGACTGGCATAAAGCAACCACTATTTTACTGTGCTTGCAAATATCGTGGGTCAGGAATTCAGGCCAGACATGGTGGAGATGATTTATCTCTGTTTTGTAATGTCCAGGACCTCAGCAGGCTGGGATAATTCAGCTGAGGGTCACTAAAATAACTTAGGGCTGAAATCATCTGGAAGCTTCCTCATTCACATGTCAAGGCCTAGGCTGGCATGACGTGAAGGCTGACCTTCAGCTAGGACTGATGCCCAGAGACCCTACACATGACCTCTCTGTGTATCTTGGGCTTCCTCACAGCATGGTGGCTTCAAGGTAATCAGACTTCTTACATGTTGACCAGGACTGGGTCATGTGCCCTTGCTGAACTAATCACAGACAAGGGGAATGAGATTATTAGTAACCCAATCAGGCCCACTTCTGGGGCTGGAGATGGGGTCAAGTTTTTCAAGGCACAAGTCTTCATGGGGGAGAGGTTGATACCTGAACAAAGTCAGGGTTCCTCTAAGAAAAAGGAAGGAGGAATGGATGGTGGGTAGTATCAACAGTGTCTGCTACCCTCTTCTCTGGTCTGCTGAAATGATTCCAACTGTTTTCTGTTTGCTTCATGTGATGGTAATTTCCTTATTTTATTTCCCTCTAAGATCTGAGGAATGTGGCTTTCTAAGACGGTAAAACTCATCTCAGACACGAAGTAAACTATTAATCACTGGGATGAAACGTTTTGGAGAAGGTGAATACTATTTGTTTAAGAGAACCAGACAAGCCAGTGCAAGTATTTCTCAAAGTTTATTCTGTAGACAATTAATTGTGTGTGCGTGTGTGTGGGTGTATGTGTGTGTGTGTAGGGGAGGAGGTAGATGAAGTGGGAGAGAAGGTTCCATTGTTTAAAAAAAAAGTCTAAAAATGCTGCATACTTTTTCCTGTTTTCTAGAGTCACAGTGTGAATGAGCATATTTAAAGCCTGGAGAAGTCCTGCAGCAAAACAATCTGTTGTTTAAGCCAGTGTCCCCAGCCTCTTTTAGCTTGGAGCACTTCTGAGCATATCTATTAAAACCCTGCAGAGCATGTATGCTATCACTTCTTGAGACATACTGATAATATCCTCTCTTGACTTATGACATAAGAATTTTTTTTTTGAGACGGAGTCTCGATCTGTCACCCAGGCTGGGGTGCAGTGGTGCTATCTTGGCTCACTGCAAGCTCCGTTCCCCAGGTTTATGCCATTCTCCTGCCTCAGCCTCCCTAGTAGCTGGGACTACAGGTGCCCGTCACCATGCCTGGCTATTTTTTGTATTTTTAGTAGAGATGGGGTTTCACTGTGTTAGCCAGGACGGTCTCAATCTCCTGACCTTGTGATCCTCCCACCTCGGCCTCCCAAAGTGCTGGGATTACAGGCGTGAGCCACCACGCCTGGCTGTGACATAAGAATTTAATGTTCTTAAGTTAATGCTCTTGTAATTAATATGAGTATTAATTTAAGCATATCAAGAGTATTATAGTTTTAAAATCTTACCAATTAGTGTTTTTCTTGGAGTTCAATTAAATAATCTATGTCCAGAATATAAATGTGATGTGCATAAACACACACACACACACACACACACACACTCATGTATATGTGTATATATATATATGTGTATATATGGAGAACTTTGACTGAAGTCAGCACAGCAGTGGAGTGAGTCTGAGGAAGGTAAATATTTCATCTGTAAGATGGTGGGTGGTAGGTGTCTCTAGGACCATCAAGTGGAAAGTTTGAACAAATATTTGGATATAGACATACACATCTAGAATTTCAGAGATGCCAGTTTCAGCTCAAAGGTGTGAGAAGGACTCATGAAGAGGCTGGGGTTGAGTATGTGAAGAGGTTGAGGAGGGAGGGCAGTATGTTACTCATCCAGTGGAAGTTTTGGAGGGCATAGTGGGAAGGATTAGAAAAGAAAGGTGTTTGGCCAGGTGTAAAGCATGGAACGAGAGCACATGAAAGGACAAATGACAGAAGAGCTAACATGTCTGGAAGTAGCCAAGAGCATAAGGGATGTAGGCATGCTGGGTCTAGCTCTCTGCAAGCTTTCTAAGGCAAGGAGGCAGCACATCCTCTGGTGGCAGGTGGGGAACAGAGGTGACTTGTATGGGTACAGGAAGAATTCTTAATTTTGCTGTGCCATACAACCTGCACAAATTGCTCACTAGCGAATGCAGAGGACCTTCACTGGTCCTGTGTTGGTTGTCGCCTTATGTAACATTTCCTCTCCTCCCCATTCCAACAGCTTCAATTTCCCTAAAGAATCAACTCCATTCTGACCTCCAGCATTAGAAGATGTGATTATGACTAAGCCTACCTGAGCACCCCATCTGCCTGGCCACCATGATTAGTTCAGGTTAAGCAAATAACCTGAGCTGGTCTAAGAACAATTCTCTGGATTTTTCTGAGAACACTGGGACAAAAATATATTCCCATTTCTGTAGCATGTGACTAAGGAAACAGATACACCAGAAGCTGCTGGCAGAAATGTTTTCAATATGAAAAGATCCAGTTTTAGGATTAAGATGTCACAGTAGAAGGTAGACCAGAAAGACAGAGAGAAACAGGAACTCTGGTGGCATGATTTGAGCTGCTGGATCAGTCCTCACCTGAAGCAAGTCCTTACTCTGGACTTTTCATGTTCATGAACCAATAAAGTACACTTATCATTTAGGTTAGATTGAGTTAAAATTTTACTAATTTCAATCAAAAATTAATTGAGGTATGATACAGAGAGATTCCAGTTTTTGGTGGAGTCAGCTGTGTACTGAGCTGATTACACAGGCTGTCAGAAAGACATTCTGGGCTGGAGGCTCTGGACATGCAGGATCCTGGGAGAGATTGATTAGATCCCTTGTCTTGGTTTACTTAGATTATATGCCAGTCATTTGCAAAAATGTATGGTCCAAGTAGAATTCTTCAAAAACTATTTGTACAACCATAATTGGATATCTAATATATTGGTCAGCTGGATGATGCTTTCAAAACAGTCTAATAAGAAAGAGTGGTAAGTTCTTAAATGTCATGATTAGGTGGGGACTCAGCAGCTATAATTGATTGCTGGCATGAGCTACGCTTCCTTCCTGGAGTCATATTCCACATGACACTGATATCAAGTCACCCACATTTATATGAAGTTATTGTCTTATATGAACAGAAATTCACCATTCACTAAAGCAGCAAAATTTAACATCAAAGCTGGCGTCATTACACATAACGTATTTCCTTTGTAAAGTAAAAGAGGTATTCAGGGAGAACTCTAATTAGGTTGAGAAAACAGTGGGCTATGAAACATTTCTTTCAGGAAAGAGAGGGCAGCACAAGCACCAGCTCTAACTTTCAATGAATTTAATGCAATGAGCTGTTCTATTAGACAAGGGGTCACAAAATCTGGCCTATGGCCTGTCTTTGTAAATACAATTTTATTAGAACATAACCATGCCCATTCATTTACATATGTTTATGGCTATTTCCATCCTACAACAGCTGAATTGAGTAGTTAGGAAAGAGACTGAATGGCCTGCAAAGACTAAAATATTTACTACCTAACTCTTCATAGAAAAAGCTTGTGGATCCCTACTATTAGTCTGTGAATGAAGGCAGAACTATATGATTTTCATCTTTGTATATATTCTTTACTGTATATTGGATGCTCGTTAGATATTAATCATTGTGCTACTGCACTTAACATTTTAAGTCCTAAACAACTCTATGGGGTTAGATCTTCTTCTCTTGGTTCTACAGAAACCAATGAGGCAAAAAAATTTTATTGAGGATACACAAGCAATAATTTCCCAACCTGGAAATCAAACCCAGATCTGCCTGTCTGACCCTGTGCTCTTAACCACTGCACATCCTACACTGTTTCTCCATCCCTTTAAACAGTTCTAGGTTCATAAAATGACTCAATACTGGATGTCGAATTGAAATGGAATCAGAATTACTACTTTAAAATATTTGTTTACCTTAATAAATCATTTGCCTACCAGGGAATACCTTGCTAATTGAATTCACATAAACGGCCTGGGGAAAATTGGCAAGAAGAGGGAAGCAGTTCTTTCCAATATGAAGGAAGAGTCTCATTGGCCTTTTTCATACAAACTATCTGCTCAGTTTTGGTCTCCAATAGGAAGCATTGACAAATCAATGAAGTTGACCAAAAGAAAGAAAAACAGAACGATTGTTAATAGGATGATATCCTTGATTTATGAAAAAGAGAGTAGAAAAGTCCACCATCACTTCAAATGGGGTAACTTACTACTTTTGTGTTACCTTTTGTGCTAGGGTGACTCAAACCAACAAAAAATGTTCTGCGGCTCAAGGCTTTACACAGGTGAAGGACCTCACTTGCTTACAATGACTGATGAACAGATGCAATGCTTTTCAGCGGTTATTCCCCGGCCTCAGGATGGCTAGGTCATGCGGATTGCTATACCATGGCTTGCTACTGCACCTCTCCCTTCCCACTTTTCTCATTCTGGGCTTTCTCAAATGTGGTTTTTATTTTCATTTACGTATTTTTTGAGATGCAGTTTCACTCTTGTCGCCCAGGCTATAGTCCAATGGCACGATCCCGGCCCACTGCAACCTCCACCTTCTGGGATCAAGCAATTCTCCTGCCTCAGCCTCCCAAGTGGCTGGGATTACAGGTGCCTGCCATCATGGCTAATTTAGTATCCTTAGTAGAGACAGGGTTTCACCATGTTGGCCAGGTTGGTCTTGAAGTCCTGACCTCAGGTGACCCACCTGCCTCAGCCTCCCAAAGTGTTGGAATTATAAGTATGAGCCACCGCACCTGGCCTCAAATTGTGGTTTTTATAGATAAAACTATTGCCTCTACAGACAAAATGCAAAGATGAGATGCAATAGTAATGGAGAGGCACTACTGGATTAACATTTTATCTTTGCATTTGAGAAGACTCCACTTCCCAAATCATATAAGCAACCAAAAGGTAGCTATTTCTATGGGAAGAATGAAACAAAGTTTTCAGTGCCAGAGACGGCTTTGGATTATAGTTTACTTATTATTGTGGAATATTATTTTTTTTTAGAAAAGTAGAAAGCTCTAGGCTGAAGGCCTCAAACACACTATGAACATTTGTAATGGAAACCCCCATTCCATGTGTACCACAGTCCCATTTCCAGAAAAAAACCTTGTCATGCCAGAAGCCAGGGTTGTTTTCTGCTATTAAGCATGCACTGGGATTATCAGAGGCACCTTGGAGAGTCAGGGGTGCTGCTGAAAGAACATTCTGGGAAGCAGACAGGAAGATAGTTACAGAGGTATATCTCTGGGGTGTCTTGGTGCCATTGCCAGTGTTTGCATTGTCCCAGCTAACGTAGGGATTCTTTATTTTTTTTTTTTTTTATCCAAAAGCAGAAGTTAGCAGTAATTCTATAAAGGCTTCAGTCCTCCACACAACACTCATTTTAGGGATTCATCTTAGAAAAATTTTCTTTCAGTTGTCATTTTTTTTTTCTAGACAATTGCAAATAAGCCTATCTGAGCTTTTCTCATCCATTTTGGAGAACAAAAACATTTTTTGACTAAGGCAAAAGTTGTAGAAATTACTATTCATTTATTATTTAACTAAAATTCCCCATCTTCTGTAGGCCTCCTCCAATAAGTTCAGCCAGCCTTGATGTCATTTTCCAAATGACTCACAGCCTTTGCTTCTCATACCTTGACTTCTCAAAGTGTTGTTTTTGGATTACCTGCATCAAAAACACCTAGGTGAACACATTACAAATGCATATCTCTGGACCTTACCTCAGTCATCCTGAATCAGAATATCTGAGATGAGACTCGGGCATTTTAGCAAGCTGCCATGATTCTTCTACTCACTGAAGTTTGAGAATGGTGGTTGCATTGTTTCCATTTTGACCATGAGTAATTCTCAGATGATCCCTTTATATGTCCTGTTGCAGTCACATGGGCAAGTTGTATCCTGCATAAAAGCACCTTGTCAACAGGGAGGGAGGATAAAATCAAGATGTTCACTCTGGTGCAAGATTGTGCCCACCAGAGGAAGAAGGTGCTTTTTCTAATTTGCACAAATGTCCCTTGGTTGCTCACTGGTTACCCACAAGGCTGCATCTGCCTGGAAGGGTCATCTTTTTCTAATTTACACAAGGACTCCGTGTGGGCTGGCAGTGCCCTACTTGTAGGTCTAATTTGTAAAGCCCATGAGACAGTCATCGCGTGTTAAGCTTTTTGTCCTGCTTCCCATTGTACCACACACACCAGTAAAACTCAATATTTGTAGAATCAAATTGAAAATGCTAATAACATATTAATACTAGAGAAAGAAAGACAGTTTTATCACTCACTCAAATAACAATAGCCTCCTTCATTTCTCTCCTCCCCTGAATTGAGCAAAATCAGGAGAATTTTCCACTGCAGACCACAGATTGAACATACAGTCTGTGTGGGGGGCAAAATGAAACTCTTCTTTTCCTTCCTAGTGGAAATAAAACTTTTTGGCAGTAATTCTTGGATTGTTTTCTTTGGAAATTGCATTCATGTGATTTTCAAGATGTTTCCCGGGCTTTGTTGAAATTTGATCCATTTAACAAGAAACACATAACTCAATTCATGTTAAAATTCTCAGGGTTACTTAAGAATAATTATGAGTTGTCCATGTGTGCTAGAAAAACAGTCCAGACTTCCTCAAGAATGGGAAGATTATTTGTCTCTCTGGGGTAATGTTTCTCCTGGTTAAGTATGCCCAGTGAAAGAGTTTGCTCAAAAAGTAACCCCAAGTTTTTCCCTGCGAAGTAGTAGACAGGCTTCATGAGTTTCACTCCCAAAGCCATTTTCAGAGGTGATTTATCATGTGAACCAAGGGTCTCTATGAACTTCTATGGAAATGACAACATAACGTCTCACACACCTAAAGAGAGTGAGACTTGGGCTGAATTCTGAGATGTAATGGTTGGATTTCATCTAAATCATAGTTTTCTGAGCTTACTTTCTTGGCTAGCCTTTCCTTCACTTGTACCCTTCTTTTTTACTAAACCCTCTAAGCTACAGCTAAATCAGATGAAACCCCGTAAATCTCCCTTGCACTCATACCACTTCTCTAACACAGAAATGGAATCCCCTGAGCGTTCACGGACTCACAAGCAGCAAAGATGAAATACATGGAGAAGTGGGGTTGGACCCACTCCAGCCTGCGAGTTGAAGCTCCGCTGTGGCCTTGCAAGTCAGGAAATGCTTCTTGTTCCACCAATATTGAAAAAAAAAAAAAAAAAGGCCGATCCCTATTCATCTCTTTCTTAGCTGAGCCTCTTCTTGTTGGTTACAGGTAACACACACCCATTAGTTAGGGGTATTCATTGCAAAGATACAGGAGTGTGTCATAGAACCCAAAGTCCACAGAAAGAATGAGAACTGGAAATCAGAGGTCATCAGTACACAGGCAGTGTTTTCTCACCACTCTTCATCTTTGCTTCTCTCACTTCATGCACTAGCTTCTTAACCCAGTTCTACATGGGGAACACAGTATTCTCTTGTTTAAATTTTCTGTTTCAAAGGTCAGCCCAGATTTGCTTTTCTTCGTCGCGATTCCAAATTCCCAAGGAAGGGAGGTTGATTGACTCACTGTAGATCTGTAACCTCTTCTGGTATAGTCATCTGTGGCTAAGGATAGAGTCAAGCTGGACCAGCATGAGTTCTGGGAGCTTGTCTCCATTCCTTCCTGGATGGTGGGAAGGAACATCCCTGAGAAAGCAAACTGGGCAGAAATTGAAAAGGAAACCTGTAAAATCCTAATGTCTATGATCCTAGAAACAAAATAGCACTTTAGGTTCATTTATCCCAACCACCCATTCATGGTAGGGATAAGTTCTGCCACATACTTGACTAATAATTGATAATCCTTCAGCCCTGCTTGATTCCCCCTCATGAGGATGGAGAGTTTACACCTTATGATCCATTTAACAAGAAACACACAACTCAATTCATGTTAAAATTCTCAGGGTTACTTAAGAATAATTATGAGTTGTCCATGTGTGCTAGAAAAACAGTCCAGACTTCCTCAAGAATGGGATGATTATTTGTCTCTCTGGGGTAATGTTTCTCCTGGTTGAGTATGCCCAGTGAAAGAGTTTGCTCAAAAAGTGACCCTGAGTTTTTCCCTGCAAAGTAGTAGACAGGCTTCATGAGTTTCATCCCCAAAGCCATTTCAGAGGTGATTTATCATGTGAACCAAGGGTCTCTACGAACTATGAACTATGAGGTCTCAGTATTATTAACATTTCTTTCTTAGGTTACAAAAAAAATTCTTGCAGAAATGCCCATCCAAAGATAGTTCTAACTATTAAAGCAGCTTGTATCTCTAACTTTGAAGTGATATATATATATAATATGTATATTATAAATTACATATATTCATATATAATATATTATCTATAAATTCAGGAGCTTAAAAAGAGATTAGCAAGAGGAAAGATGGTATGAGAAAAAGAGCATAGGTTCTGGTGATAGATTGCCAATTTTCAAATCACTATTCACTAGCTCTGCAACCTTCAACAAACACTTGATCCTCTATTTCTTCAATTGTAAAATGATCACAGTGTCATGAAGATAAAATACTGTAAAGTGCAAAGAACATTCAGCTAAGTGCCTGACACCGAGTTGAAGCTCAGTATGTGTTAGCTGCCATCATTTTCCTTTAGCATTACTTACTTGTAGAAATACAACCAAATCACATATTTTCTAGGCCTTCTGTCATTCTGCCACTGATATTTCTCAGTTTGACCAGATAACTTTCCTCAAAGGACCTTGTCCATGCCAATGTCTAAGGCAATGACAGCGCCAAAATATTTTTCAGACACAGCCTGGGACTTGTTTCTGGTAAGCAGGCTGGAGAAACATTCGCGCTTCACAGACCACCTGTCAAAGGGGCGGGTACCATTCTATTTGTTATTCAAGCATAAAGCTGAAGCCTTCTCGCTCAAGCTGTAATGATGGGAACTAAGTGCAGAGACTACTGCATGTATAGTTTACAGAATTGAAATACAGAAGTTGACATTTTTATGATTTTTCATAATCTTTGTGAGTAAGTGGTGTAGCCAGAGTCAAGGAGCTCTGCATCCGTTCTCACCTCTTGGGATTGGTGTAAAGGTGTAGAGAGAGAAAAGAAATGGAAACAATTGGAGCTACCTGAGGGATGCATTTGCTCTTTCCTCTCCCTAAGAAGCCAAGGAGGGTTGCATAATATCAGGCTGCCCTAATGCATGGGGACAGCATTACTCCCTAGGCTGCAGGTGCCCTCAAAGCAAGAGGTACCAAGAATGTGGTCAGCTAACATCTGTTTAAAAGAATTACTATTGCATTTTGGCCTTGCTGTGAATAGTGTGCCTGTGGATCTTCCTGGCAGCAAAATGGAATAGAATTGAGTGGGTATCTTGAAGCAGGCTTCTTCCATGTTCTGGGGTCACTGAGGGCTTTGGGAATCATGCCTGGGCCACATGCACCACATTGGTTTCCATAATGCTTGCTGGGCAGCCAGAACTTGTCAGATGTATCCCAAGATCTTACTGCTGTGCAGAGATATAATATTAAAAAAGAAAAAGGGGCTGGAGGAATGTCACATGTCCAAGCTAACCATTTACTAAACACAAGATCTATGTGAGGCATGATCTTTAAATCAGCAAACATTTACTATGCACTTGCTATGCACTCTATATATGGCAGTGCCATTACAAGGGAGGACAGAATGTATCCAAGAGCACTAGGAGTGTAGAATATAGCCAGATTCTACCTGGGGTCAGGGAGAACTGAGAAAGTTTCTCAGAAGTGTGATATTGATGAATGCCTTAAACAATGGTGTCAGTTTCCAAGAATCTGTAATCACATGAAAAATGCCCAGGGTGTAATGCTGAGTGAAATACGTATATACTAAATATTTTATAGCACAATTGAATTTGATTACACAAACCATAAACAAAATATAAGGCAGACACTTTTTTCTATTTTATCTTCTATTTATACCTACCTGATGAATAGATGCAATTATTATCTGCATTTTGTTATGTATTTAAGAAAAAAAAGAAAAACCACCAAAATGTTAATCTGAGTAGTTGATTATGAGTAAATGTTGTTTACCTCTTAATAGGCTATTATAGCATTTAAGGTGTCAGATAAAAATAACAAACATGTTATTTTTAAATAGACTCTTATATATATGGCCAATTAATTACATATATGGTCAATTGACAAAGGTGCCAAGACCATTAAATGAGAGCAAGGATAGTCTTTTCAACAAACGGTTCTGGGAAAACTAGATATCCATATGCAAAAGAATAAAGGTAAACCCTTACCTCACACCATATACAAAAATTAACTCAAAATGCATCAAAGACCTAAACAAAAGAGTTAAAACTCTAAAACCGTTAGAAGAAAGCATAGAGGAAAATAATGACATTGGATTTGACCGGGATTTCTTGGATATGAAAACAAAAGCACAGACAACAAAAGAGAATAAATAAATTAGGCTTTATCAAAATTAAAAACATTTGTGCATGAAAGTACACTATCAAGACAATGAAAAGGCAACACATAGAATGGGAGGAAACATTTGAAAAGCATACATTTGATAGGAGATTGAATTTCAGAGTATTTTAAAAACTCCTATAACTCAACAAAAAAATGAACAACCAATTCAAAAATGGGCAAACAAAATGTGGTATATACATTAATGGAATGTTATTCAGCCATAAAAAGAAATGAAATTTTGATGTGTGCTAAGAAATGGATGAACCTTGAAAAACATTATGCTGAGTAAACTAAGCCAGACACAAAAAACAAATATTGTATGATTCCATTTATACGAGGTCCCTAGAACAGGCAAATGCATACACACATAAATTATAATAAAGGTTACCAGAGGCTGTGTAGGAAGAGAACATAGGAGTTATTATTGGATTGGTACAGAGTTTGGAATGATAAAAGAATTCTGAAAATAGATAGTGGCTCCAAAAAGAAAAAAAAAAGAGTAAGATAATTCCTGAGGAAGGAAACGATACTCCAGGCATGGAACAGAGAAGTGAAAGCATGGAGGTGTGGATGGTCCCGTGTTTGAGTCCTGTGAGGCTGTGTCATGGGTTGTATTAGAAAGAAAGGCTAGGGTCTGAGGCCTGGTTGAGCAGGGCCCTGAATGCCAGTCAAAGAGGGGGAATGGCTTGAAAAAATACAAGGCTCTCAAGCTTACTTTTACATGCTAGACTTTTACCTAAAAATCCCTCAATTGTTTTGTGCTACTCTTGAAATAAAACGTAGGCAGTCCAGCTGTGATTGTATTCACAAGATATTCTGGAATCCTTTTTTTGCATTGGCTTGAGATGGTTTCTGGTTCCTTCAGATGAAAGACTCTTGACTATGACATGAGCAGGACATGAGCATGTCCATCCAAAGTCCAGCTCACTCCAAATCTCACCCTCTTCCTTCTGCTACTCAGTGAAGGCCAGGAAACACATCCTGGATACCCTGCCCCAAAGCATGGGGTGGTGTTCTCACTCTCCCCACAGCTGACCTATTATTGCTAGGCCTCACTAGCCTTTCCCATGCCACTAAGGGACTGGGGAAATGTGATGACTCAGTTTTAAAGCTTACCACCCAAATTTTAGTGACCCCACTGAGTGTACAAAAGGGACACCTGTGTTTTCCCTTCCATGTGATAAAGTTACTACTCATAAAGGTTGATTTTTCATTTTTCGCAACCCAGGACAAACAAGAGTCTTGGGCCAGCAAACATTTCCCAGGCATTATCTCATAAATGCATTTCCACTTGAAATAATCCTTGGAACTTGGTGCTAAACTTAAGGCTCACTTATGGGGTTGTCTGAGGACCCATTTTTAAATGAATATGAGGTTTCCTGATTCTTGATTGAGCACCTACCAGGAACAAGGCCTATGAGATATACACAAATAAATAACAAGGCTATTGCCCATAGGATATATACAAAGGTAGGGGTGGAAAAGATAGATATTCCCACCTAACTCAAAAGACAGAGGGAAGTCATTACCACACCAGACACACAAATAAAGCATTGCATGGAACCGCAGGGGAGGATCATTCTGTTCCAGGTCAAAAATTACAATTGACATGACCCTAAGATAAAGACAGATTCAATGAAGAAGTGTTTCAGCTTAGGAAGCAACGGGCACAGAGTCATGGAGGGAAAAAGTTCTAGGAGCGAGGGGCTTTCTGACATGGCAAGAACTAGATTGTCTGGAGCTATGCTGCCCAATATAACAGCTAATAGGCCCACAAGGTGATTTAAATTTAAATCAACCAAAATTAAATAAAATTTAAAATTCATCTTCTCAGTTGCACTAGCCATATTTCAAACTTACATAGATTAGCCACATGTGGCTAATGGCCACTGTATTGGACAGCACCAATATAGAATATTTCTACCATCACAGAATGTTCTATCGGACAACAGTAGACTAGAGAGGAACAGGAACAAGAAGTAGTTAGAGTTGAGGTTTATTCCTTATCTAGACATTTGGTAGGAAAAGTCAACATAAATTTTAAATTTTAGGAAAGTATTTTCATATAGTATGCTATGCATCGACTATTGCTCTGGATGTGAACCAAATCACATGATTCACATATGTGATTTCTCTACCTTGTCAGTTAAGGTGATTAGATTATGCTGCAGTAACAAATAGTCCCTTATCTCCATGGTTTAATACAACAAAGAATTATTTCTTGTGCTCACTACATTTCCAACATGGGTGGTCACTCAGGGACCCAGGCTAGTGAAGACATCATCTTGACAAACATTTCCTTAACTGCCAAGACAGATAAAAAAAGAAGGTTGGTGCTGAGCACCAGCAGCTAAATGCCTCAGACGAAAGTGACACACATCACTTCCGTTCACATTTTGTTGGCCAAAGCAGATCACACAGCCACCGTCAAGAGAGTAAGAAAGTATCTCTTCATGTCACCAGAAAGAGAGACTGCAACCAGAATACTTGTGTATAACCCTAAAGACTGCCACTTATGTTAATAATCAATTACCCACCAAGATGTCCAACCAGAACAATTGACCACAGGTGTAAAAAAAATGTCAGAGCTGCAAAGATTGACAGAAACCTGACCAATGAGAGGCCTTAAACAACATCCAGGGACTGTTCTAGAATAAGTACCACTTATTTGCTTCACATTTCTAGGACATCATTTATAAGAAAGAAGAATGAGAAGCCACAGCCATGACTGTGGGGTTTTCTTCCCTTCCCAGAATTGCTCCTTACGTAGCTGTCTATGCCATAGTGGCTCCAAGTTTTCTATAGGCAGGGTCTAAAAGCACAAACCTAACCAAGAGGAATGGAATGAGATTTGTCTTAAGGCTGGGTTTGCTTAGCAAGATTGCTGTTTTTACTTAGAATGAATGTTTATTTGGAATGGCTTATGGTGAGGGGACTGCTGACCAATGTTATAGGAGGTAAAACACTTTCAAGCCCCCACCTTGCACTGTCAAGCCCCCACCTTGCACTGTCACCAGTCTGGGACCATGGAAGGGAATCAAAGAAACGTGTGTTGTTCTGCCTCTTCAGACCAAAAAAAAGAAAAAGAAAAAAGGTAGCCCACTAGGGTGGCCAACCATAGTGGTTTCCCTGGGACAGAGTGATTTCCCAAATGATTTACCAGTGCTTTGGCAACTTTTTAGTTGCCTGGGAACAATCCCAGGCAAACTGAGATGGTTGATATCCTATGGCCTAGAGAACACGCAGCTCTCAGACATATTTTATTTTGTCATTGGGTGTTATTTTTAAGTTTCAGTAAGTTACGATCATTTAAGAATTAGGTTTCTTTACCCTCCAGATACATGCCTCTTTAAACAATTCAGAAGATGTACCCACTCTGAGACCTGTATTCCCTCAGGGCAGTCATCAACCAGGGACAAGTGGTGGCAGCTGCCCCCTTTAGACAGTTCATGTTCTTCGCATGTCTTCACAGACCTCACCTGAGCTGTTTTCACTTTTTTATGTCACCTTTCGGACCTGAGGCATAAGGCTGCACATTAAAAACACCCAGGTGGCCTTTACAGTTCCAATATTTAGACTGTACCCCAAAACAACTGTATAAGGATCCTAGGGGTGGAACTCTGGCATCCACATTTTTCTTAATATGGTAAAATACATACAACATAAAATTCGGCATTTTAACCATTTTGAATATATAATTCTGTAAATTAAATACATTCATATTGTGCAACCATCACCACCATGCATCTTCAGAAGTTTTTTTCATGATTCCGAATATAAACTCTGCACCCATTAAACAATAGCTCCCCATTCTTCCCTACCCCCGCCTCTGGTAACCACTGTTCTATTTTCTGTCCATAAATTTGTCCATTCTAGGTAGCTCACATAAGTGGAATCACACAATATTTGTCTTCTTGTTGTCTAGTTTATTTCACTTAGCATAATATTTTTAATGTTCATCCATGGTATAGCATGTGTCAGTATTTTCTTCCTCTTTAATGAATAAAATTCCATTGTAGGTATATACTACATTTTGTTTATCCATTCATCCTTCTATGGACATTTGAGTTATTTATTCTTTTTGGCTGTTGTAAATAGTACTGCTATAAACATAGAAGAACATGATTCTATTAGAGTCCCTGCTTTCAATTCTTTGGGGTGTATACTTAGCAATGGAATTGCTGGATCATGTTGTAATTATGTTCAATAACATTCATATTTTTAAAGCGCCCCGCCCCCGGGTGATTCTATTGTGCAGACAAGGCTGTGGACTTCTGTATTAGAACTTGTAAACTCTGAAGAATCTACACTTTCTCGTTTCCATGCGTGTGTGGCAGGGAACAAATGAACATCTTAGTTAATTCAGCCATAAAATAGGAGTTTAAAAACAGTTTTGAGAATACATAGAATGTCTTTCTGCCATCTTCCTCAAGCCTCTGAAAACAATCCTCTGCAGTCCTTTATTGGATGCTTCCATCAACCTTTCAGAAGAACTACCCTCAAAGAATATTTCAAATTTCATTATATATACTCCTTTAAAATTTTAACTCAATCTGTAGAATTTTATAAAAATGCACTGGATTAGAAAATGACACAAAAATAATATCCACTGGTTTTCTTTTATAATATCATGCAACTAAAGTGACACATTTTGCAGTAGTACAGTTATTAAAATGCAGCCCTGTGCCGGTATGAATGTCACTTATATTTAAAAGGAAAGTAATTTTACATGATTTGCTCTCTTATCTTTTGTCCTAGCAATACAGAGAGATTTGTGGATTCAGTGACTTCATCAGATGGTCTTATTACCTCTACCATACTACTTTAAATTAAGACTGGAAGCTTTTAGAATCCTTCTTCCCAAGGGAATTTATGAAATGTCAAAATGGTCACATCAGCCACTTGGGGCTGGCCTGGGAATAAAGACTTAATTTGGCCATGGGAATAGAAGAGGGATATTTCCTTGAACTTCTTTCGCCCTCCTGGTCTTTCTCCTATGAAAACATTCCATTGTGCTGTATCATTGTCCAAACAGAAACACAAGCAGCTGAACTCAATTTATCAGGGAGCTCATTTAGGTATCATCTAGGGATAGGAAACCCAACTTCAGTGACTTGAACACTGAAGGGAGGTTATGAATTCATGTAATCAGGAGGAAGAAGGGTAGGCTTCAGATGAAGTGAGATCCAGAGGTTAAATATTCCCATAGTATGCACTTTCCCTCTGTTGGATATCCTATAGTGATGTCTTCATCCTAAAGTGGCTGCCCAGCAGGTCCACACTCTCCCCTTATGTGACCAAAAGACCTGCTATAGTTCTGTATTTTCCCTCTTTACACCACACTGCCCACAGGGAGTCATGAGGGTCCCCTCCTTGATTGGGAGGCACCAATCCCTCCCAAATCAGGTGACTGAGAATGGGAACAGCATGTTCTCCCATAGGAAACTCAGCATTCTCTTACCAAGAAAAGAGAGCAATCGATTCTGGGCAGCAAACAGCATGTGTCTACGATGCCAGGTGTGTTCTGTCCAATGCAGAGCACAGCATGACTCTTAACCTCCCTTGTTCCCAACAATGCTGTCCAACGGAACTTTTTGCAATCACAGAAATGTTCTCTATCTATGCTGTCCAGTGCAACAGCTACCTAACTATGTGTGACTGACTATTCAGTACCTGACATGTGGCTAATGCAACTGAAGCACTTTATTTTTGAGCTGTTTTAAAAAGTAAATTTAATTTAAATAGCCACATATGGCTAGGGGCTGCCATATTGTGCAGTGCAGTTCTAGAAACCGATACTCCATTAAAGTAACAGAAGATCACATTCGTTTCTCTGGGAAGCACATAATATTTATGGCATATAATGGAGCATATTATCAATAAGCTTTCATATCTTTTTTCTGTTTATGAGGCTACTGTATCATACCTTTGTCATTCTGTATACTTGCAATTAATTATTTAGACTTAACTACAAAATTTTACATTTATTTCAGGTTAAGTTTTCAGAGGATCCCCATCCTTAAAGATATTTCTTATCCTGAATTTTAAAAATTCATAATATTACTTGCTCTACCAATCCTATGTTGGTCTCTATCATGAAGGGAATCTAGCCTATAGCAGAGATTTTTTTTAACCTGTAGATTATGAATGGCTTCTAAGAGGACATGAAACTACTGAAGATTTTTGTGTGCTTCTACTATGCTGTTTTTGTTCCCTCCAAGGGAAATTTAAGTTCATTAAGTTTTCAAAGATTAAAATCAGTCATCAATAATTTGCACCTTTGCACAAATTATTAAAGCATGGCAGAAATCTATGACCTGCTGTTAAAAATGGCCATCCAGGTAAACAGGTAAACACCAGTGTTTAAACTACAGGCTCTGTCTCTGGTCCCTGACTGTTGCTCACCATGTGGCAGAGCCACAAAAATCAGAAACTTACACATGTTGGTCTCTTTCTTTAAGTTTTGACTTCTTCCCCAAATTTGCTAACTATTGTTCACGCTCTAGAGCCCTTGGGTAGTTTTTGTATTTTGTCTACAGTTTATAGTTGTTATGTGTGAGAGTGTCCTTCTTATTACATTATGCGTAACATTTATTTAACCAGATCTCTATTACCGACCATTTAGAATCTGACTAACATTTTTTTCCAGTCCAATCATTTCTGAAATGAACATCCTTATTTGTGCCTCTTGAGCAAGAATGCAACTAAAAATTGAGAAGTGGAGATGTGGCTTATGGAGTAAGCACATTAAGATTATAAAACATGTGGCAGAAGGTCCGGAAACAAATAATTTCATCATAAATAATATCATCATATGAATTAACTATTTGGTATGAATTAATATACATAATAGAAGTCCAACATTTATTCATTGTATGAAATGTACCAAAATGCTTTCAGACAGGGTGGCCGCCCTGTAGTTACCACCAACATGCTTTCCAAAGTGCCTGAGTGCTGCCAATGCCCTGGTATATACAGCTAAAGGAACTTTGAATTTTTTTCCTCTGGAACATTTGAAGAAGAGGCATTTCTATCCATTTGTAGTGAATTTTACATGACTATCAAAAGCCACAAGGCCAGAGAAAGTAGAAGTAATTGGGCAATCCAAAGCACTTATTTATCCTTGATATTCTTGCTTACATCTTAAAACTGGGCTCAGGACCATAGGGACCATCCCCGAATGCTTTGCCTTGTCTCATGCTGTGAGGCCATCAGGGAAACATTGTATTTGTACAATCCCGGAGCCACAAAGTTTGCAAAAGTGCACACTGTGAGGACAGGATGATGAAAAGGAAGCTTCTCTCAACTGTCCACCCCTAATGTAGGCCAGCCCCACTCTCAACAAACAGCAGCCTTCCCAAAGAGCAAACGTTAAGGATTATTAAACCTTCATTTCTTAATTTCCATTTTGATTCAAAAATCGCAGGAGACTATGATCTTACTTTATGATTCTTTCCCTATGCAGTTGGAATTGGTGATCTGACATTTATAAGCTGGGAAAGGTAGGGTTTTTCTTTATGGCATTAAATATTCTCTTTCATGATGGTATTTCACTTTACAAATGGCAAATATATCATGATGTGACCTGCGTAGAAGTGTTTTCAAGGGAGGTTTGGGAGTTCTGAAAAATTCACCTTGCTGTGTGGCATGTTGAAAGCCCACTATCACGTCTGATGCACTTTATGCTGGCACCATGCACCATATTGGTGAGAGAAAGCTAACCAATACGGGGAAAGACTTGGAGTTTCCATTTCATATTCAGCAAAGTTGTTTTTCTAATGAATTCTAAGAACACAACAAAGATGCCATTGGTATCAAGCTCTTTCATATTTTTTTTTCAGTCAGGTGTTTATGCAGGAAATACTAAGCATTCACATGTGCCAAACCTCAATCTAGACCCTGTGGGGAATACAAACGTGAAATATCCTTAGACCAGCTTAGGGTAGGGTCCTAGGTAGTTTCTTGCTCAGGAGAGCTTCCAAGGTCAGGCTCTTTATGCAGTTCAATGTGGCAGTATTGACATTTTAAGAGAAATACAGTTTGTACCTTTATGGAAAGAATATAGAGCATGTGAATGTTAAGTAAAAAATTACAACTGTGTGAATTCACAGTGACGTGAAAGTTCTCACCCTGCTTTATAACTTAAAGCCAGCTGAGTTTGTGTCCCTCCCTCCCCATTAGACAGTAGACATCCAGTGAGCAATGAGCCTCTTGCTTTTTATCCTCCCAGTTCATTTCATTCTTTCTCCTCCCTTATTGATGGAGTGACCCCTATGTGCCCGGCACCCTGTAAGAATAGGAAATGCACACTATGCCCCCCGGTACTCTTGCTTATGCTACCTGAGGATTCGAAGGCAGGCTTTACCTTCATAGCTCCTACAAGGTGATCATGCCTTTTCCTTCTCTTAGCAGAGTTCTAAGAATGCCCAGGACCATAAATCAATAAGTTGTCCGTGGCAAACAATCTACCAGAGCTTGGGGATAGCTGGGCAGTATTTCTCTAGGGAACGAAGGCTGGCTAAATAGCCAAAGTTTATTGAAGTGCTCCATACATTGCTTAAGACTAGAATTCACAGTCAACTGCCTGGGGTGGCTTTCACTCCATCCTTCCTTCCAAGAACCACAGAGATGTAGTAAATGAGCCACAGGAATAGGGATTTCTTCCAGGCTGGAGATATTACAACCCTTCTCTCAATATAAGAGTTGGCTTGAAAAGGCAGCATTCACTATTGAGGGGATAACTCTGAAGAGGGCTTGTGGTTATAATGGTTTTATGATTATTTTGGATCTTTGTAAAGACTCCTGTGTTTGGGTACTGATTCCACACTGGAGAGATCACACAAACATTCCTTAACATTAGTCTGTGGCTTTGTTAGACAGAATTGAAAGAGCTCTGTGTCCATTCCAGTCCCCAGTCATACCCAAAATCATCTGTCATTCACATGACTGTGGATTTTTTTTCAAAATTAGACTGTTAGTCTTCTGGGTTTTTTTTGTTTTGTTTTTGTTTTTTTTAATTACATATACAAAAACAGTCTCCAGGAAGTCTGTGCTATGTGTTGAAAACAAAGGATACTTAAGTGAGGTTGTTGTCTTCCAAAAGCCTATAGATAAGAAGGTAATATTTGCTAGTTTAAGTGCAAACATATGTACACATACATATATATATATAAAAACAAACAAATAAACAAGTTGGAAAAATATCTGCCCCTTTTATCTATCATTAATCAATGGATCAGGAAATACTGTCTGAGAAGCTATCCTTTGGGGGAAGTCTACACTATATGTTGAAAATAAAGATGTTTAAGTCAGGTCACTGTCTTCCAAAAACGTATAGATGAAGAGAATTTTCATTGAAATACACACATACATACATACATACGTAAAAATAAATATTGCATGTTCTCACTCATATGTGAGAGCTGAAAAAATTGATCTCATGGAGTTGGAGAGTAAAATGATGGTTACCAGAGACTGGGAAGAGCAGTGGGTGTGGCAGGGATTGAGGAGGAGTAAAGACCCAGTTAATGGGTATAAAAATACAGTCAGGGAGAAAGAATAAGATCTAGTGTTCAGTGGCACAAAAGGGCAACTATAGTTAATAATTTATGGTACATTTCAAAATAACTAGAAGAGTGGAATTGGAATGTTTTTAACAATATTTATGCTATATTTCAAAATAACTAGAAGAGTGGAATTGAAATATTCCTATCACAAAAATATGATAAATGTTTGAGGTGATGGATACCCCAATTACCCTGATTTGATCATTATACATTGTATACTTGTATCGAAATATCACATGCACCCCATAAATATGTACAACTATTATGTATTCATAACAATTAAAATTTTAAAAAAATTTAACAGAATTTAGCAAAAAACCCCACACAGACATACATAAAAAAACAAATTACCAGGTTGGAAAAAAAATACCAAAGATGAAAAAAGATATGCATTGAGCAAATATTTTCGAAGTATTTGTTTACTAGGCATGTTCTAGTGCCAACAGAGAGCTTTTATTTTAGGGAGATAGACAAATAATAAACAAGTAAATATTTAATTTCAGGTAATAGAAAGTTCTATAGAGAAAAAATAAAGTAGGATAAAAATGAATTATGAGAGAAGTGTGATATTTACATAGAGTGTGGTCAGGAAAGTCCCCTCTGAAAAGGTGATATGTGATATTAGGCCATGTGAAAATGTGTGTGGGAAGTAGTCATATGTCCAGATCATGCAGGACCCTGAAGATAACAGAAAGGGCTCTTCATTCTGTTATTTTCAGTAAGATGGAAGAGAATTTGGGGGTTAAAGGTGAGGACTGGCATGGCCTAAAGTGTGTTTTAATAGGATCACTGTGACTTCTGTGCTAAAAGCAGACTGCAAGGGACAGAAGCTGAAGCAGGAGGTGAGTTAGAAGTTTCCTGCAATATCCAGGTGAGAGCTGATGATGGCTTTGCCTGGGCTGGCAGTGGAAGTGATGAGAGATGGGTGAATGAATATTTTGAGGATAGAATTAACAGAAATTGCTTATTGGTTAGAAGTGAGGTGTGAGAGGAAGAGAGGAGTCAAGGAAAATACCAAGGTTTCTGCCTGAGCAATTGGGAAAATTGGTAGTTAAAATAAGGAAGACTGAATGAGGATCTAGACTGCATGGAGGTAGAGATGAAGGGAGGGGTGGTGAATGTCAGGAGCTCAGTTTTGGCACACTGAGTTTGACATGCCTATTAGACTTCCAAGTGGAAATGTTAAGTATGCAATTGAATAAACAGGTCTTGAGTTCCAGGGAGAGGTATCAAACTGGGGATACAAATTTGAGTGTATTTAAAACCTTTATACAACCTAGGGAGTGTATATAAAGAGAAAAAAAAGGTGTATATAAAGAAAAAAAGGACTGAACTAAAGAATGGCCCCAAAATTTAGAAGTCAGAGAATCAGAAAGACTCTGCAAAAGAGATTGAGAAGGAGTGGTCTGAAAGAGAAAAAGAAAACCTGGCACATACGATGCCCTGGGATTCAAGAGAAGAAATTCTCTCAAGGAAGAGAAATTTATCAACCACATCAAAAGCTATTGCTTGTGCAAATAAGGACTGAGAAATAAATTAAAAGCTAATTAAAGTAAAAAAAAAGAGGTAGAAGTATGTAGCTAAAAAGTGAATAGAGAAGATTAAATAGAATGTCTAAAAACAAACAAAAAAAAACCCCAAAAAACTGGTTTACTACAAAATAAAGTGGGAAAAAAGAGAAAAAGGCCAAAGAAGATATAGGACTTTCTTAAATAAAATATAGGACATATT
Organism: Homo sapiens; assembly: GCF_000001405.40. NCBI lineage: Eukaryota > Metazoa > Chordata > Mammalia > Primates > Hominidae > Homo > Homo sapiens. The sequence goes on along the minus strand of NC_000005.10, from coordinate 158,408,662 downwards.
TAAAACCCAAGCATATTAATAATTATATTAAATATAAACTGCTAAGTACTGCAATTAAAAGGCAGAGACAGTCGGGCGCGGTGGCTCACACCTGTAATACCAGCACTTTGGGAGGCCGAGGCAGGCAGATCACGAGGTCAGGAGATCGAGACCATCCTGGCTTACATGGTGAAACCCCGTATCCACTAAAAATACAAAAAATTAGCCAGGCGCGGTGGCAGGCGCCTGTAGTCCCAGCTACTCAGGAGGCTGAGGCAGGAGAATGGCGTGAACCTGGGAGGCAGAGTTTGCAGTGAGCCGAGATTGTGCCACTGCACTCCAGCCTGGGCGATACAGCAAGACTCAGTCTCAAAAAAAAAAAAAAAAAAAAAAAAAAAAAAAAAAAAAGGCAGAGCTTGCTAGACTAATTAAAAGTAGCAAAATTCATACATATGGTGTCTACAAGAAAAAAACATTTTAAATATAATGACATAGGTTACAAGTAAAAGGATGAAAAAGGTATACCATAAAAATACTATTATATAAGAAAACTGGAGTGAGTATATTCACATCAGATAAAGTAGACTTCAGAACAAAGAGCATTGCCAGAGGAAAAAAAAAAGGATATTTCATAATGATAAGGTTAACTTGTTAAGATAATGTTATAACCACAATGCAAAACCATATGTTCCCACTGGAATGGTTAAAATTTAAAAGACTGACAGCATCAAATACTTTTAAGAATGTAAAACAACTAGTATTCTCATACATTGCCAATAGGAGTGTAAAATGGTATAGCCAGTTTAGAAATCAGTCTACTAGTTTTTCATAGTTAAATTTACATCTACTTATGACCCAGCAATTTATTCATATGTATAGAGCCAAGAGAAATGAAAACATATGCTTTTAAAAGATGTGGATAAGAATGTTTATAGCAGCTTTGCTCAAAATAGCACCAACTTGAGACAACCCAAATTTCCAGACAGGAGAATGGAAAAAAATATGATATAATTATAAAATAGAGTACTACTCAGCAATTCAAAGGAATGAATCACTGTTACGCATAGCAACATGAATGACTCTCCAAGCTATTTTTTTTTAGCAAAAGAATTCAGATACCACAAAAAAATGCGGTTTTTGCAATTACTTTTAATTTAAACTTTTAAACCATAATTATGAAGTCCTGGGACAAGCAAAGCTAATCTACAATGATAACTCAGAAGAGTATGTACTTCTGGAGTGGTAGGTTGGTGGCAGGGATGAAGCATAAGGCTGCTTTCTGGGATGATGGAAGTGTTCTTTAGCTCTATAAGGGCATGGTTACTTCGCTACAGTTCATCTCACTGTATGATTATTATAACTCAACAAAATTGTTTATATAAAAGGAAAAAGTTTAGAAATAAAATATTTTAAAAGTAAAAAGATAGAGATCTATGATACTTGCCACTTATGCACAAAAAAGCCAAAAAATATCTATATTTCTATTGATACTATGCATATGTGTAGAATTAAGAGCAGCATTTTTACATTAAAAGAATCTGACTCAGTAGCTGTTCCTGTCTGACTCAGCACTAATCATAACCAACAATAGCATTTTCTCACTTACATTTCACAACACTCTTTATGTAGTGGTTTGTTTTACTTACTCCATTTCACACATGAAACAACTGAATACTAGAGAGTAAAATGACTTGACCACGGTGATATTATTGTTGAGCAGTAGAGTTAGAACTTGACTGCATGTTTCATTACTCCAGAGTTGGTGCCTTTAAGCACCACATTGTACTTCTTTTCTAGAGGGGACACAGGCACTTTCTAAGGGGTCTCCTGAGTCTCTGCAAGATCTCAGACAATCTCACCATGTATTCTCTCTGTCTCCAATCATGCTGCCTTCTGGGGCTTCCAGATTCTATCTTACCCCCTTGTACCTGGTTCTAAGCTTCCTACCTAACTCCTTTAGACCAATGCTTCATTTAGAGTCACTGCTTGGCTTTTGTCTTTGGTTTTATGCCTATGTACTATCTTTTGTCTTTGGTTTTATGCCTACGTACTGTACTACTCACTAAAACAAAACTTGAATGTGTTGGATCTTAGGAAAACCAGTCCTTATTAATCAGAGTTTTAAAAGTCTGACTTGCAGATTCTGATAATTCAACTACTTTGTGTTCTCCAAAATTCAAAATTTCTAAAGGCTAAGGCTAGATCTGGCAAGAAAGCAAGAGAAATAAGTAATAGGTTAGAATGTAAAACAAACAACCTTTCAGCAAGCTATGCCTTTTAACCCTGGGAAATACTCTGGTGCCTTAGAGAACACAGGTCAATGTATCGCTCTTCCACTTTATTAAATTATTAGTATTAAAAAATAACTCTGAGCAAGCAACAAAACACAGCACAGTGCTTTCTACAAGTAAAATTTAATTTGCTATCTCAAGAGCTGCTGGCTTTTATCGCCATAGATTGGAGCATGGTATTTTCAGGGATAAAGTTTTTTTTCTTCTTTTTATCTAGTTTGGAGGAAACATGGCCAACATTAGTTCCAAATATTTTATTTCAAACATAAAGCACAGAACCAATACTAATAAACAACAGGCTCTTATGCCAACACTGGTGCATGTTTTTGTTATTGCATTATATTCCATGAAAGTTATTGTGCATAATTACATAGAAAAAAACCATTGAACTTGGAATTATAAAACCATCACCACAAACCAATGATTCCACTTGATGTGTATTAAGTCATTAAATTTATTATTAAAAAAAGAAGGAGAGAAAAAAATATTTTCCTTGTAAATCATTAAAAATGCATGAGAGTTGAAAGCAAAGCAAACAGCCCATACGTTTGCTTAGGGAACTACTGCTGAAGAAGGCACTGCAATTCAGAACAGAAAATAAGGTTTTGTTGAAATCAAAATGCCCTGTTATCCAAATGACTACCACGTGGGCTGTTGGGTAGAAAAGACTTATAAATTCCAAGAACATAAATGTTGGTCCTGGCATCCTGTAATAAACAACATGCTTGGAGGGTGGCTGTGGTCTAAAGGAGCCTCATGATTGAACAATTCAAAGGATGGGCTGCCATGGGATCTGTGAATGGCAAGAAGATCCAGAAAAACACACGCTGAGTTAGGACCTGTCTTCTGGACAAGGGTCAAGATGCACCACCTTCACACCAATAGCAGAAACAATGGCTTTACAGCCAGTTATTTAGGTATCAGTCTATTCATTCTGGAGGATCACCAAATTCATGTCACAATTCAGTCTACGTCAGCACTGCATATCTGCTCTGAAAAGCTTTTGTTTAATATGCTATAACCATGAGACATTAATGAAATGGGCAGAAGTAGAGAGAAAGGGACCAGGTGGTACATATGTCAATCAGCATTCTTTCCATTGCTAGGAAGATGTTAATTCAAACTGGCTCAGGTAGAAGCGTATCTTTACTGAAAGGAAAGTCTAAGACAGTCCAAGACTGGTGTATTAGTCCCTTTTCATACTGCTATGAAGAAATACTTGAGACTGGGTAATTTATAAAGAAAAAGAGGTTTAATGGAATCACAGTTCCACATGGCTGGGGGTGCCTCACAATCATGGTGGGGAGCAAAGGAGGAACAAAGGCATGTCTTACATGGCAGCAGGCAAGAAAGCGTGTGCAAGGGAACTGCCCTTTATAAAACAATCAGATCTCATGAGACTTATTCACTTTCACAAGAACAGCATGGGGAAACCCACCCCCATGATTCAATTACCTCCCACCAGGTCCCTCCCACAACATGTGGGGATAATGGGAGCTAAAATTCAAGATGAGATTTGAGTGGGGACACAGCCAAACCATATCATTGCACCCTTGGCCCCTCCCAAATTTCATGTCCTCACATGTTAAAACCAATCACATCTTCGTAACAATCCCGTAAAGTCTTAACTCATTTCAGCATTAACTCAAAGGTCCAGAGTCCAAAGTCTTCTCTGAGACAAGGCAAGTCCCTTGTGCCTATGAGCCTGTAAAATCAAAAGCAAGTTATTTCCTGGATACAACGAGGATACAGGCATTGGGTAAATACATCCATTCCAAATGAGAGAAACTGGTCAAAACAAAGGTGCTACAGGCTCCATGCAATTCCAAAATCCAGCAGGGCAGTCAAATCTTAAAGCTCTGTAATGATCTCCTTTGACTCCATGTCTCACATCCAGGTCACTCTGATGCAAGAAGTGAGTTCCCATGGTCTAGGGCATCTCTGGCCCTGTGGGTTTGCAGTGTATGGCCTTCCTCCTGGCTTCTTTCATGGGTTGGCATTGAGTCTCTTTGGCTTTTCCAGGTGCAAGCTGTTGGCGGATCTACCATTCTGAGGTCTGTAGGATGGTGGCCCTCTTCTCACAGCTCCACTAGGGAGTGCCCCAGTGGGGACCCTTTGTGGGAGCTCCAACCTCACATTTCCCTTCCATACTGCCCTAGTAGAGGTTCCCCATGAGAGCTCTGCCCCTGCCTCACACCTCTCTCTGGACACCTAAGCATTTCCATACATCCTCTGAAATCTAGGCAGAGGTTCCCAAACCTCAGTTATTGACTTCTGTGCACCCACAGGCCCAACACTACACGTAAGCTGTCAAGGCTTGGGGCTTGCACCCTCTGAAGCAATGGCCTGAGCTTCACATTGCCCCCTTTTAGCCATGGCTGGAGCTGAAGCAGCTGGGACACAGGTTACCATATCCTGAGGCTACATAGAGGAACGGAGCCCAGGGCTAGGCTCACAAAACCATTTTTCCCCCTAGTCCTCTGGGCCTGTAATGGGAGGGGCGCCATGAAGACCTCTGACATGCCCTGGAGACATTTTCCCCATTGTCATTGTCTTGGTGATTAACATTTATTTCCTTGTAACTTTTGTGAATTTCCTCAGCTGGCTTGAATTTCTACTTGGAAAATGTTGTGGTTTTTTTTTTTCTATCACACTGTCAGGCTGCAAATTTTCCAAACTTTTACATTCTTCCTTTTTAAACATAAGTTCCAATTCCAAACCATATATTTGTTAATGAATAAAACTGAATGCTTTCAAGAGCACCCAAGTTACATCTGGAACACTTTGCTGCTTAGAAATTTCTTCTGCCAGATACCCTAAATCATCTCTCTCAAGTTCAAAGTTCCACAGATCTCTAGGGCAGGGGAAAAATGCTGCCAGTCTCCTTGCTAAAGCATAGCAAGAACTACCTTTGCTCCAGTTCCCAGTAAGTTCCTCCTCTCCATCTGAGACCACCTCAGCCTGGACTTTATTGTCCATATCACTATTAGCATTTTTGTCAAAGCCATTCAACAAGTCTCTAGTAAGTTCAAAACTTTCCCACATTTTTCTATCTTCTTCTGGGCACTGCAAATTGTTCCAACCTCTGCCTGTTACCCAGTTCCAAAGTTGCTTCCACATTTTCAGGTATCTTAATAGTAGTACCCCACTCTACAGGTACCAATTTACTGTGTTAGTCTATCTTCATACTGCTATGAAGAAATACTTGAGACTGGATAATTTATAAAGAAAAAGAGGTTTAATGGACTCATAGTTCCACATGACTGGAGAGGCCTTATAATCATGGTAGAAGGCAAAGGAGGAGGAAAGGCACGTCTTACATGGTAGCAGGCAGGAGAGCATGTGCAGGGGAATTGCCCTTTCTAAAACCATCAGATCTCATGAGACTTATTCACTATCATGAGAACAGCATGGGAAACCCCCCACCACATGATTCAATTACCTACCACTAGGTCCCTCCCATGACACTTGGGGATTATGAGAGCTACAATTCAAGTGAGATTTGGGTGGGGACACAGCAAAACCATATCAACTGGAGACCAAGTTCAGTTAGGCCACTTAGAAAACTCTATTGGAAGATGGGGCAGGGAGTCTCCCCTCCTTTTCTGCTTCACACAGAGTCACATGTAGGCCTTTTAGAAGAAGGGGCTATATGTGAATAGAGTACATTTCTATTAGTCATCTATTTTTCTAGGCTCACTGGACGTATGGTTTCTTAATCCATGCCAGTTCTTTCTGATTGACTGATGGCTTTGCTGCTCCTTTCTAATTTAGGTTATGTGTAGCATTGGTTTGTCATGGCCCAACACTGGCCCTAACTTTACAACTTTATCTCCCATCTAATTGACTTTGCCTTTCCCCTTTGTTTTTTGTTTGTTTGTTTTTTGGAACAAGTTGTCCTGGTTTGGATCAAGGATTTATTCCTGGCCCAATCAGTAATGGCCAGAAGAATTGGTCAACTTCCCAATCACCAGGGATCAGGATGAAAACAGATTCTCTGAGAAAGGGATGAGGACATGGCAAGCAAATTGACTGGAATATCCACAATCATGTCAGGCTCTATGAACAGCCCTAAAATTATCAGAAATTGAACTTGCAGAAAATATATCCTATCCCAGGTTTGAAGACATATATTACTTAAATAATTACTATAGTTCTTCAATTCTAAAACGAATATATTTTTCACATTTTAACATTTTTCAAATTGAGACATAAGACTGCAATCAACCTGTACATTTAACACAGTGTTTTCCCCCTCCACATAATAGCTGCTATTAAATTGATGATGCATCTTAAGTTAAAGTTTCTCTAAAAATTAAGGAAACATGGAAAGTGTAATTCCACTGGCTCACAGTTTTGTCAAAAGTGAGAAATTAAATCTTTTTATATAAAATTACTGTTAAGCACTATCTTCCTAATTGTTCTGTTTTTGTCTCACTTTCGTGGGGAAGATGACAATTTCATCATTTCCTCAGGTAATTCCCCAATCTCATTGTGTTACTCTGTCCTCTGGTATCATGCCTAAATCATGTCTCCCTGGATTAACTCATTATTCCAATTAAAGTCCTTGATATATGTCAAAGACATGCCCTTATCTGTGACAAAGCCATAAAAATGTGTTGCTTTAATTCCCTCTGTAAATCAGTTTTTCTACTCCATTCCCTTAATTATGTGCCAGTTTTCTCTGGAATCACTCCAATGTCTAGGATTTTTTTTCCTTAACCCAGAATGTTTCCAAAATATAAGTGTGGGAAACCAATATGGTCTGACAAACCTGCTCTTCCTCTTTAGTGATACCCTTTACACCCAGTTCCAGTGACTCCTTTCTCTTTGTCAAATGATTCAAAAAAGAATGAAACTATCTCTAGATTCATCCCGCATGCTTATTTGTAGGGGCATTTGTTCATCATAAAGACTATCCAATTTGATTTATTTTTCTATAGATAGCTAATTTTTCACTTTTTATCCTCCTATGGAATCTCTTATTATTATTTTTAACTCCGGAGTTATTTATTTAGTCTGGTAGTTAACACCAGGTGCTGTGGACTGGCATCATCAAGGAGTGGAATGGTATAACAGGAAGACTATCCTACCCCAATAGAGGTTTTTGTTTTTTTGTTTTGAGACAGGGTCTTGGTCTGTCATCCAGGCTGGAGTGCAGTAGTGCAATCTCATCTCAGTGTAACCTCTACCTCCTAGGCACAAGCAATTCTCCTGACTCAGCCTCCAGAGTAGCTGGGATTATAGGTGCACACCATCAAGCCTGGCTAATTTTTTTTTTTTTAAGAGATGGGGTTTCATCGTGTTGGCCAGGCTGGTCTCAAATTCCTGGCCTCAAGTGATCCACCCACCTCGGCCTCCCAAAGTGCTGGGATTACAGGCATTAGCCACCACGCCCTACCCCATATCCCAGTAGAGTTTTAGTTCAGGTTGTGATACTGACACACTATTTGGCTTTAAAGAAGGATTTAATGTCTCTGGGCCTAGCAAGCGGTTAGGAAGACAGAACTGGGTGATTCCTAAGACTTCTTCAGTTCTAACATTCCACAGTATCATTTCTTAATGGTCTGGTTAATATCTTTTCTGAGTTCTCATAGGCTCAAAATCAAACGAAGTCCTGGACCAACACCTGTAATATCTCGCCAAGCCTGCATTCATTACCCATATTCTGCATCTGTCAGGAGGTGACCATCCAGGCTCTTTCAAAGTCCATACCAAATGTACATGTGTGTTCATGCACACACATGCATGCACACACACTTAGCTTTGAAAGTGAGCATTTATGAAATCCAGTCCCACAGAAGTTCAGCTCTGTATCTTTTTTCCTGCTGGATATGCAAGAAAAAAGAAATGGTGTCCTTGTCCTTCACTCTGATAAGAAGGTGGCACACTGCCTTCCCCTCTGATAATCTAAATAAGGAACTATTTATCTGGAATGATTTATGCTATTTTCTAATATTCTGATTATAAAAACAGGTGAATATACCACAAACTTACCTTAATAGACTGTGGCCCGCCCTTTGCAATCTTTTTTGTGTATTTTTGGTTTAGGACATCCCTCCTTCATGCCCAGTCCCCTTGATAGGAACCAGCCATGCCTGGACTGAATAATCGCCATTATATGACTTCTCCCTAGTTTTGCAGTTTAGAATTCCATTCTTTTGGCTTCTGGGTTCATCTTAGATCACAATTTTGCTTGCTAAATTAAGAAGTAACTACCCAAAATCACACAGGCATGTATCAACACCTTTAATCTCCTAGGAGGCATATTGTCCTGACCTGCTGATTCATATAGTATGTGTTATGCTCAAATTACTGAAGAATTCCCTTACCAGCCTTTTGTCAATAGTTATTTTTGCAAGGTCTTCATTACTTCCTAATTGACTAAATTCATTTTCTTCATTTCTTTCATTAAAGACAGGCTTAGAAGTGACATCAATTTTGTAGCTTTTCTAATGGCTTTCTTCTTTCAGGCTTGTCCTCATTTCGAAACAGGTCTGTATTCTACCCTTAGCTTATATCATCTATCTATCTATCTATCTATCTATCTATCTATCTATCTACCTACCTACCTACCTACCTACCTACCTAGCTACCATCTAGCCATCTATCTATCATCTGTATTTTTGGATTTAATTGAGATTTTGAAAAGTCGCCAGTAACCGGATGTCTAGCTTTATAAACTTAGGTATGAATAACATTCCCCCTAGTAAGATTTCCCCCTTGCCTTAGTTCAATATGCATGGAACTACATGGCTGGACTAGGAGGAACCTGGCCTCTTTATTTCCTGACCATCATTTTCCCCTGATCTGGGCTTCTAAGATCAAGTCATCCTTGGTCTTTTTTACCTAGTGGATCCAAAAGTTTGATGTGCCTTCCCGAGGCTAGAAAATGCCCTACTACTATAAAAAGTTCATTGCCCCAGAATGAACTACATCTCACTGGGCTCTGCGTGCTGCATTCCTTGCCAATGCAAGTTCCTACTGAAGATTCAACAGGTCTTTCTTCAATGGCTACATTCAATTTGTTTCATGGCAAAAGTGCCCTGAATGCCCAAATTATAGTTGGGGTGTGTGTGTTTGTGTATGTGAGTTTTAATTCACTGAAAAAGTTGCTTCCCAAGGTTTAGTGTTGCACCTAGAAGATCTGAATCTGTGCATGTTCTGGGTTCTTCTGTTCCCTGGGCCCAGAAAAACCATTCCCTTTACCATTTTAATGGAGGGTTGAAGTCCTAGATCTGTGTCTTTCCAAATTATATAAATAACCCTCAGTCATTCGTTTTAGGAGCCTTGAAACCTCCCTTCACCAATGAGTCAGTAAAAGGCACCCTGGCCACTTTACTAGATGGAGACAGCCTAGAATTATAGAGAAAAGGAGGGGCTCCATCATGACTCTCTTAGAAGATCTTCAGGCTCCAAGGCAAATGTTCTTCCCCCTCCGTTGGGCTTGCTTAGCAATCGTTTTTTCTGGTCAGATACCTCACTGTACACTCTAAATATTCTTAAACATTAAAGCATTTTGCTAGTGGCTTCTTTTAGCATTTCCTTCTGAGACGCTATCCACACCTGGCTGACAATTTTAACCGTCTGTGTGGCTGGCCAACTTGGCTCAACAAACCACAGTAAGGGTGTGGGTGTTTTTCATTGAAGAAACTGCTTTTGCTGTTTTTACTGGCTTGACCAGTCAAGCGAATTAAAAGAAGTTGCATGTGCTTTTAAAAAATTAAACCATTTTTGGCACCTTGATCAGTGTTTTGTTGAAATCTAACTGATTTTTACTTGAGTTTGACACAAGTTGAGGTTTAAAATTGCTTTCATCTATAGACCTCCCCTTTCTATGAATAACCCACAGAGCCAGTCAACCCAGTATGAACATTCAGCTTGTCAGTTTTGCCATCTGCTACTTGGGCATAAAATCTAATGGTCCCCATTCATTGCTTAAGATCAAGATCTTTGAATATGGTAAGACCTAGAGGGGGTCTTTAGCCTGGTTTTGCCCTGCACTAGCTACATGACCTTGGGCAAATTACTTCCCTTTCTTTGTGCTTCAACCATCAAATGTGAAATGGGTTATTACTTTCTCTGTGATAAGTGCTCTTGAGGGTACAAAGATTATCAAAATAAGATCCCATGATCAATTAATTTATATTCTAAATGGAAGAAGAAGACAAAGACACAAATAGGTACATTGAGCAGTGAGTTCATGAGACATCTACGAAGGGCCATGGGGGAATTAAAGAAGGAGAGATTACTTCTCTGGGGAAGAGGGTTATCAGGAGGCCTCCTTGAAGAAGGTGATATTTAATGAAGAGTTTGATTCAACAGGCAGCAGTAAAAATAAGAAGAAATCAGCAATAGCAATAGCAATAGCAGCTAACACTTTTAGAATGTCTCCTGCAAGCCAGAGCCTATGCTGAGCAGGTGACTTGTACAATGTCACTCAACCCTTCCCACAGCCCCATGACTTAGGTATCATTAGCATATTTTATTTACAAGGCGGAGAGAGGTTCAATAACTTGCTGAAGAACATGCATCTTGTAAGGTTGTGCCTAGATTTCAATACAGAGCTTGTGTTCCTAACCACTGGGGATGTACTGCTTCCAGCTAGTTGGAAAGGGGGTGACAATAGAACCAGTAGGAAGAGTTTATACACACGCAAAAGAGGGCTGCAACAGTGTTCAAGGACAACTGGGTACTTATGTTTGGCTGCAGGAATGCATGAGAGAGCGGCAGGAGTAGGAGGTAAGGATGAGAACATAAGCTGAGGTCCCCATAGGGAGAGATGGCCTTTAGGAGCCCTGCAATCAGAGTAAGCCACACAGTCAGAGATTTGCTTCAGGAAGACGGATTTGGAAAGGAAGGTCACTAAGGCTGAACTGAACGGACTATGGACTGGTTGGGTTCAGGGGAAAGGAAGGTTGCTAAGGCTGAACTGAACGGACTTTGGACTGGTTGGATTCAGGGAGATGAAGGTGAGGCATGATTGCCAAGTTTCCATCAGGAGACAATGTGGAGGAAAGCATGTTGATAATTAGCGAGTGCCAATCAGATGTAAGATTTCTCTTTTCACTCATGCTCAAGTTGTGTAAGAATAGGGGTTCGCCATGCTTTTCTGTCACTAAAGAATATTCAGATTCCCCCAGAAAATCTCCCTCATGGAACAGGGTGGCAGCAGGGACACCTTCCAATGTCCTTTCTAAAATCATACGTCCATGCAATTTCCTAAGCCACAAGCACAACACACATAATGATAACTGAGTTCTTCATCCCTTCACATCCCTGTCAAGAAGAGGGTTAGAGGTAAAACAGAAAGGTACAGGGCTAGGGGCCAGTTTCAAACACATCCTAGTCACTTTCAATTTACATTATTTTGGACCAAGTCACTGATCTCTGTGCACCAAATTATCTCGTTAAATCCTCTTAACCACTCCAGGAGGCATAATGAATCCCATTTTGCAGGTGCAATAAACTGAAGCTCAAAAAAATTAAGGAAGGGCTGGGGTATGAACTCACATCTGCCATGCTCAAAAGACTGGGGGTTATCAGATCACTAAAGTCTTTAAAAATGTAACATTAATTTATTTGTAGTACTGACAGTCTCTATTTTAAGTACTCTAAAGTATGTGTAGCTCCTCAAGTGACCTTCCAATACTTCTTAATCTTATAACGCAGAAGTTTCTAGAACAATTTTTCCAAGCATCTTAGGTTTTGCTGAAAGAGTATCTTGCATAATTCCAACCCTGGCAAAACTCTCTTAATGATGTTATTTTACACCATAGGCATTGTGGTTGGCCTGAGTCAGCCATTTTTTTTTTAATTTTTTTCTCCCCCTACCCCCTTCTTTTCCAGTCAATATTTATTTTAAATGCAAGAAGTCAACCTCCTTTTTAGCTGATGAGGCTGGTTGTTCACACACCTTTCGGGTGTATAACTGACAAGTGTCCACTTTGGTGTGGGGCTGATTCTAAACAATCCCCTGAAATGTTCCAAGGAGAAAATGCAGGGGAAACCAGGAATTTGCTGAGCAACGGATGTGCTGATAGTTACAGCCAAAGTGGTTCCTAAATGTTGTTCTGAAAAGCCTGATGATTAGAAAAGGTTAGATTGGCAGCCTTCAAGCATTTCCACTCTAGCCCCCTGTGTCTTCTTTACTAATTCTTTCATGGATGAGAGGAATCTGCCCACCTGTGGCAGCAAAAACCCCTCTTCCAGATGCAACTCTTCATCCAGCCCCAATCTCACAGCTCCTTTTCCCTCCTAGTGCACTCAGTAACCCTCTCTTTGTGGACAAAGTGCCTGCTCGGTGGTATTTTAATCCTGACTGCACATTTGAATCACCTAGGAAGCTTTAAAAAATGTAAGTACCTCGGCCTCACTAATACTAGTTAAAATTGTGTTCATGGAGGCAGGTCCTGAGGTCCGCAGGTTACTCTAATGTGTAACATGTTCAGATCTACCATTTTAGGGGGTCAGAGCTCTGGGCCAGGGTAATTCTGAAGAAGAAATGTTTGAGTAAAAGTTTGTCTTGAGGTCTCACTGTCATGCTTTTTCAAGAGTAAGATATATTATTAAAAAAAAAAAAAACCTTACACTTAATCAGGAGTTAATCTGATTTTCTAAAAGGCAGAAAACAATACCCATTCTAATTTTGAAAACAAAGGAGAATCAAGCAGCAATGTGTATTAAGATCTCACCATGGTAGCTTTGTTTTCTCCACTCCCCTTGTCTCCATCCCAACCAGACTGTATATTTTTTTGAGAGAAGATGGCATCTCGCTTATCTCTGCATTCTTCAGGCAATATCTGGCATAGGGTCTGGCACTGAGTAGATATTCATTAAACGCCTATTAATGGAAATGAATCTGTAATTTACTCTTTGCAACATATGTAGAAGCTTCTGCAACCATTGGCCCAGCCAAGGTGAGGCTCCTATTCCCTACACACTATGCGGAGATGCAAATACTCTTGGCAAAGCCACTTTCCCACAGCGTCTTGCTGAACTTGACTTAGTTTCTTACAGACTGTATCCTTAACACCAGTTTCCATTATATGAATGCATGCCAATGATCCCTACAGAGATCAGACACCTGAAGCCTAGTCCAGGTTTGCTTTAAAAAAATAAAATAAAATAAACTTTTACATTTTAGAACAGTTTTAAATTTCCAGAAATGTCACAAAGAGATTACAAAGAGTTCCTGGATACTCCTTTCCCAGATTTCCCTGTGGTTAACAACTTACATTACTATGGTACATTTATCAAAATAAGGAATCAACACTGATACATTACAATTAACTAAACTCCATACTTCATTCAGATTTCACTAGTTTTCCTCTAATGACATTTTTCTGTGCCAGGATCTTATCTAAGACTTTATGTTACACTTAGTTGTCATGACTTCTTAGCCTCCTCTGGTCTGTGATAGTTTTTCCAACAACCAGATTCTTGTATTTGATGACCCTGACAGTTTTGGGAAAAGCTAGACAAGTTCTTTGTAGAACATCCTTCAATTTGGGTTTGTCTGACATTTTCCTTCATGGGGTCATGGATGGGTTGGGAGAGAAAGATGGCAGAGGTGAGGTACCTTTCTCATCACAGGATGGTGCCATTCCTTTCAGATCTTTGGGCTTTACTTTTGAGAGAACTATGCTGTAATGGTAGGCCTAGAGTCAGATGGCCTGATCCCACACGCTGTCTCCACTACCTACTCATGTGTAATGTCAGGCAAGTCCATTGTTCTCTCCAGGTCTCACTTGCTTTATTGGCAAGCTGGAGTAACAAATACATCTGTCGTATATATTTATTACATTCACCACAGTACCTGGCACATGGTTAAGTGTTAAAGAGATGATAACTATTCTCACTATTTATCATTGTTAATCATTATCTTGATAAAAATTTCCCCATGTTTTCTACATTGAATATGAGAGATGAACAAGGTAATATTTAAGGCACCTTTAAGTTATAATATTCTTGGATTATGGGTAAATGTATTCAGGTATTTTGCATATTTTTTAAAAAATGGATTCATCACTGTATGCTGTTTCACAATTTCCCAGTCTAATTTTCTAATTACCTTTGTAACTGAAAGCTGACTTAGCAATTCTGCCAATACTAGTTTAATTGGGTTTCTCTATAAATCAGAAGCAGCTACAAAGTATGAAAAAACAGTAGACATAGAATGAGAAGATGTGAGTTCAATCAGGAGATGGGAGTTGACATTATCAGTTGTTAAGTTAGTTTGGAGTGTGTTTCAGTTCTAGGGATGGGTTGACCTTGATTCAGCCAGGCTCCCTTGAATGAGTCCATCCCAATTAGACTGTAAATTATTTGAGAGAAAGTGGCATCTACCTCCATGGTAGATGAAGGGCTGAACCAAGGGTGTGACCTAGGACGATGAGTAGAATGTGGCAGGGCACAGTGGGAAAAAAGAGGCACCTTATGGAGCATTTAGCAAGCCTTGTCTAACAGGTGAGAATTGTCTAACACGGCTCCAGGGCTCTCCCTAAAGTATGGCTGGCAGTTCAGCCTCAAGTTCCTCATCTACAAAGTGAGAATAAATAATTCCCAGCTTCTGGAATTACTGAGAGGCTCTAATGGGACCATATACTTGGAAAAGCATTATAAACGTGAAAAATGCGATTTAGATTTACTATTACTTGTGAATGTCTAGCATGGAAAACAGTGAATAGTAAGTGGAAATGGGCTTATCATATTTACACAAGCACATAGATTCTTCCTGTCTACAAAGGTCAATGACATGGCCCAAGCATGAGCCTGGCAAAGATGAGCTTTGCTCTCGGTAATGCTTAGGAAGTTTGAGTTTAGGAACTCTTGTAAATCTTGAGGCCACTAGGGTAAACCTTGGAACAACTCAGTCAACCAATGGATGTACAGGAGTCTAGATTCAGTGGGTTGGGAATTAATGGGAAACTTGCTTCTCTCAGATAAGAGCCTCTGTTAATTAACATTTTAAATTTTAATGTGTCAATAATTTAGGAGCCTAGTTTGCTTAGCTTGTGGTTTGGTTTTTCCCCCCTCCTATGAAGAATAATATTGCAAGGGCAAAATCACTGAGCAGAGCATTTCTGCAAGTTTATTAGGAAGGTGAGAGGAGGTTAGTAGATTATCTTAACATAGCCATTTCTTTTGTTGCAGAGGCTGGTTCCTGATTTTTATTCTATGAGCTCAGGATGATGAACCTGATCCTAAAATCTGAGACACATGTCTTAAAATTGGGGCTATCTCAGAAAATAGAGGTAAATTGTAAATAAGAAGTTTTGCTATTCAATTATTGTCCAGGTTACTGCATTTAGACTGTACCTAAAATGAATCAATATAGTCACCTAGAAAGTGAAAATATCAATACGCTCATTGTTTCATCTAGAGCAGGAGTTGGCTAACTATAACCCGTAAGCTGAACTCAGCCCTCCACCTATCTTCATAAATAAACATTTTATTGGAACAGAGCCATGCCCATTTGTATGCATGCCCCCATGGCTGCTTTCACACTGTTGTGGTGACAGAGATGGCATGACCCACAAACCCTAAAATATTTACTATCTGACCCTTTCCTGAAAAAGTTTGTCAACACAAGATCTGAGATAATTTTAGGCAAACATTATTTTATTTGAATTGTTAAGTGTTCATTTTAATGTGTATTAGAAAAAGATAAAACTGCCAATATGCAGTTTTGTTTTGTAGATTTTTGTTATCGTTGTGAGGACAAGTTAAATAAGATAAACAAGGAGAACTCTGAGTCAGTTTAAGGAAGAATACTACAAAAATAATACTAAAAAAAAGGTCACAGTAAAATGTAAAACTCTAATATTTGAGAAACACAGACACATTGGGCAACAAACAATTTAATTTGTTTGATTTTTATAGTGAATTGACCTCTTTGGTTCCAAGAAAATTGGCCTGAGAGGTTTTTAAAAAGTGTCTTTTTAACTTATTTCTAAGTCTAAAATAGTTTGGGCAGAAATTAATCAAGTAGCATTAATGGTTTCCCACTCCTACACATGAAGAAGAGACATAGATGAACACCTCATTTGTAGTAACACAGACATAAGCAAATCTGCTGTGGTGGGGGAGAAGAAACAAGAAAAGAATTTTTGAAGTAAAGCCTTAATTCTAGTCTTTGCTCACCAGAAAATGGTCTTGACTAACTGGAAAATTCCTTAAGGTGTGAAATCAGACCTTAAAGCCGTATGCTTTGTCATGTGATCATGAACAAAAGAACTCAAACTAATCTGGTTCTACCACCAGTGGGCAAGTATGTAGGCTATAAAGAAAACCATGTACAGCCCCCAAAATGTACCACCTTCAGCTCACTCTAGGCCAGTGTTTCTCTCAGTATATGCCATGGAATATTTGTAGGTTCATTTTTTTTTAAGAGTTCAGTAGCCAAATAACCTCATGAAAGGAACACTGATTTAAACAGAGTCGAATCTGCTCAAATTAACTGCAGAACTTTCCAGGATCAGCATAGAGATACAGGTTGCAATTTTGCCCAAATCTTTCTGACTACAGAACTCTTTTCTCATGGGGCATTTTGGGAAAGGCCTCTTTTAAGGATCTAGAGAAAAACGGACATAGATAGGCATCAATATGACTTGGGGTCTAGAATTTATTTCATTTTGACTTTTTTTTTGGAATTCCTTGTCTTTTGTTTGTATCATCAATCTAATGAGAAGTGAGTTTCATGGCAGCAGATGGTACAGCTTCCAAACATGAGAGGATTTGTGCACAGAGAACACTTGGGAACTTTGAAATCAGTCTGTGTTAAAACTCTTAGGAGACTAATTAGACATAGATACCAAAATCCTTAAAATTGTGCCTTATCTTGCATTATCTTCAGTCAGCAATTTCACTTTTCAAATTATCCTTTGGAAATAACCAGAGATATATGTGTAAGGGGATTCCCTGTAGAGTGATTTATAATACTAAAAAATTAGAAACAATTTAAACGTTCAATAACGAATGATTGTTGAGAGGGCTTAAATATATTGGAATATTAAGTAGGCAATAAAAATCATAGGACTATAGAGTACTCATTGACACAGGAAGTTGTTTATAATAGTTATAACATATGTAAGGGACAGTACTATTAAATGGTATTAGTATTCTACTTTTATACAACTATACAAGTGAATAAACATGAAGAATATTAAAAAGACACAGGCAGTATAAATAGTGAGATTATTTTGGGTGGTGGAATTATGGGGAAAATATTCCTTAGTTGTGCTTTTCTGTTTGCCAGTTATCCTGCATTGAGCTGATGTCATTTAATTAGAAAAAAAGTTAGACACAATTACAGTAGAGAATCTTACAAAAACAGATTTCTCCTTATATCACTTTTTCCAAAAGGACCTATGACATGGAATATTTTGCAGATGTACTAGGTTACATACTGCTAGGACCAGAAAGGATTTTCTTCCAGGTGCAAGTATGGCCAAGGATGATACCAGAGCCCTAGAGGTTTCATGCTAAAAATTGCTCTTTGTGTTTGGTTCTGTTCAGAAACACGTCAATGTGAGGAATGACTGGGCTAGTATCTCAGGAAATGACCTCTGGTTTGTAATCCACATGGACAATTTCCCTGTAGCACACCAAAGCTCTGAGTCAGCTTGTCCTATAGATCTGCTCCCCCTATATATAGCTTAGGTCTCCAGGGACTTGTCACTTCCTTCCTCTGTCCACATTTCACCCCAACATGACAGTGCCAGAAGTAAAGTATTTGAGTCAGAGTCAAGCTGGAGAATGACCCAGTGTAGGCCAGGCATGGTATCCCAGTTGCTTCTGCATCAAATAGCTAGCCCTATCTTCACCTTGTTCGGTAAGACTAAACCGGCCAGCACAAATCTCTGTCCACTGCATCTTTAAAGATTCTCCCAATGTCAAACATTATTCAAAGAAAGAAATTTGTGACCCTGCTGGATGGCACTGGCCTGAGGTGGTTTGCTATGAACTCACTATGTGACCTTAGTTAAAAAGTCTCCCTGTTCTAGACCTCAGTTTCCTTGCCTATTTAATGAGATGCCTCGATTCACTTTCAAATGTTTATTGAGTTTCTACTCTGGGGCACCAAGGTGCACAAGACAGACGTACTCCTTGCCATAGGGGAGCTTACAATTTAGTGGAATAGACAGATAAGATTTTAAAAAGCAAATCTAAAGTAGTGTGGAAGTATTCCACAGAGGAGAAATTATAGAGATTCCACTGAAACCAAAGGAGGGGCAGCTAGGCCAGACTCAGGGAGTCAAGGAACATCTTGGCACCAATAATATCTGTGATGGTTAATACTGAGCATCAACTTCATTGGATTGAGGGATGCAAATTGTTGTTCCTGGGTGTGTCTGTGAGGGTGTTGCCAAAGGAGATTAACGTTTGAGTCAGTGGACTGTGAAAGATAGATCCACCATCAATCTGGCTAGGCATAATCTAATCAGCTGCCAGCACAGCCAGGATAAAAGCAGGCAGACGAAGGTGAAAAAACTAGACAGGCTTAGTCTCCCTGCCTACATCTTTCTGTCATGATGGATGCTTTATGCCCTCGAACATCGAACTCCAAGTTCTTCAGCTTTGGGACTCTTGGACCTTTGACCACAGACTGAAGGCTGCACTATCAGCCTCCCTACTTTTGAGGTTTGGGGACTCAGACTGGCTTCCTTGCTCCTCAGCTTGCAGATGGCCTATTGTGGGACCTCACCTTGTGATTGTGTGAGTCAGTGCTCCTTAATAAATTCCCCTTTATATATACATCTATCCTATTAGTTCTGTCCCTCTAGAGAACCCTGACTAATACAACATCTGAAAAGTGACCTCGAGAAGACATACTGAAATATGAGTAAGAGTTAGTGAAAGAGGGTGATGGGAGGAAACAATTGCCTACCAAAGGCCCAGAAACAGGAGGGTAACTGATTAGTTCAACAGGTTAAAAGAAATTCATATGGTCAAAATGGAGGCTGCAAGAGGGCGTGGAGTGGGATGAAGGCAAGCCATGTCAAAGTTTAGATGGGTGCTGTCCAATAGGTATACAATGTGAGCCACGTGTGTCATTTTAAATCTTCTAGTAGCCATATTTTAAAAGTACAATGAAACAACTGAAGCTAATATTAATAATATATTCCAGTTAACCCAATTATCTAAAATATTATTTTAATATGTAATCAATACAAAATTATCAATAAGATATTTTACAACTTTTTTTTTACTAAATCTTTGAAATCTGATGTTTACATTTAAGCTTATCTGTGTTCCGAATCATCACATCTTGAGTGCTTGGCAGCCTCACATGTGGCTATTGCATTGGACCAAATAGGTTTAGACTTTATCGTTAGGATGACGCAAAGCCACAAATGGGTGATAACAAGGGATGAGATGCAATGATCACCAGGCTGCTATGAAGATAATGGATCTGAACGGAAAATGTGAGAAGCAGGGAAACTGGGAAGGAGGATACTGAATAATTCTATAGAAAACATTTGGTTAATGGCAGGGAGAATAAATAGATCTCGATGGAGTCAAGAGATATTTCGGAAGAGATTTAAACATCTTGACATGCACATGAGCCCATGAAGCACTCAGACCCAAGAGTTACTTCACAAGGCATAATGATGTATTTATTTTTTCCCCTTTGACCTCTTCAAGCTGAAAGTCACAGGCCTGGGTGAGAAGTCACAGAGGCAAGACTGGTTTCCTAGGAGCCATGTAGCAAATAATTTTGGTGAATGGTTTGTGGTGCTGTTTTGACCCTTCATAGTCTGTGGAGAGTGAGATAGAGGAATCATCAGAGAGCCTGAGAGTGATTATCACTTTTTTTCTCCTCTTTCCATCAGCTGACACATTGAATTTGTGAACAGAGAAGGGGAGGAGGAGATAGGTGGAGAAAACTGCTTCTTAGGAGTGATTACAGCCACAGAGGGACTTGAAGAGACATCCTTGGACCCATATTTCTTTTGCCACCAGTGACTTCCAAATCAAATGAGTCCAATCTGCAGATCAAAATGAGATTTTTCTTATTGACTTCCCTGAAAGCTTAGCCGGCTCTCTGCAAATCGAGTCATGTGTATCCTGCATCCTCATCAACCATTGCCGATTGCAGGGATGTCGGAACTGGGCCAAGATTGGCAAATATGTCACTGATGCATGAGGCTAGGGAAAATCCAGCTCTTATTGGCCTGGCAGTGCTGACCTGGTTTGTCCATAAATGAAGAGCAAATGCAATTTGCAAAACACATAGAACTGATAAGGGATTACAACAAGGCGGGGCTGAAGCTGCTTTTCAAAGAGCAGGCCCTCTTGAAAAGGGGACAAAGCCGATTTCAAGATTGAAATCGGACAGCGTTTCTTAAAGCGTGCTCTATATGCCATCTTTATCATAATCACCTGGAGTTTATTTTAAAAATATGTATCTGGGTCTAACCCCAGGCCAGTTGAATTAGAGTGTCTGGGGGTAGGGCATGGGAAAACTCCGCATTTAACAAGCCCCGAGGTGATTCTTGTGCACATTAAAGTCTAAGATGTCCTTGAAGAAGGAAAGTTTTTCCACTTGGGTATTGGAAAAAACACTGAATTTGGAGTCAGCCCACTTGATCCTTCATACAAACTCTGCTGTTAACTGGCTGGATGACCTCGTAGTGAAGGGGAAAGGAAATGGGATGTGAGATCAGAAGCAGGCACAGGCCTACCTCTCACAGAAGAGCTGTGTAATGACAGTTAATAGCTAAGCTAAGTCTCACCCTCACCAGCAGAAAATGCAGAGCTGGGCTCAGGTGACCTTGAAAGGTGTGGTAGCTCTGACAGTCTATTTCTTTAAATCACCTAACATCAGTTTCTTCATCTGAAAAATGGGAAGCTTATGTTCTGTATTGGCTATGCTTTTTGGGGGATTCAATAAAACAATGTACATACATTTAAAAAATATTTTTAAAGGTGGACACAATATGGAGAAGTAGTATTAATTTATGATAGTTATCTCTACTTAGAGCAAGCTTGTCAAACCAATGCCCCAGGGACTACATGTGGCCCAGGATGGGGGCTTTGAATGCGGCCCAATGAAATTCATAAAGTTTCTTAAAACATTATGAGATTTTTTTTTTTTTTTTTGCTATTTTCCTTTTTTACCTTATCAGCTATTGTTAATGTTAGTGTATTTTATGTGTGGCCCAGGGAAGCCAAAAGATTGAACACCCCTGACTTAGAGTATTATTTGTCATAAGACTTCCCACACTGATAAAGTCTCCTTAAAAGCATAGTATTTTTTTTTTCCAGCAACACTGAAATCAAGGTGCATTTTACTGTTTCTGGCATCTTCCAATTGCAATAGGCAACAATATTTCTTCCTTATTGCCACACAAAATAATGGTGCATCTTACAATTGATGGCATCTTAGATTCTGTTAAATACAATGTGTTTTTTACAGATTTGGGGGTATGTGTTAGCGATACACAGGTTCATATGGAATTATGTTGTTCTCATAGCTTTCATACATTAATTTTTCCAGTCACTCTACCTGCTAAGTATCAGGACTTTTCATTGTATTCTGTTTTTTTTTCTTCTTCTTCTTCTTCTTTTTTATTATACTTTAAGTCCTAGGGTGCATGTTTTTGTTTTTGTTTTTTTTACAAAGCACAATACCAAGTACAAAGGGATTTTGTATTTGTTTTCTATAGCTCACATAGTGTGAAATGGGCCACGTTAACCTCTACTGATCCTCTGTTTAACACTACCACCAGCCTTGGAGAGGATAAGAGACTCACTTTGTAATACTCCAGGTTTTCTTTCCAAATATTCAGAAACAGCCCTTATTAATGGCTATACCTTAACTTGGCTTTCAAGTCTATCAATAATTTGGCCACTGTCTTCTTATACCTACCCAACACTAGCAAAATTTGATTATTTGATGACAAACTTTATATTCTCCTAACTTCACTACTTTGTGCTTTTTTGTGCCATATCCTTGCTCTGAAATGTCCCCTTTATCACCAATATCTGCCTAACAGATTCCTACCTATAAAAATATTTCAACTATTCAAGAGGCTGAGGCAGGAGGATCACTGGAGGCCATAAGTTCAAGTCCTGCCCAAAGAACATAAAAAGACCTTCTCTCTTTAAGAAAAAAACAATCATGGATACATGCAAATATTTAGCTTCAAGAATGTTGACTTTGCTGCTGTATATAAAAGCAAAAGCAAATATGCAAACAAAAATGGGACACGACATAAATGTCCAACATTAGGGGATTGATTACATAGGTGCAGTTGTACAATAGAATACTACATGCC
This sequence comes from Homo sapiens, assembly GCF_000001405.40. Lineage (NCBI taxonomy): Eukaryota > Metazoa > Chordata > Mammalia > Primates > Hominidae > Homo > Homo sapiens. The sequence continues at coordinate 158,386,107 of NC_000005.10, read as the reverse complement.
CGTTCTTGTGTTGTTTTAAAGAATGTTTAAAGGCATGGAATGATTGTCATGATATACTACTAAGTAAAAGAGAAAAGTAAGTACCATTATAAAAAATCATCTATCGATAAAACATAAATAAAAACAGATGAGAGAAGGATACACACTGTTGGTTAGGATCTAATTTTTTATCATGTCATAGGGTGATATGGTTTGGTTCTGTGTCCCCACCCAAATCTCACCTTGAATTGTAGTAATCCCAACGTTGTCAAGCACAGGACCAGGTAGAGATAACTGAATCATGGGGGCAGTTTCCCCTATGCTGTTCACATGATAGTAAGTGAGTTCTCACGAGATCTGATAGTTTTATAAGGGACTTCCCTCACTTCACTCTGCACTTCTCTCTCCTGCTGCCATGTGAAGAAGGACATGTTTGCTTCCCCTTCTCCCATGATTGTAAGTTTCCTGAGGCTTCCCCAGCCATGGGTAACTGTGAGTCAATTAAATCACTTTCCTTTATAAATTACCCAGTCTCAGGCAGTTCTTTATAGCCGTGTGAGAACAGACTAATATATAAGGAGTTTATTATAAGGCCACGCAGAAGAAAGGAAAAACAGGGAAGTTCTTGGAACCAACATGGAGATCTCACAGAGAACACAACATCCTACACACAATTCAAAATTGCAATATTGTTACAGTCACATAATGCAACTTCTCTCAGCTTCTGCTTTCCTCTCAGCTTTTTTTTTTAATTTCCCAGTATGTGTCTCAAATTCCACATATGAGTAAGAGGGTCTGATTCACTCACTTAGTCATCACCTCATACAGAGCCCCTGCACTGGACAAACCTCTCAGGCCAGGCTACTTCATGGCCAGTGGGCTACTCAGCCCATACACTGGTGCTTTTGGCCTTGATCCAATCAGTTGTGTGCAGGGTGGCATGATTGCATGACAGAACATGGAATTGTAGAGGTCAGGAAGTGCTGAGGCTGCTTCTCTGAAATGGGGCTGAAAGCAGGGCAGGCACTCCAAGACTCATACACATTCTTTTCCAGTACATTCATCAAAATAATATTTGTGGTTATGACAGAAGGATGGGGGAAAAATAAATTCATTACAGTTGGATTTGGCTCCATGAGATGGAAAACCCCAAATTACAATGGTTTCAACACAGGAGGGTTTATTCTCTCAAGTAGAAGAAGTCTGGGATGGCAAGTCACAAAGTCATTAGAAATTCAAGTGCATTCTAACTTCCTGCTCTTCATCATAGCACATAGTATGGAAGTCATTATTTATGTTCACTAATACTCTTTTTCTTCCCTCGTTTTGGGAACATGATAGGACTTCACTTCCTTCCCCTTTGAATGTTGGTGTGTCATGTGACTTGCTTTGGAAAAGTGAACTATAAAGGGAAGTAACATGAATCACTTCTAAGCAGAAGCTTTAAGAGTCAGTGCACAATCCATTATACATCCTTCCACCTACTATTGTGATTTTGAAAGCACATGTTGAGAGAAAGCTGCCATCAGCCTGGGTGATGGAGTGACTCTAGTTAGCACAGGTTCTTTGTTGAAGTCTATTGGATATTTAGGTGAGGTAGAAATAGAATATCATTGAGGTTAGGGGACTGTTTGTTATTATAGCATAACCTGGTCCATTCTGACTAAATACATATAGGCATCATCAAAATCACTTCCTGGTCCACTATGGCTGCTAGAGATTTAGCCATCACCTTCATGTCCCATCAAGAAGGAAAACTAGAGAAGGGCAAAAGGGCCAAACTTCCTAGTGAAGTCATCTCCCTTACGGAGTCTTCCTGGAAGTCCCACACAATGTTTTAACTTAAATTGCTCAGAATTTAGTTACACAGCCAATGTATTGATAACTGGCTGCAAAGGGTTCTGGGTAATGTAGTCTTTTAGCAGCACATTGTTGCACTGAATGTAATTAAGGCTGAGTTTCTAAGAAGGAGAAAAAAGATATTAGATAATCAACCAACACCATCTGCCGTAAAATATGACCCTCACTTTCTTCTTTTATTTATATTTTCTTAATTTCTTAAATAAAAACTTTTATAATTTCATATAAGAAAAAAGTTATTGGGACCTTCTTATTTATTCATCGGGACAGCTCAAAGTCTCTCTTAATCACCCCCATAGAAGCCCAGTCTTTCCCCTCTAAGTTCTCCCTAAATCTCATATGCCCCACCCTTCATTTTCTGATCACATTTGCCATCATGTCATAGTTTCATACCTACCCTACAACAGATCCCCTGAGGGCAGGGCTCAGCTCTTATTTCCTTCAGTCTTCTAAGATTCATTTCATGTATGGTAGATGTTCTATATTGGAAGGAGGAAGGACAAAAGGCTATTTCTCAACTGCTATTTATTTTTATTTTCAAATCCCAAATTGGAAGCAGAATTAGCTAATACTTTCACCAGAGTAAGTATATTAAGGAAGTGCCTAAGTGCAAAGCACCACGTTCCTATCCTGGTCAGAGTTCAGACAGTAAACCAGCTTCACAGACATTTAAGAGGGGCAACAATGTGACTTCCATGGAAACATGGACAGGTCAAATCTAGGTATGTTTGAACTTAAGAGACATATGGACAGATTGTTCTGGCAGCTGACTGTCATGAAGACTAGCACAGGAATGTCATCCAGAAGATGCCAGAGCTTCCCTCCACACTGCCCATGCCTGCTGGCCACCTTACATGTGACACCTTTTTAGAATAAAGTGCATGATAGCATTTAGTAACTAAAGTCCCTGAAATTGCATCCAAGTAAATTTCATAGAAAATTTCAATCTACAGCAGAGTATTGTGGGAAGAACTTGATGTACTGGCATTACCCTCTAGGCAAAAGTGTTTCAAATAAGTAAGAGGAGACTGAAAAAAGTCCCACATAATTGGGGCAGGAAAGAGGATCCTTATTCTAGAATGGCAGTCCAAAATAACAAATCGAAGAGCTACCACCCTGAGTACTGTTATATGTGCTATGCACCAGGCACTAAGCTAAGCACTTTATATATATTGCTCATTTTATTCCTACAATGTCCCCATATGACTGGTAGTATTTTAACGCCTATTTCTAAAAATCAAGCTAACAAAAGAGCTCAGGGCTTTTAGGAGATCAGTTATAGTGATGGTCCCATTTAAAAGCCCCCATAGGCACATTCTTTGGTGACTTTGTGGCTCCTCTTATCAAGGGATTGAGCCTATTTTCCCATTTCTTGGATCAAGGCTGGTTTCATAATTGCTTTGGACAAAACAGTTTCATAGAAGCAACAGTTCTGAGCTCTGAGAACAGTGCTAGTTCTGAGTCTATATCTTGAGAGGGCTTGCATGCTTCTCTTGCCTCTCTTAAAACTTTGCTGCTGCATGTAAAAAGCCTGGGCAAGCCTGCTATATTGTGGAGGCTCACGGAGCAGAGATGAGTCATACTAGCTGGGATCATCTTCAACCAGCCAGCCCCCAGCTGACTCACCAGCTGACCACAGAAGTATAAGGGAGCCCAGCCAGGTTCAGCAGAACCACCCAGCCAACCCCTAGACTCTTGAGCAAAAATAAATGTTTATTGCTGTATGCCACTGAGGTGCTGAAGTTGTTTGTTAAGCAATATTATTGTGGCACTAGAAAACCGGTAAAGGGATAAATAAGTAACTTCCTCAGGGTCACCTACCTAGTAAATGGCAGAGCTAAGGTTTGAACCAAGTGTGTCTAACTTCAGAACCTGCCACATGTGCAGAAGACTCGAGAAAGAAAAAAACCCCTCTCAATATGAAAAGTTCCTCAGGATCTCCAGTCTCCTAGTCAGAGGCCCTGTGTTCCAACCTGGGGTCTCTCTTAAGTAGTCCAGGCCTCTGGACCTTGGTTTCTTTATCTTTAAAATGGGCATAATAAATATTTATTTTAACAAGATTCCTGTTAGCATCCAATGAGTTACCTGATGTGAAAGCATTTCACAAATGGCTATGCAGATGCTGACTGGGTTAATGATCAGGCACATCACCCTCTCTACCCCTGCCAATATTCAACTACCCAGGGCATCTCTGCCTGGAAAAGGCTTTGCCTGGAAGTCCTCCACACTTCTCCACTCAGATTAATTATGGAGTGTGGGTGTGCCTGTGGAGGAGAGGGTGTGGATGGTTTGTCTTTGCAGCAGCCCCACTGCTGATAGCAGAAAAGCTTTAGCTGAGTTTGAAATGGGATAAAAAGGGAGAGAAAAAAAACAACCAACAGCTAAAGCTGCTATCAAACTCACAGAGGCCCTTAATGGTGATTTAATGCTGGAAGATCTAGCTTGCCACAAGACTGTGACAGGACTGTATTTTTTTCTGTCAGGGTTAGGTGAGTGGTAGTGTGGCCGCATTTAAAGGCGACAGAGAGGGGTTGGTGGAAGGGGCATTAATCACGTACCTTGGAGCATGGTCTGGACTATAAGCGGAATTAAAGGGACAGGGAGACCAGGAGATGACTGAGGAATGACCCTTGGGGCTGAACATTATCAAGGAAACACAAAAAGGAGGGCAGATCCACCCTTTGCCTGCACTTACTCCTCTCATTTGTATACCTAAGATCCTCGTCCCTGCATCCCTCACACTAGTTCCAGCAAAGCCTTTACAGAGGCAATTTAGTGTCCCTGGTGGTTCCAGATGTGGTCTCAGCATGCAAAAGATCAGGATTCAGAAGCACCACATGCACACCTTACAGTGTCTAGTTAACTCTTCCTTTCACCTTTTGCACATCTAAATACTTTTGAAAAACATACTCAGATTTAATATTTAACCCCAGAAACTACCCAGTACTGTGCACATACCAGCATGCATTTGTTCATTCACTTATCAAACACTATTTGCACTGCCTATTATGTGCCAGGCACTGTGCTAGGCCCAGGGGATGCAAAATTGAGTGACATACGGTACCTGCCCTCAAGGAGAACCCAGCCCATCAGAGAAGCATAATTGGAGGAGAAGGCTTATTTGAACTTGGAAAATCAGAAACTGTTTCCTGGAGGAAGTAGCATCTGAGCTGAGGCATGCAGGATGAGGGGGCTGAGAAGCATGCACAGGCACAGAGGTAAGAAGCAGCATGGTGTGTGGGGAAACGGGTGTAGCTGGAGACACAGGGAAGAGAACCGAGGGGCTGGAGAAGAGTCTGAAAGGAAGGCAGGACTCAGTCACGGTGGACAGGTGGGAGCTTGTAAGCCAATTAGAGGAGTCTGCAGGTGGTGTGAGACCAGCAAGGGCTTAAGCAGAGAGGTATTATGGTTTAGTTTTCTCCACCTCTACGACTGGCACCACCCACCTGCTTGTGCCAAAAACCTGAGTCAACCTCGTACTCATCCACCTCCCTCCTTTCTCTGCATAGCCAATCCATTAGAAAATCCTATACATTCTTCCCCTAGTACACAGCCACTGGTCTTCACCTCACTGCCCCCATACCTCCCAAAGCCATCTCCTAAGAGCTCCCTACTGCCACTCTGGCGTATCCCTGTTCTCCCCTGCAGACAAAGTCTTCTTTTCTAAACATAAATCAGAAAGCATCTCTTTTCTGCTGAAAACTTCCCAAGGGCTTCCTGAGGGCTAAAATCTCAGCATCTATCTCCTTGTGCTCCACAGTGCTTTATGTAATCAGGCCTCTGCCCACCCCTTTGGCCTCCATTCCCTGAACCCGGGCTCACCCACCCCGCCCTGGCCATGTGGAAGCACCTGCCGCTCCTTCAATAACGGGCACTCAGGCCCAACTCACATCTCACTGCCTTTGCCCTGATCATCCTCTGCTTAGTACTCCTCTGTCTCACATCATCCCATGATTCACTCTCAGTTTATTCAGATCTGTGTTCAAACGTCTCCCTTTCAGAGTGGCTTTGTCCAGGCTTACTAAAATACCCAACCACTACCCCAAGCCCCACCATCCATTTCTGTCTCTTATTCAGCTTTACTTTGGGAGGCTGAGGTGAGTGGATCACTTGAGGTCAGAAGTTCAAGACCAGCCTGGCCAACATGGTGAAACCCCCTCTCTACCAAAAATGCAAAAATTAGCCGACGTGGTGGTGGGCGCCTGAATCCAAGCTACTCAGGAGTCTGAGGCAGGAGAATCGCTTAAACCCAGGAGGCGGAAGTTGCAGTAAGCCGAGATTGCGACACTGCACTCCAGCCTGGGTGACAGAGTGAGACTCCATCTCAAAAAACAAAAAACAAACTAACAAAAAAACACTTATCCAACCTTAAATTGCATTGCTTGTGTATTTGTTACTCTCTTATTCTCTGTCTTCCCTTCTAAAATGTTCCATGAGCGAAGACAAATATGTCTATCTCGTTCACCGCCACATCCTCATCCTTTAGAACCATGGTCTCGGCTCATAGAAGGTACCAAAAAAAAAAACAAAAAAAAAGTTTGTTGAGGTGGAGCATACAGGAAATGAGGAAATGAGCATGTTTAAGGTAAGATGATGAATCCCCTTTTGGAATGGTTGTGGTATCTAAGATCCAGGCTCCATAGCTAAATTCAAATTTTTCTCTACTCTTCTGCACCCACGCCTCTCCCTCACACAAACCCAGATCCTGAGACCACTTTCTAAGGTCTTTAAAAAATAGTATTTCACCTCTCTGAATCCCATCTGTAAAACAGGAGTAATGAGACTTCCTTAAAAGGTAGCTATGAGGAGCCAATGAAAGAATATCAGTGAGATTTACTCCACAGGCCTGATGACAGATTTAGACTCCAGGAGATCATCACAGGATATTTTAATTTGATGGATACATAAATATTATTATACTATATTCTGATATTTAATATTTATTTGAATTTAATGCTTTTTTCCACTAGACTATAAAGACTAATTCTTACTCTTTTTATGCTTCTTCATTTCCCTACCCCAGTGCCGAGCACAGTGTTTACTGTTTATTTCACAGAAAACAAAGAGCTTCTGCTCCAGAATCAGGAGCGCTCGGGAATTTTTGGCTTTGTTAGAGCCAAGACCCAGCAGGACACACTGATTCTCTGACTGCCCCATCTCCAGGATCCGATTAATCCTCCTCAACTCCCTAATCTCCTGTTCCCAGACCTCTCTGCTCCTGACCACAAAAGCTACTGAATCCTTCATCTCAGTCATTACTTCTTAGAACATGTGCTTATAAGGATATGCATGTCTCTCTCTGTCTCTCCATACTGACATGGTCCTAGGCTGAGGTCAAAATCAGACACACTTCTCTCTTCCAATGTTATACACACACACACACACACACACACTTTTCTTATTCCAATATATCCTTTTGAAAAAATTAAAGCAAAGCTGTATATGCTATGTGAATGTTGATTTTTTTAAGATGTAATAGAGCTGGTAAATCATTCCTTTTTGTGACTTGGGCAGAAGTCAAATGGGCAGAAGGCATTCTTTTTCACAGTTGCATATCTTTCATGGTAAGCCATCCCTGAGTTTACTAAACAGATTTTCTACCAATTAGCATTTTGATTATTTCTTAGTTTTTGTTATTCAAAATTCACTGTATACATAGATGGGCATAACTGTAGGATGGATTCCCACAAGAAGACTGGCAATTGTAGGTATGCTGGAAATTTGGGTTTCTATTGCCAAAAAAATTGCACCAATTTAAATTCCAAACAATAGTATATGAGTGGCTGTCTTTCCAGTATTATCAAGTTTTTTATAACTTTGCAAATCTGCTAAGTGAAAAACAAAATCTCATTTTTGAGAATTTCTACCTTTTTTGTGAGGAAAGCTGAGCATCCTTTTGTATGTTAATACTGTTAATACTTCTTTTATTTGGACTAGTTCATATTATTGGCTCGTTTTTCTTTTGGGTTGCTAATTTTGTTTTCTGATTTGCCAGCACTCTGAAAAATTAAGACAATTAGTCCTTTATCTGCCATATCTGGTACGAATGTTTTTCTAATTTAGTATTGATTATAGTATTTTTTTCCATGCAGAACTTCAAAAATTTTAGATAGTCAAATCTGTCAGTCTTTTTTATGGCATTTGGGTTTTGTTTCTTCTTTAGAAAGCTCTTTTGTATGTCAAGATCACAAAAGCATTTCATCACTTTTCCTTTTAGTGATTTGTATGGTTTCTGCTAATTTTTTTTACATTTAATTCATTAATCCATGTGGAGCTTTGCATTACTTTTCTATTACTGCATAACAAGTTATCAAAAACTTAGCAGCTTAAACTGACATACATATATTATCTCACAGTTTCTGTTGATCAAGACTCTGGCCATAGCTTAACTAGGGCCTCTTCTTAGGGTTTCATAGGCTGTGACCAAGGTGATGGCCAGGACTGTGTTCTCATCAGAGGCTCAACTGGGGAAGGATCCACTTCCAAGCTCCCTCACTTTGTTGTCTGAATTCATTTTCTGATGCTGTAAGATTTATGGCATCTTGCCTTATCAAAACCAATAAAGGAGAGAAGGAAGAAAGGAGGAAGGAAAAAAGAGAGAGAAAGGTGAGACTCTAGAAAAATAGGCATTACACTTTTATGTAATCACATACATGTGATCACTTACAACCTATAATCTTTGCCACATTCTAGTGGTTAGAAATAAGTATCTGGTCCTGCCCACACTCAAAAGGATTACACAAAGGTATGAATACCAGGAGGTGGGAATCATAGAGACTGCTTTATAGACTGTCACTCATAGGGACTGTTTTATAGACTGTCACTCACAAATTTATTTTGGTAGAAGGAGTAAGGTAGGGATATAAATTTTTAGATGGTTAGCCAGATGTCTCAGTATCACTTATTAGATTATCTAACTTTCCCATACTGATTAGAAATTTTACTTCTGTTTAAGACAGAGACTTAAATGTCACAAACTAGGTAATTTCTCCTTCTTCTCTCATTTCATGTACACATCTGTGATACCAGAAATGCAGTTTGTCAATCTGATATTCAGCTTATTGGGCATAAAAAGAACATATATTCCCAGAGACAATCATTGTTATAGTTTCTGTCACATTCATATAGATATAATATATAGTCTTTAGTCATATTTATATCTACATACATATCTAGCTATAAATTAAGGTTGAGGGAAAGAAAATGAAGAGAGGTCATTCATTATCTCATTCTCTTCCTTGCAAGAGGTGCATATTCCCAGCAGGGCCCAGACAACCTCTGGCAAATTCAAGCATCTGTTAGAAAACACTAAATCAGTCAGCTTAGTCAAGAGCTTACACAAGTCATGCTCAAAAATGAGCCAAACTCAGGACCAAAATGGGGAAGTGGCTAAACAACAGGTAGGCCAGAAACACCTCTGGGGAGATGAGCACATTTTAAAGAAGAGGGCATAGATAAAAAGGGATGGAGAGTCTGGTAGGAAAGCCACTGCTAGTAAATCCTATGTATGTGAACTACCACAATATTCACTTGTGCCTTTGTGATTAGGATCCTGTTATGTTTGTTAAAATTAATACTTTCTGTGACCACTTTACATTTCATACTGGAGTCTGTGACCACCCATTAAAACCAATGTCATTGTCTCTCAGAAGCAGGTGATGGAAAGAGGATGAAGCATGTTCTAGCCATGAGATTCCCTGAAAAAATGTCCATCATCTCTATTGTTATGACAACCTATTCCCACTATGCTACAACCTTTATGAAAGAGGCTGCTTGTGTCCTGTGAATTAGTGGAATTTTTGTAATATTACTTGTTGTTAAATTACATATATATATATACATATATATATACACACACACAAACATATATAATGCAATAGTAGCATGCTATGCACAATTTTCTGCACTTTGATTTTTTCACAGTATGGAAAAATATGTATATGTAAAACACACACACATACACACACACATATGTATCATAGCATGGTTTCATGTTAGCACTGTACAACTGCCTCATATTTTTGCTTCATATTTTAATAGTTACATAATATTGATCAGAGGTAATATACTTTATGTAACCATCTGCTATTAAAGGCCATTTGGTCTATTTCCCATCCTTTGCTTTTAGAATAATTCTTTAATAAATGACTCCATACTTCACAACACAGTGTTAATTCATAATCCTTTTAGAAATTAATAAGAAATTATTTCTAACAAAATTTATGTTGTTTCTATCATGGATTGCCATCTGTCAAAAAGCATTACTATACAACAATTATCGAACTGAGGTACAAAGAAGAGGTCCACACTGATAGTCACTGGCAGAAACTAACATATAAACATGTTGTATTTGGCCCACACCATTGTTTTTCAAAGTGGAATGAATCATCAGCATTAAAATCATCCACGTGTTGATGTAGTTTAGAAATCACATCAAAATCAATATGTAGGGTGTCTCTTGAATAACTAAATACTTAGCGTTTAGAGGTCAGACTAGTCATGTAAATAATGAGAGAGGAAGTATTTGAGGATAAGACAATGGGGAGTAGTGGTGAGTGTGGGCTCACATTCTTGCACAATAGTAGTTGCTGGAGGTGCATAAGAGCTGCTCAACTCAGATGTGAATGGGCTTCCTGAGTCCACCACACAACCAAAATGGCGACCAAGGTTGCTCCATGTCTTTGAAGTTGTAACAGTTATCAGTTTTCATAACACATTCTGTATTTTCTCCTCCACAGCAGAGTCTAGAAAAAAAGTGAAATATTTTTTGTATTCAAATAAACTCGAAATAGTGGGAGGAAGAAAACTAGGTCCACACTCACCACCACTCCCTATTGCCTTATACTCAGATGATGCTTCTTTCATTTACAGGACTAGTCTGGCCTCTGAGTGCATTTGAGTTTCCAACTGCATATTTAAAAGAAACAGGCCTTCCCCAAAGTCAAACAGTCCAAAAGCTGCATGTTATTTTCCTTCTTTCTTTATTAAATACCCCCTCCATTTGTCAACTTTTTTGATGTTTGGACTGGAAAGCATTATTTGTTTTTTAATACCATTTCTTTAAAAAAAAAATCCTGAGTCTGTCCAACAGACTTTACAGCTAAAGTAGCCAGTCCGTTGATTCTGGAGGAAGAGCAGCTGGCAAAACTAATCAATGTTGGGCATTTGCATTTTTTTTTCCTTTTTTATGGTCTCCCCTGGTGCTGGGAGATTGGTTTTCTGTGTTGGAAGGAGAGCATGGAGAGCATCTGCTGTCTCCTGGTCTAGTGCATAGTAAAGAAGAGCGCGTGGTGCAGAATTCATCTACCAAATATCCCAACAGGTTAACCAGTTCTGGAGTGAGGAAGTCACAGCTCTTGCTTTTGAAGGTTCTCTGTATTGAGTATAAAAGATTCTGTGCTTCTGAGAATAAGAAATTTCTCTTCAATTTCACTCTATATACTCTAGGCAGCAAGATGATGCTTCTTAGACATGATGGTCTCCTACTGACGAGGTACTGACAAGAAAAAAAAATTAAATTCAAGAATGAACTTGAGAAAAATAAACATATGCATGCTCGTGAAAACTGGCAGCAATGTAATGTTCACTACAAGTTAGTAAGGGTTTTCTATCTTCCAGGTATTGAGCCTAGTGCTATGTGTGCAGTATCTCATTTAATTCTCTCAACACTGAAAGATAGGTGCTTGTTAACCCTGCTTTATAGATGTAGAAACTGAAGATCAGAAAGGCACAGTGATTTCTGCAAGGGCTCTGAGTTTGTAAATGACAGAGCTGGGATTCATCTATGTCTTTCTGCCTCCCTTACACCCTCATCTAAATCACTGGAAAGCTTCTTTTGTAGAGCAAGCATTCTACAAAGAGGTTTGCACTGGATTCTCAATGAGGACCACTGGGTGTCTTCTCTTTGGAATCTATAATGCTGCTGACGATAATCATTCAGGAAGGAACCGTTTGATCCTATCCTTTATGTAATTTTTTTTCCTTCCACATATTCTTCACAAGAAGCAAGCTATTGTTGGCCGCCTTCTCCTCAAACAACACACAATTGAAGTAGCTACCCCATGACCTCACTTCTAGTTTGAAAGGTTTTTTTGTTTTATTGGCCACTTTTCTTCCTGGCACTTCTAAGCTCTCCTTGATGTCCTAAAAAGTTAAGTCACTACTCACTAGCACTCGCTGCTGACAGCACACCATTCACTGCAACTCCTTGGCAAGAGGTCAGAGAGCCACATGTACCTCAGGTCACCTGTCCTGTAATCTATGAAGCTGAAATTCAGGCTCTACATCTACTTCTGTCCAAAAAAGCATTTAGTTATATTATTGTTTTAATAATTTTTTTAGTTTGCTTACAGTAAAATTCACTCTGTGGCATATAGTTCTATGAATTTTAACAAATGCATGCCATTGTGTAAGAATTTGGCAAGAAAACTACCGCAATCAAGATACAGAATACTTCCTTCCTCCCCAAACTAGTTCCTAATTTTATCCCTTTGATGTCACCAGCCTCCAGCTCCTAACTCCTGCAGCCACGGATACTTCTGTGTTCCCTATAAATGTACTCTTTTCCATAATGCCATGTAAAATGTAATCATGCATTGGGTATAGCTTCTTTCATTCAGCATATGCATTTGAGTATGCTGAATTGTACAGCTCAAATGATATGTGTTGAAGGAGTTGAGAGCAGGAGAGCCATTAAGGAAACTTTCATGTTGGTTCAAACAGTCTAGCATAGAATTCTTGGAGAACATATTCCATTAGTTTAAGCTAATTATAAGCTTGCTGCCTGCTATTTGAGATTGCATTTGAAATTTGTCCATACTTTTGTGTGTATCAGTAGTCTACTCCTTTTTACCGATGAGTAATATTCCACTGTATGGATGTTTCACCGATTGTTAATTTATGTACCATTGAGGGACATTTGAGTTGTTTCCAGTTTTTGATGATGACGATTAAAGCTGCTATAAACCTTTTTGCACAGGGTTTTTGTATATAAGTTTTTATTTTATTTATGTAAATACCCGGGAATAGGATTTCTGGATCATATGGTAAATTTGTGTTTAATTTTTTGAGACCCTGCCAATCTACTTTCCAAAGTGACTGTAACATTTTGCATTTTCAGTAGCAATAAATGAGAGTTCCAGTTGTTTTACATACTTGTCAGCACTTGATACTGGCAGGTTTCTTTTTTGTTTTTGTTTTGTTTAGCTATCCTAATAGGTGTGAATCTCATCATAGTTTTAATGCAATTCCCTAAATGACTAACGTTGAGTATCTTTTTATGTGTTTATTTTCCATTCATATATCTTTTCTGGTGAAGTGTCTTTCAAATCTTTTGCTTATTTTAAAAATTGGGTTGTGTTTTCTAATGATACTTTTATAATTTAAAGACCAATTCATTTTAAGTTGATCTTCCTTTCAAATTTAAATATCCCAGAAAAACAACACATTAGGCTTCTGTGAAGCACCAACATCTCATTATAAATTAGTTTTATCCATTCACTCAAAAGACATAAGCTCCTATTTGTAACTCTTTGTCTTGGTACTAGGAATGTAAAAATAAGCAAACACAGTCCACTTTCAAAGAGACTTTGCTAGATACATAGGAGATGGCTTACCAGAATAACCACACATGACTATAGCAAAAGGCGGAATATACTTAGTGCTCTGTGCGATTATATAAGCAAATTGTTAAGAGAGATTCTAGGGTGGGAGGGATGATATCTACTTGAGTATTTGGCCTTGATTAATGGGTACTATTTTGAAAAACAGAAATATAAAGGTAGAAAAAATATTTCAGGTAAAGATACAACCTAAGAAAAGGTGAAGGACCTACAGCTAAAATTATACTTAGTGGTGTAAGCTGATTGCTTCTCTCTTAAAATTGGAAGCAAGACAAGAATGTCTGCTCTCACAGTTTTTATTCACCATTACACTGGGGGTGTGAACCGTAGAAATTAGACAAAAAAAAAAGAAATAAAAGTCATGCATAATGGAAAGAAAGATGTAAAACTACCTCTATTTGCATGTGACATGGTCTTGAGCATAGAAAAATCCTAAAAAGTCGACTAAAAAGCTATTAGAGTTAATAAATGAGTTCAGTAAGGTTGCATGACACAAGATCAATACACAAAAGTCAGTTAAATTTCCATACACTAGCAATGAGCAATCCAAAAATAAAATTAATAAAATAACTCTGCTTACATAGTATCAAAAAGAATAAAATGCTTATAGATAAATTGAACCAAAGAAGTGCAAGATTTGTACACTGTGAACTATAAACTATTATTGAAATAAATTTGAGAACAAACTAAATGGAAAGATATCCATGTTTATGGTTTGGAAGGTCTGATATTGTTAAAATGGCAGTATTTCCAAAATTGATCTGCAGATTTGTTAGGGCTCAGAACGCAATACCCCAAAGTATGGTGCCTTGGCTTGCGAGTACTTTTTAACTGAAGGAGATAGGAGAGCCTCAAAAGCAAGAAGATCTCACCTTCTTCCACTTTCCTGCCTCCCATTCCTCTTTCTCCCCCAAATCAAGTGATAAAACCTACAAAAATTACTGTCTGGGTCACCCCTGAAAGTAGCTGATAAGACCTTTCTAAAGCAGGTGTCCTACTCTCTACCCAGAGGGAAGGAAAGTTACACAAAGAGGCCACAAAGAATCTGAACAAATAAAACACGCAAAAAAATTGAGTTGGACTTCTGCTGCAAACAACATATAAAAATTAATTCAAAATGAACTATAAGGCCTGAATATGGAACTATAAAACTCTTAGAAGAAAACACAGGTATACAATCTCCATGACCTTGAGCTCGGCAATATTTCCTTAGATATCGCACTAAAAACACAAGCAAAACGAGAAAAACATTAGATGAGAAGGACTTCATCAACATTATAAGATTTTATGCTTCAAGGTACATTCCCAAGGAAAGGAAAAGATAACCCACAGAAAGTGAGAAAATTTTGCAAATCATACATTTGTTAAGGGACTTGTATCCACACTGAAAAACATTTTGGACAGTTCTTAAAGAATGAAACAGAAATACACCACATGATCCAGCAATTCCACTTCTAGGTATCTGCCCAAGAGAAATGGAAACCTATGATAACACAAGGCCTTCACGTGAATGTTCACAGCAGCATTATTCATAACAGCCAAAAACAGAAACGATTTGAATGTCCATCAACAGATGAATAGATAAATGAAATATGACATACCCATACAATGGAATACTATTCAGCAATAAAAAGTAATGCATAATGATACATGCTACAACATGGATAAATTTCCAAAACATTATGCTAAGTGAAAGAAGCCAGGTATATTGTAGGATTTTATTTATATGAAACGGGGTTGGGAACAGAGTGTGAATGGGCATGATGGATCTCACTGGAGCACTGCAAGTATTATGACCATGATTGCACAACCCACCAAAAGTCTTAGAAATCACTTAATTGCACATTTCAAATGATTTATTTTTATATATAAAGTATACTTCAATGATGTTTTTAAAAATTGCCCTTACAGAAGTAAACTTTAATTCAAGTTAACAGACCTGGGCCGAGATATACAAAGCCATCCTCAGAAGGCAGAATGGCTCCCAGACCAACAAGACTTGACTATAGTCAGATTAAATGTAGTAAGAAATCTATACAAATAGTATGCCATTGGAATGGGGGCAGGCGGGTGGTCACTCTTGGGACTGTAGATAAAGGGGAGAAATGGCCTTGGTTTATGTGGGGATATTAGGGTTTCCATTACTCCTGGAATGAGGGCAGTGGTGGAGAGGAAGAGGGATGCTAAAAAGATAGCTGAGAGTTAGCTGCATGACTCCCCATGCACTGAGTCCAGGCACCAAGTTCTGGAAAGCAGTTGTTTGTTAGCTCCCATGTAGCTTTGCTGCAGGGTGATGATGCACTGACAGGCCAGTGCAAGTCCTTCCAGACTGTGGCCTTGTTCTTAGTAAATTAACAAGCTTAACATTCTTGGTACCACAGCAGTTTCTGTGGACCCTGTTAATGTTAACCTATCCCTGTAAAAACCAGGCTTCTGAGCTTATGGGGAAGAGAGCTGAGCTGGAGTGTGGAGAGTGGTATGTTCCCCATAGTAGATGTCCCCAGAGAACAGCTCCGAATGATCAGAGACCTCTCCAGTTGGTACCTTCTTTCCTGATGTGTGTTCCTAGACTGTGGTTAGCATAGCCCAGCACAGGTCAGTAGAGCATTCTGGATAAGAATGTAAACTCTGGAATCAGAGCGCCTGGAATCAAAGTCTGTGCTACTGCTTACCAAGGTGTGCAACATTGGGCAAGCTACTGAATCTCTCTCAGCTTCAACTTTCTCACCTATGAAACACAGTTACTAACAGTACCTACCTCATATGGCTGTTAAAAGGATTAAGTAAGATCATGTGAGAAAATGGGTGGATTTACCCTGTACGTAGCAGGAACAGTCAGTGCAAAAAGGTGAGCACTTAGCACAGAGCTTGTCACAGGGTAAACACTCAAACATGAGCTATTATTCCCAAATTGGCGCTCTCACCATATATTTCTGTTTTTTAATTGATTTTCTTACAATCAATGCATAACATTTCAGTTCATAATCAGAAAACAATGTTATTCAAAAAATTTGAAATATGATTTGTGTTTCTCCAGGAGGGAAAATAGAGAAGAGTAAGAAAAAGTGATGGAGGAAGGAAGAGGAAAAGAAGCAAGGATCCAAAATGCAAATGTGGGACATTTTAGAAGAGCAGAACGTTGCATTTCAGCCTTCCTGTCTGATATAACCCATCTGGTGACTGCATTCAAAAGAGCCCTACCAAGAATATTTTCATGGAGTTATTTTTCCACTGTGTATTTCACACTTCATCTTTGCAGGAGAATGGATGGATTTACTTGGCACGTAGCAGGGGACAGTCTGTGGAAAGAAGTGAGAAGGATAATCCAATAGCAAAAGTGAGGGGTGATGAAGAGTGAAAGGTACCAACGTCCCCTTCCGCATATTCCTCTCCACTCTCTCAGTATTGGAATCTAAGTCTGAAGTTTTAGACAAGGCTCAGGGACGGCTTAAACTGTAGATGCAGTTCCCTTCTCTAGTCCCAAAGGCTCCCAGTCAGCCCTAGGCCTTGTGTAGGGAGCTTCCAAATGCCTACTCAAGGTTTAATTAATTTTCTGCAAAAAATGATTGGTTGACATGACAGCAATAAACATCAAATTCCATTAATTAATACTGAGACATCAGTGTCCACGCTGCTTCTCAATTACACATTCAGAGGCAGCCACGCTTATGCTGGCATCAATTTGGTCGTGAAGCCCAGTAAGGGCTGTTAAAATGGAAAGAGGACCAAGGGGAGGGAGGGGTAGGGGGGTGGCATCTGTTCTTATGCAGAGATAATCAGCTTGGAAGAATTCACACTCCAAAGCCCACTCCCCAGAGAAGGGTTTAAGAGACCTAGATGAAAGGATTTAAATTTGGTTGGGTGAGGCATTTTCATTTTGCTGATGGCCTGGAAGGGAACTATCAGCTTGATGAAAACAAAGCTTCCCTCGGGTTCTAAGACATATTCTTCAAACTGGCTCCCCTCCCATTGTTCTTTCTTTCTCTCTTTCTTTTTTTTTTTTTTTTTATTAGATGAACTCATTTATTTGACATATTAAATTAGACAAAGAAATGTATATGTAACCAGATAAAAACAATCACATTCTCATACTACTTGAACACACAGCAGTGGTCAAAAATAATGGATTGTAAAATGGACCCCAGGATTTAATGCAAAAACCACCCCATACGAGGAGCTACAGTCATCTCCAATTTCATGTTAATTCCGAAGAGAGTCAAAGGGGAACAAAAAGCAATCTTTGCTTCTTCCACTCAAGAAAAAACCCTAAAGGGACCACAGCTCCCATCAGGCACATGCTTTAGGGCCTGGAGACAAAGTGAAATGTTCTCATGCACACATGAAGGGTTTGGTCATGGAGATAAAGCAATGTGATTAAATCTTGATAGATTTTTGTTTTAAGAGTGAAAAGAAAAAAAAAAAAAACTGGCCTTGTTTACCTGGTTACAAAGAGTGCTGTTGGTAATCCCTGGTAAATTAGCATCTTGATGAGCATATTTTCCCTCCCAGGATGAAGGCACCAAGGAAGAATCTATTTGAGGCCGTCTCCGGCCCATTCCCACATGGTGGCTCCATCCCTACCCCTTCATAAGCTCTGCCCCTGGAAGCAGTTGTTTCATTATTCCAGAAATTTTATGATAATTGTTTGTGACTTCAATTTAGAGATTATAAAAATAAAACCCCAGCCCCTATTCCAGAAATTTTATGATAATTGTTTGTGACTTCAATTTAGAGATTATAAAAATAAAACCCTAGCCCCACCCAGCCTCAGAGGACAATAGGCAAAGTTGATCATTGTTACATTTCTTCCATACCTTTATAGGGAAGTATTATTCCCTTATTAATAATTTAATGATCTTTTCCACTTTAAGGATGGAGAGACAAAGACCCAAAAAGTGAAGCAGTTTGCCCAAAGTCACTCTCCATATGGGTTACAGGTCCCTAATAGATACTGAGTGTTCAGAACAAGGGAGCAACGGAAGGGGGTGGGCTGAAACAAGAACATGCTTACTGCATGCTCCAGCTGGGCCTGGAGGCTCCAGGTGCAGAGGCTGATGGAGTTAAGATAGGGAGGACTCTTTATTATGATTTATTTCTGTCACCATGTTTCAAAAGGTTGGAGAGAAGGTGACTGGCCTAGACTAAAAAGTTGGAGCTGCACAGATAGAAATTAAATGGTAGAGGTTAGGATGTAATGATTTTGGATTCAGATATCCTCTGGTTATAAAAAAATAATGAAGAGAAAAGAAAAGGCCAATCTGACACAAAGGATTGGACCTAATGCTGAGAAAGGAGTCAAAATATTTCTTTCTATTCCCAGGCCCCATCACTAACTTGCAGAACAATCTTGATCACCTCGCTTAATCTCTCTGATCCACAATCTCCCATTTGTTTGAGGATACTTGGTTAAACCTGCTCTGTTATTGGGGTTGAGATGGGATAAGAATCAAATGGCATTTGTTGAGCAGAAAACTCCATTCATTTAAAAAGACCTATACATGGGGTGGAAGTTGGTTATCTACCACTTAGAGAATAATGGCTAGGGCTAATGAGCTTTTAATATGTCCCAGGCACTAGGCTAGATATTTGGCAAACTAGTCCATTCAATCTTCACAAATATCCTGTGAAGTAAGTACTAGCATTGCTCTAGGTTGCAAGATGAGGAAACTGAGGCTCAGAGATGTCAAGATACTTGCCTGAGAGTTGCACAACAAGTAGGTGGCTGAGCTGAGATTGAAAACAAAATTTGTCTAATTCTGGAGCTTGAGCACTCACACTCTGGGCCATTCCACACGGCAAAAGCACTGTAGTGTAATTCAGAAAAAGTCATCACTCGCCTCCATTGAACACTAGGTGAAAAACATCAAATGGGAGCATACACTTGCAAAAAGAGAACAATTTCTGGCCCTAAACAACCTCCTATTTTCCCCAATCAGTACATTTTCAATCCCACGTCTCAGATGAGAGCCTACAGGGAAAGAAAGCAAGTAGAGAGGTTTGGAGCAGACATAGCCCTGAAACATCCTGAAGGCTCTATGGATCAGCACATGGCTCCTTCTGCTTGAGTTCATTCCAAACAAATCCATTAAAAGCACCATCTTAATGAATATTTTATACAGTTACGACATAGTGAGTCCCATTTAGGAGGGGCTCGTACTAAAGGCTGAGACAATGAACTACTCAAATAGCCAACTAATCAGCAAGGCCAATAGAAATCTGGTCGAGGGCACAATAGTTTCACAGAAAGAAAAAAAATGAAAGCCATATACCCTCTTCTTGCTGGTTTAAGATTAAAAAAAAAAAAAAAAAACTCTACCTACCATGTTCAAATACTGCCAGCCATTAGGAAAAGTCAGCTGTTTGAGTAATTCATTTGTTTTCCTTGGCCCCTTCACAGCTTCTGAAGAAAGTCAATGTACAATTTGCTTGTTTCTGTTAGATTAGGTTCTATCTTTGAGCTCTTAGTAAACATGCACATACTCACACTCAAACACACACACATGCCTTAACCTACTTCCCCTAGAAACAAACTGGAGGAAGGAGAGAATCCTCAGGAACAAATTCAGTGATACCCCAGGTGCTGTTTCCCCAAGTCTTGCCCCTGACACAGGAGAACCTGGTGTGATTCAAGGACTTTGGAGGAGAAAAAGGCTGATCCTACAATCCGGAGAGCAAATCGGTGGCCTGGGTGTCAATGCACCCTGTGGATGGATTCTGTTTGCTCTGCCAGCCTTGATTTGCCTACTGATTTTGTTGTTGTTGTTGTTTTATTTGAGACACGGTTTGACTCTTGTTGCCCAGGCTGGAGTGCAATGGCACAATCTTGGCTCACTGCAACCTCTGCCTCCCAGGTTCCAGTGATTCTCCTGCCTCAGCCTTCCAAGTAGCTGGGATTACAGATGCCTGCCCCTACGCCTGGCTAATTTTTTGTATTTTTAGTAGAGACAGGGTTTCTCCATGTTGGCCAGACTGGTCTCAAACTCCTGACCTCAGGTAATCCACCCGTCTCGGCCTCCCAAAGTGCTGGGATTACAGGCGTGAGCCATTATGCCTGGGTTTGCCTACAGTTTTTAAGAAATTTTAATTCATTTTTAACATTTAAAAATGTAGAGCTTTCACAAACTTTTCTAGGTTTCTGAGTTCTCTTGAAAGATGAAGAGAGCTGACTGACATCACAGAGTCTAATTTCTGTACAGCCACAGTCACCTGGAGCCAAGTTGTAGCTGGGAAAAGAACTGGGATTCCCACTTCCCAGCCTCCACGGTGTTTCCCCAAACAGAAACACAGGATCCATTGGCATTTGTCACTACCCTTATGTGGCTGTTTTCCTTAGAGTTAAAAGGAGATCAAGGTATTTTTTTATATCAACATCTCTATCTAATGTGGGAAAGTGAATGGCAGATTAGGATAGGCATGTATTTAAAGAAAAAGGAGAGGAAACCATAAGCCTAATTCTGTGTGGGAATAAAGACTATGCATTTGTGTTTGGTTTAAAGTAAGGTTCTCACCTGGTCCCTGTGGGCATTTGAGATTGACACCCTGGTCTAAAGTTACTGACGATGTCTGGAAATTGGTCTTTAGGCTCTGTTTTCATTCCCATAGTTCCAGGTGGCTTCCTTAGTACTTGGCCCATTGCCAGGCATGTAGGAGATGTGCCGAAAAATAAAATGCATAATGAACTAAAATTACATTGCACCCTTTTCCCCTCTTCATTTGAACAGATTTCTGGGCACCACCTACCCCATGGTACCATCCTCCTTTGTTGCTGATTTAAGAATCCTTTTAGAGCCTTTTTTGCAGTCTATACAGCTTTACTTCAGGACCAATCAGACTGGAAAGAGCCTGATAATGGGATCACATAGATACTTTAGTGACTGGTTTGATAAAGTATTCACTTAGAGACCAGCCAAACTTAGATTTAAATTCCAACTTTGCCACTCATTGTCTTAACCTGGGTTTCCCAAGAGCAGGGCCTGAGATAAAGATGTGTGTGGAGGCTTATTAAGGAATGTGATCCCTGGAATAAGGGGCGGGAAAGTGAAGAGGGAAGGAGGAAAAAGCAATGCAAGGAAGCCTGAACTGCTGCAGGCAATTGGTTACCTCATACAGGAGCTTCCGAGGAGCCTTCTGGAATGTGTGTTGCATTCATCGGCCAGCAACAATGGCCTTTACCAGCTCCTGCCCACAGCCCCGGGGTATATCAATATCCTCATGCAACCAAAGGAAGCCAGAGAAAGTGGCAAGGCCAAGAAGATGTGAGGTGCTGTGCAAAAGATGTCCTATACAATGACCTTGGTTGAATTACTTCATGTCTCAAAACCTCAGTTTCTCCATCTGTAAAAGGGTAAAACATTAGTGTTTCCCTTTTAGAGATGAAGGGAGGAGGTAATGAAATAATTCATGTAAAGCCTAATAAAATGCATAGCACATAGTACATGTTAATAAATGGCGATTTCTAATATTCTAAGAACTGTGCATCCTGGAGGACTTTATCTGAGAGCTTATAGCAAAAATCAATGAAAGTGAACAATAGTAATTACAGTCTCAGCATTCGCCTAACGAGATGGCAAACTGGCTGCTACTAAGCCAATTCTGTCTCATAAACGTGTTCTTTTGCACCCTCCCCATGCTATATATGTGTATACGACATATAATATATGTATAACATATATTTTTAACAGAAATTGATTTTTTGCCAACACTTAAATTTCATAAAATTTCAATAAAATAAGATTTCTAGCTTAACCTTGACAAATAGAAAGATTTGGCCCCGCCGGGCTAGTATTCCCACAGCCAGCTACAGTTGAGTAGTGGTGACACTTTCAGCTGGGGCACATCTTCTCCAATTATCCACCATCCCTCTGTGTCCACTTCACCCATTCACAACCTGTCTGCCCCCATCGACATTTGCATTTGAAGCCCCTAGTCTGATCTTTAACCTAGAAAAGCAGGGTCCCTGGAAACTCAGCCAGGACCCAGGGACAGAAAATGCCTGGAAACAACAAGGTTTTGTTTTCCAGTAAGAAAGCAGAAGAGCCACACGAGGGCCAGGGCCGTGGGACTCAATGTCCCTGTGATGGAGAGCTAAGTGGATCCTGCTGAGGTGAGAGTGTGTGGTTCCAGCGAGGCTGGCTATTACCAACCTGAGGCTGAGGTCACCCCAGCTGCTCCTGGCGCCTGCAACTCTGTTTATTTCATTCTGGTTCATACCAGAGATTTATTTTTATGAACAGTGAACATTTTTTGTAACATTCCCTCATTTAACCTTCATTATCAAAGTCTCTGCCCAAAGCCCATATAAGCACCATTATTGCCCATATAACATTTTCCAACACAAACCATTTAAGGCATTTTTTTCCATTTTTATTTATTTCTCTTCTGTTACATTTCATTTGAAATGTGCATGGGGGAGAATGTGTCTTGTTTTTATGTTGTCTCATACAGACCATAAGCCCTAATGGTGGGGGCTGCCTATTTTGGAGGTTAATAAGCAATGGGGACATTCGTCATATGGAACAAACAACCAGGATATGCTGGCCTCTTAAAAAAGGACTAGAAAGGAGTTGTGTATGACTGAGGAAATTGAAAAGAAAATAACCCAGCTTTTTTGTGTCTTCTGAAAGCCTAGAAAACAAGAAGCATGGTGGCTCCAGAGCAGGAAGCTGGGAGTATTAGGAGCACAGTGCTGTAGGCTTGCTTCTCAGATCACCCATTAATAAGCAGATTCTCCATGGAGGGTGACAGTATGCCACGTATCCCTGAATCCTCCATACCTGGCCACTGTCTGGTCCACGGTGGGTAATTAAACAGTTTATACTATGGATCTTAGAAACTCAAATGACATAAGAAAAATTAGTAATATATTGGCTCACATAGTTGGAAAGTTCAAGTTCTTCAGGCATAGCTGTATGCAAAAACTAAAATAGTGTCTGCTATGATCTGAATGTGTCCCCCAAAATCCATGTATTGAAATGTAATCTGCATTGTGCTATTAAGAGGTAGGGCATCATGATGGCCCCGCTCTCATGAATGGTTTAGTGCCTTATCAAAGGGCCAGAGGCAACTAGCTTAGACCTTTTTTACTCTTCTGTTCTTTGGCCATGAAGGTACATAGATTTTGTCTCCTTTTTGCCCTTTTGCCATGTGAGGATGCCACCATGAGGAGACCCCATGGATGGACAGCAGGCCCTCACCAAACACCAAATCTTCTGGCACCTTTGTCTTGGATATCCTGGACTTTGGAAGGGTAAGAAATAAATTCCTATTGTTTAGAAATTAGCCAGGCTCAGGTATTTTGTTATAAAAGCAAAAACAGACAAAGGCAGTGTCTTTAGCTTCTCTGTCTCTGTATCTCTCCGAATATTCACTCTTCCTTTCTCTCTGATGATTTTACTTTAAGCAGGCTTTCTTCTTTGAGTAGTCAGATGTTCATCAAGAAGCTCTACGTTTATATTCCTACAAATTCAATAACTCCAATGATAGTGGAAGGAAGGAAAGAAGGGAGGGAGGAAAAAAGAAAGTAAGAAGGAGAGGGAAAGAATAAGTCTTTTTTCCAGTATTTTCATCAAAGGTCCTCATATCAATCATCTCAATAGCCCAGTTTGGATCCTTGAACAAATGACTATAGTCCAAGGTAAGAAATGCATTCATTCGAAGGTAAGTCAATGGTTAGCCTACCCTCCCCACAGGGGCTGAGACTGGAAAAGGTAGAATGCGTTCTGTGTGGGCATAAGCAGCAGACCCCCACCACAGAAAGGGTGGATGAAGCTATTCTACAAAGACAACAGCCAGCTAGGAAACCTTGCAAAGTCCATTTAATTCATTGCCACAAACACGTACTGCCTCTTACTATATGTTAAGATTGTGCTAAGGTCTGAGAAGGCAAAGTTGCAAAGCCATTGACAATGATCTTGACAAACCTAACACCTGGTAGAGGACACAGCTAACAAATCTTTAGGAACCCCTGTGCTGGAAAAAGCAGTGG
Organism: Homo sapiens; assembly: GCF_000001405.40. Classification (NCBI taxonomy): domain Eukaryota; kingdom Metazoa; phylum Chordata; class Mammalia; order Primates; family Hominidae; genus Homo; species Homo sapiens. The sequence continues at coordinate 158,361,663 of NC_000005.10, read as the reverse complement.
AAGTATGTGCAAGGTGCAAGAGCACTTCATCTGTTGGGAATTCTGGGAGCCAGTGTGGAACATATGCCTCCAAATTATTAAACAAGCAATTGTGGGGGCTGATGGTGAGGAAACCAGGGTACTTACATATGAATTACGTTGATCATTGGCTAAGAGCTGCTGGAGGATAAGGACGTAATTCCCCAGGCATTTCTGGCCTGCCATATGTGTGGACACAGGAGGCTTCCAAGGTTCTGAGGAGAGGGGAAGGAAGGAGAAAGGAGGGGAGGGGAAGGGAGGGGAGGGGGAAATTGGACTAGCAAATCCCTGAGGACCTAACCAACTCTAAAATCCTAAGGGGCAAGATTTGGTCTAGCAATCTGTATTTTATACTTCCACACTGGTTTGTCTCCATTTTAAAGCAACCTAAAAATGCGTGGGAAATGGGTATGTGGTAGGAGGTGGAGGCAACTGGAAGAGTGAGACGGTTAACGATTTTGTGGTGGAAAATCCAGGACTCCACACAAAAATATATGCATCATAACAGCCTAACTTGTTTATAAAGGATCTGTTTACTTTTAACCCTAAAATCTTGGACCCTGCACTTGCAGGGTAGAATAATTACAGACTATGGGCCATGGTAAGAGGACCCTCAAGGCTGTGGTTTCATGGAACAGATGAAGGTCACTGAGGCCAGAGGATGGTTATGCTACTGACCAAGTGCTCTTCCCTTTGTGCACAACCAGTGTCAGAAACCAAGAGGTGGATGTAGTAAACCAGGCTTCATAGAGAAAATTAATTTCTTTTCTCCATCTAAGGGCTCAATTCCACATCACATTAGTACTTTCAAAGCTTCCACCCAACCCAGTGAGGTTGGTTATATTTGCTTATATTATTTTTAGCATTTCCTACCTTTGGAAGTGTTTTACTGGCAGTTAAATAGACAGGACCCCAAAATATTACTGCAACAGGCCAATGGCTCTATGTGGCTACAGTTTCAGAGTAGGGCTCCCCATTCCAACAAAACCTTGTTCCCCAGAAATCTGCCCATAAAACAAAAACTCCCTGTGAACCCACACTAGGCCCTGTACAGAGCATGTGAGTTCCCAGGGAGAGGTTTATCTTCTTCTTGTTTCCTAAGATGTGTTCCGATAAATTAGATTTCTCTAGTTTTGTTCCTTCCCTTATATATGAATTGTGTTGGTCATTAGCTAAGGGATGCTGGAGGATTCTTTTTACATTCCATAGAGCACCACTACTGTTGTTTCTAAAGGAAGCTCAAGAATTGCATTTAATGGCAAAGGATGGAGCATTTAAAGTGGGAAGTCTGGGGATGATTTTAAAAATCCCATAAATAGACATTAGTGTGTCTTTATTAGTCATATTAGTGTTTCTATTTTATCACTCACATTAGTGTTTCTATTTTACAGATTAGGAAACTGATTACATCTTCTTTTTAAAAAATATTATACAGAAAAAATGTTAAAAATAACAATTCTAACTACTACTTCTGTGACTATTGCTACTATGATTAATATTAACAATGCAGTTAAACATAATTGAATTATTAATTAATAATCAATCATGACCGGATGCAGTGGCTCATGCCTGTAATCCCAGCACTTTGGGAGGCCAAGGCGGGTAGATCACCTGAGGTCAGGAGTTCGAGACCACCCTGGCCAACATAGTGAAACCCTGTCTCTACTAAAAATACAAAAATTAGCTGGGCATGGTGGCACGTGCCTGTAATCCCAGCGACTCGGGAGGCTGAGGCAGGAGAATCCCTTGAACCCAGGTGGCAGAGGTTGCAGTGAGCTGAGATGGTGCCATTGCACTCCAGCTTGCGTGACAGAGCAAGACTCTATCTCAAATAATAATAATAATAATCATCATTAATGAGTTAATTTAATCATTAGTTTATTGGAGCATTATTGAACACTCAAAGTTCAAAATAGTGCTAGACATTACCGATAAAAATAAGAAAAACAAGAAATTATAGTCAGCTATATCCAAACAGTATTAGGGCATAAGACCATACCTTGGGAACAACTGTATGCAGTCAGTTTCCTTAAGCAAAATGCTATCATTGCTCAATACTATATACCTAGAATGAAAAACAGAGGAAATGAAAACATGGGATTCTTAACTAAATTCTTCCTCAATTTTGACATGTGTTTAAAATGTACAAATAAAATTTTTAGAAAGCTTCAGAATAAAAGTGATATGCATGCATCAAGCACTTATGTTAATAGAACTTCATAAGAAAGAGGTGCTTTTTAAAAAAGCAGCAGTAGTAATAAAAGCTTAACTTTTGTTTTTACTTTAATTATTGTAAGTACTAATTTGGGGATACTGCATGTTGATATGACAAATAAAGTATCTAAAATAAACACATACACAATCATTTTCCAGGCCTTAAAGACATACTGATATTGCTCTGAGTCTTGTTTTAGACACTGTCATGCCATTATTTTTACTACTTAAAATATGAAAATGTATTAATCTAAAAGGAGTAATTTCCTTGACATGTCAAGAGTTTTTACAAACTAATAAGAATAAGGTTAATAAACAGCACAACAAGAATAGCAATAAAACAACCTAATATAAATTAGACTAACATACAACCCAAGAGAAAATAGGAAGAAGACATGAAAACAATTTATGATAAAATACTTTGGCTTGTAGAATGTATGGCAAAATGTTAACCTCATTTAAATCAAGCAATGAGACACCACCAGTTAAAGTTTGAAAGACATTGTCAGGGAATATGTATTTCATTGTCCCCTAGTTTATAATAAACATTGCAGGTAGCTCAAATGTTGGTCTCAATGCTCTTCATAAAGATTTCTATTGTTTTTCCTTTTTATTATTCTTTTATCCCCAGGCTGTGATTTTTCTCACTTTGGCCTTTTCATATGTTCCCTCCAGCAACAATGTTGGCTATGTCTGCACAGAATTTCTAATCCAAAGAGGTGACTCAAAATATTTTGGAGGTTCTCTATGCAGCATCAGAGAAAAAAAGTCCCATGCGTCCGAATCACAATTTACACCTAAGGGCTCATTAACATTAAGAAGCCCTTAGGTGTAAATGCTGTATTCCCAAAGTTATCAACAGTTTTTTAAAAAGAGCTGCCCAGATGAAATGGGCAAAGCTATCATTTGCTGCCAAACGTCAGTCAACCAGGGAAAAAAAGAGAAGGAGGAAACCATTTAAATAAGTGTTATTCTTAATTTGGATACATTTTTAATTTTTGAAAAATAGGGGTTATCTTATCTATAAAATCAACCAATACTACCTTCTTCAATTTGAATGTAAAGGTTTAAATGTAAATAATACTTGTTAATAATCATATGCATGCCTTATCACATTTAATTATTAAAATAACCCTATGACGTAGGTACTATTATTAATTATTCCCAATTTACAGATGAAAAAGCTAATGTTTACAGAGATTAAAGAATTTGCTGCAAATCACATGACTAGTAAGTGGCAGAGCTGTGATTTGATCCCAGGTAGTCTCTTTTTGAAATCCAGTTTCTTAAGTACTCTACTGTTCTACCTATAAACTCTTGCTGTGCCCAGAAAATAATTTTGTTTTCCCTCATACTGAGGATCAGCATAAATTTTCATAGAGATAACTTTCCTTTCTCAGAATCTACTGCCCCTTTGAGTGAGACTGGAATTTGGTGATATTTAGAGAGGGCAAAGGGCACCTTCTCTGTGCTTTCCTTACTTCTAAGTTCTCCCAGTGGACTAGCTCCAGACACTTCTCTTGGTTGGACATGATCCAAAATGTTCTTTTTTGCTTCTGCTTCTAGAAAGCTAATCAACCCAAATCATTAAGCAAAATCCGCTTTAAAAATTAGTAATAGACCAAGTCCCGTGGTATCATCAGAGGTTTGGCTAAGACCACAGGGAAAGAGCTAATGTCTGCCATATGCAAAGACTTCTTCACAGATACTTGCTATAGGACCTAAGGATACACAATAAAAGCAATCATGGAGAAATAAATTTCAACTCCACTTGAATGAGCTTATTAATAATTAGAGTTTTCGGCCAGGCGCAGTGGCTCACACCTGAATCCCAGCACTTTGGGAGGCCAAGGCAGGCAGATCACGAGGTCAGGAGATCAAGACCATCCTGGCTAACATGGTGAAACCCCGTCTCTACTAAAAATCCAAAAAAAAAAAAATTAGCCGGGTGTGGTGGTGGGCACCTGTAGTCCCAGCTACTCCGGAGGCTGAGGCAGGAGAATTGCTTGAACCCGGGAGGCAGAGCTTGCAGTGAGCTGAGATCGCGCCACTGCACTCCAGCCTGGGCAACAGGGGAGAGACTCCATCTCAAAAATAAAAAATAAAAAAAAATTAGAGTTTTCTCAGGAAAAAGTGAGATCCTCTGTTACTGGAGTGACGCAAGTGGACAATGAATAACTACTTGGCAGAAATATAAAGAAGTCTCAAATCTCAGGTGAAGAGTTAGATTAGTTAAGAAGTTTTCAACTTTGCTTCTTGATACATTGCTAGGTCCATAATCACTCATATGGGCTATCACAGGTAATTTATTACTACTAATAGAGAACATTTTTTGATTAATTTTAAAATCATATAAATTAAAGTGGATCTGTATTAGTTCCTTGATTACAAGCAATAGAAACTATTGGATTGGTATGGAATAGCTCAGATAATTAAAATTTTAAAATCGCATATACCCAGAAACCATATTATTTTTATAGTTAGTAAACTTGCCTGACCTACATCCATGGGAGGTTCTTATCATTGTCTACATTATCCCTCCTGTGTGTTGTGACAGAGTGAAAGCTGAGGATCATTGTATGTTTGGTTTTTAAGATTTCTTCCAAGCCTCAGATGCTGTGACTCTGTGGTTCTGCAGGGTGGGGGAACAATAACACAGAGCAGAACTGTTCCGGCCTCAGATCCATACTGGGTTTTGTGCGAGCACAATTAACCGGCCATGTTGCTAAGGCTAAGTCTCTGCAATTTATGGCACTAGAAGGACAGGCCAGCCCTTTGGGTTCCCTCTGAGAGAGTTGCAAGGGATAAAATAATGGAGTTACTTTGTTTCTAGAAGAAACCAGGCTATCAGTGTGAGACTCAAGCAGTGAAATCCAGGGAGAGAAAGAGAAGGAAGAGAAAGAGAAAGATCTTTACCCTAGCACTGATAGAAGGATTTACTCACCCACAAAAGTGTGTGAAATAAGGATTGATCTGAGGAAATTATCTTAGACAGCATGAAGTGTGTGTGAGTGTGTATGTGTGTATATATTTGTGTGTGTGTGAGGAAAGAGGGGAAAATCTAGTTTAAAAAATCAAGCATTTTGAAGAAAATGTTGGTCTTTGCTCTTCATGGAGTTTTATGTGACTTAGATTATTTTCATATTAATTTTCTTTCATTCAGCAAATACATACTGAGCACAAAGTATGTTCCAGCCTCTGGATTTAACTAGAATTAACATATAAATCTCCTTCTTGCTTACTCAGTTCCTCAAAAAGCCGTGCTGTCTAGACCTAGTGAAGGCCACCTTTGCCTCATGAGAGTTACCTATGCAGTGACCATACATTCCAGCTTGCCTGGGGGCAATCCTGCTTCACAAATGTGGTCCTAGCATACTTATTTAAAAGAGCCTCTTTCACCCTCAAAAGTGGTTGAATGAATTTCCAGCTTCTATCCCAGGATGTAGAGAGCTAGGAGTGCTGCTCACAGTTACAAAAATTAAAATAAAAGAGCCAGACTAACTTCAAATTCATGAAGTTTAAAAAATCCACTGGAGAGCTAAAGTGTCAAAGTCTTGCCCAAAATCTAGAGAGACAGTGAGAGGAGAGATGTGAGCACATGCTTACATAGGGAAGAGAACCATCCATCCACACACATAAGATCCTGGAATAGGGTTTATGTTTATGACTGAGTATTCAAGAGAACAATTGAGATCACATCCCCACATTCAATCGTCACTAAGCTGGTATGCTTCAGATAACATATAAGAGAAGGCTACTGCTGTTTTGAAAAGAACAGGGGAGAAATAAGCATGTGAAAAAAATGCTTTATGAGGCACAAAGGGAAGACCTAAAATTCAGAATCAAACACAAATTTCTCTGTTTTTGTACTGCAACCACAGGTATATCTACAATAATTTAAAGCCCATGACACTCTGAGGGTAACCACAGTAACAAAAACAACAAAAAATCTAAATGCAGCCAAATCCCTAATATAACTCAAACTCCCATACTTAAAGCCTGGCAGAGGAAAAGACATGCCCAGTGTAAGTTTAAAAATCTACTTATTTCAGTCTCTACTGTACTACACAAGATGTCCAGTTTTCAAATGACAATAAAAAACCAAAACACAAAGCATGCAAGAAGGCAAGAAAACCACATTCAGAAGTAAAAGAGCAATCATCAAAACCAGACTCAGAAATGACACAAGTGTTGGCAATAGCTGACAGAGAATTAAAAAGAGCAGTGATTAATATGCTAAAAGCTCTAAAGTAAAAGGTGGAGAGCATGCAAAATGAGATGAGTAACTTCAGTAGAGAAATGAAACTACATGAAAGAATCAAGTAAAAATAGCATAAATGGAAAACACAGGAGGAGCAGCTAAGAATGCCTTCAGCAGATTCAAAAGCAGACAACACAGCTGCTGAAAGAATTGGTGAACTGGAAGACAGGTCAATAGGATTACCCAAATTGAAACAAAAAGACAAAAATAAATGAGGAAAAAAACACACACACACAGTGAAAACGTCCAGAGAAGAAGTCTATTTATTGATTGTAAAAAAAAAAAAACAAACCAGAACCAAACATTCAAGATCTGTGAGACAATGCAAATCACTCTAAAATACACATAATTGGAATCCCAGGAAGGGGAAGAAAAAGACAATGGAAGAGAAGAAATATTTGAAGAAATAATGGCTGAAAATTATTTTTTTTTAAATCTCACTTATCTAGGAACTTAATATTTAAATTGCTGTAAACAAAAAAAGAGAAAATGTTAAAGATAACTAGAGAAAATAAGACATTACATACAGAGGAACAAAGGTAAGAATTACAGCAAATGTCTCACATTATATCATGCTAGCCAGAAGACAATGGAGTGATATTTTTAAGGCACAGTACAGCACTGATAGAAAAACAACTGTCATCCCAGAATTCTATATCTACAGAAAATACCTTTTAACAATGAATGAGAAATAAAGACTTTCTGAGCAAACAAAAACTGAACTTTATTGGAGCATATCTGTTTACTAGAAATGTTAAAAGATATTCTTTAGGCAGAATGCTTTGAGTGGATACTGTTAAGCTAAAGTCAGAAAAACCTAAACAAATATTGTACTCTGGCTGGTAAATTTGTTTAACACAAGGGTATGGGTTAGAAATTCTATGGAATGAATAGATAGATACAGGTAAAGGCTAGGGAAATAAATATAGATGTGTATGTATGTATGCATGAGTTTGTACACATACTAATATATATATTTCCTAACAATATCCACTGAGGGAACCTAGAAACAGTGACAGTTCAGTAGCCATAATTATACCTTGTACCCAGACCTTGGCTTTTTAAATTCTCTAGTAAAAGGAACCAGGCTCCTTGAAGAACTGCAATACTTTCTGGGTTGGGGTAGGGGAAAATACACATTGAACCTGAAGTATCTTGTGGTGCAAGAAAGTAAGGAAGTTCTTAAAAATTTTTCTTTTAATGGAGGCATATTGAAAGGACACAGGAGGCAACCTGAAAACACTACCAATGGCTAAAATTGAAACAATCCAGCAACAAAATAAATAATTATAATAGTGGATTATAATCCAAAGAACAAAAACAAAACAGGAGCTAATACTGAATAAATAACTGAATAAATAAATAAGTGAGAAATGACTACGTTTTCTTACAGAATTCTAATTAATAATGTAAAAAGAATGAGAGAAATAGAAGATCACCGTTAGAACTTCACCATAATAATTGTTGCAGGCAAGACCCACCAATGGATAATTAAGTTGGTGAGTGAAAGTTTACACAGAAATAAAATATCTGCATGAACTCAGAGTATATTCCCAAAAATATTTAGTAATTTTAGAGGGAATAAATAGTAAATTTACAGTAGAGAGTCCAGGCAGACAGCCAGGTGATCAATGTTAGCTAAGTGATCAGGGCTAATATTGCTAGTAACATATATTGATGTTGCATGTCCCCTAGGGCACATCTTCTCTGTTGTAGCCTTCTCAACAATGCATAACCTCTATATAATCAAGGGAAAAACCTCAGACAAACCCAAATTGCAGAGCATTCTACAGAATAACCAACAAGTGCTTTTCAAAAGTGTTAAGGTCATGACAGACAAGGAAAGATGAAGGAGCTGTCACAGAATGGAAGTGAATAAGGAAACGTAAAACTAAAGGTAACATGGGATCCTGGAACAGAAAAAGAACATTATTGGAAAAATTAGTAAAATCCAGATACGTTCTATATACTTAGGTTAACAGTATTGAACGAAAAATAAGCTGTCAGCATAAGTGTATACTACATGAAGGCTATATTTACTATTTTGGTAACTCTTCTGTAACTCTAAAATTATTTCAAAATATAAATTACTTTTTCAAAAGTTAACAATGACTTATATAGTCACCCTAGTTAGCAGTTATATCTGGAAAGAACATCCTTATTCCCTGTAACTAATGTAACATCCTCCTAAACCAGAAGGTTGTCATTTTAAAAAATGACTCTTTAACCAATTATTTTCTGCTTATTTGCACTCACTGGTTCTCAGGATTTTATCATTGTTCATGAATCCATTGGCCTTTCCTAAGGATAAAAAAACAAGAGAGATGGGGCACGGTGGCTCACACCTATAATCCCAGCACTTTGTGAGGCCAAAGTGGGTGGATCGCTTGAGCCCAGGAGACTAGCCTGAGCAACATGGCAAAACCCAGTTTCTACAAAAAATGCAAAAATTAGCTGGGCATGGTCGTGCGCACCAGGGGTCACAGCTACTCATGAGGCTGAGGTGGGAGGATGGCTTGAGTCCCGGAGGCGGAAGTTGCAGTGAGCTTAGATCACACCACTGCACTCCAGCCTGGGTGACAGAGTAACACCCTGCATTAAAAAAAAAAGAGAGAGAGAGAAATCATTCAAATGGTAAAGAAAATGCAGAGTATTCTGCTGGCTGGAAAAATCTCAAGCTGGGCATGGTCCTATTTTTGTTTGTCATTCCTCATTTGCATATGTGTGTGGATACATATGTATGTATGTATATTCTTATGGCTATCTGGGCCTATTGAGACCCATGAATTGTTCTCCGATTAAATACTATTTCCTCAAAGAGGCATTTTGGGACGTTTTGATATCTGTGTTCAATGTACTGCTACACTTGGACCTTTTTCAAATTCTGTTTGTAACAGTTTCCTTGCGGCACAGACGAAGATTTGAGGGAATCGTCGAGATAACCTCTCATGGCTTCCTCAATGGGTTTCAAGGAGAACAGCCGCAACTGCAGCTTCCGATTGGAGAAGGCAGGTCAAGGCATGTTGAGCTTCACGGAATCAGGCAATTTGGAAGCTGTAGGGGTCCATATCCTATCACCTTTCTTCCTAAAGGACTTGCGCTATACTATAAATTGTTCTCCTTGAACGATATCCGAGTCAACATCCCATCAATTAAACTTGAGGAAAGAGGTTGTGTTGGGAGGAGAAAGGAAGAGATGCTTTTTGTCACCAGGCTGGCTGGTAAAATGAAACTTGGCATGTGACCAGGGAGGAGGCTCTCTCTGAGGCTGTTTCCTTGGCTACCGAAGGGGAGAGACACCTGTCCATTTCTATGTCTTAGACATGTTGTGAGGGTAAAATGGAATAACTAAAAGTAAAATGGCATGAAAAAATGTAGACCAGGGTTTCCATTGAAACGTCAGGATTTTCTCTTGCCCTTTCTCTTCATTGCCCTCAGGACAAAATGAATACTCTTTGAAAGTGGTCAACAAAGCCCAACCAGCCTCTCATCCTGGTCACTCTTCTCTTCATCCCTTATCAGCCACACTGGATGGTCCCCCAAGCACTTTCCCACTTCATTGCCTTTGTAAATACTCTCTGCGTTCCTGGAGCTGTGCTCCCTGCTCTCATCCAGGCTGGACTCCCCTTCAGCTGAGTGATTCCTACTTATCCTCCTGGTCTCAACTTTGATGATGCTTCTTCTACAAAGCCTTTCCTGAGCCTCACTTCTCTCAAATACCTAGAACTAAGTTTAATTGGTCGTTTAACTACATATATCCCCTGCCAATTATAAATTACTCAAATAGAAGAATCTGCCTTTTCACCCTCACAGATATCTCTGGCTGCTAACAGAGTCTAATACTCAATAAATGCTTGTTTACACCTACTATATACTCACACAAATTAAAAACAAAAATTAAATTTAAAAAAATAAATAAAATAAATGCTTATTGAATGAATAACTGACAAATGAATAAATGCATGCTTTCAATACAAGTTCCTTGATATAGGTCCTTTTTTTTTTTTTTCTGTGAGACGGAGGCTTGCTCTGTCGCCAAGCTGGAGTGCAGTGGTGCAATCCCGGCTCACTGCAACCTCCACCTCCTGGCTTCAAGTGATTCTTCAGCCTCAGCCTCCCTAGTGGCTGGGACTACAAGTGCACGCCACCACACCCAGCTAATTTCTGTATTTTTTAAGTAGAGATGGGGTTTCATTATGTTGGCCAGGATGCTCTCGAACTCTTGACCTCGTGATCCACCCGCCTCGGGCTCCCAAAGTGCTGGGATTACAGGCGTGAGCCACCGCGCCCAGCCTGATATAAGTCCTTCTTGGGGAACTCAAGTATAGAAACATTTAGTGAATATACAAGAGAAAACTGTTTAGTGGAGTTAGTCATTTTAATCAAGGAAGACTCTGAAGCTTAAATCTTCACTTCAATGTTATTATTATAACCACTATTTTATAATAGCAGTATATCATAGAACTCAGATTTATCTATTCTAACTATATGCTAAGCAATTTGCTAAATGCTTTGTACATATTCGTGTTTTCCATCTTTCCTCAAACTTTATGAAATATATACTAGTTTCTATCCTCATTTAAAAACAAGAAAACAAAACCAGAGAGGTTGAGTGAATTGTCCAATGTCACCCAACTATTAGAGAGTAGAGTCGTAATTTAAATCCAAGGCTTCCAGGGCCTAGTGTCTGAATTGTTAAAAATTATTGCTCTTCTGCTTCCCCTGCCAGATAGGCAAACACCAAAGTCTTTTGGGTCCCCAGAGTGCAGAAAAACTAGATTAAATACAATCCTGGATGAATTCTCGACTTGAGGGTCTGTGTCTTTCCCCAGCATCTTCTCATTCACGAATAAGATTCCCCTATCAAGTTGTTCTAATCACAGCTTGCTTCTCTCCTCCCAAAGCCAGGGCAACTATCTCTCCCCCGAATCCCTATCTGAACTGCTGAGTTTATGTTTTAATACAATTACGTAGCTTCCACTCCCCCACAGATCCTCTTTTTTCTTCATTTGCTTCCAATAAAGAGACATTATTTGCTTGGGAGCTTTCCAGGGTAACATGAATCCATCTTTTGAAAACTAGTCCTTGCATCTGGGAAATTGAATGATGTTTTGGTGTTTGCTTAGCAAAAGAGTCGGTCTATGGAAACAGCATTGTTATTTTATTATCTTTAATGCTTTTACGCCATATTAAACAGATTTCATTTCCAAAGAACTTTCTCACTGCCCATCCCTGCTTTTTAAACGGACAAGTCACTTTCTACTTTCAAACTGGTTGCCTTCAAAAGATGCCACTGAGCACTGATTTGGCCACTTAGCTGAATTAACCATGTGATCCATCTGTACCTTCCTTCCCTGCTCTCACAAAACATGTGTTGCCTTTAACATAATGAGAAGCCCTTTTCTGATCAGACCACTTCTTGTAAAATTAAATACACACACATCCCAGAACCCCAAATCCATCATATGAATAAAACGGCACACTCTCTCAATCCAGACAGCAGTTCTTTTCAAAATGAGATGTCTGACACTACCTAATCCATGAACCAAAGAGATTTTTGATCACCCTAGTTTTTCCCAGTATTGCTTTTTATTCTTTGCATCAATAAATGTTGTAGCTGGGGATGCTTACAGTGCCAGCATGTGATAGCTTCAGTAATCATCTCATCCGGAGACCAAGATACTGCTCTATTTCTTTACACCCCAGGTAAGATTTTGAACCTTGGGAAAGCTAAACACAGCTGGTGTTCTCTATCCCTGAATAAAGGAAATAAAAATGTATTGCAAAGATATGGCTTCTTCATTTTAAAGAAGAGAAAGTAAAAATAAGAATCTAGTTTTGAATTGAAAGATTCATATAGTAAGAGCCCAAACCAGACATTGAAACACATCGCAATGATTACACTGGTTATTAATAATTGAGTGAGGGACAGAGCAGAAAGTTCCCTGTGAATTTACTCACCTCAATTGAATTTTTAAAATCAAAAGCCGAATTTGTTTACAGAATGGGTCTTTTAGCATAAATATGTAATTAATAATAAAATGTATAATAAATGGCAATAAGAGTTTATGGAACTGAAAGTAAGCCCTTTGCCCATTCTAATAAGCATATTCTGGGTCATAAAGTGGATCTAAAATCTAGAACAAAAATAAACCTAAGGTCTGATGCTCACAAAGGATCCAGTTTTATTTCATGTTCTTTATAACTAGCTGGAGGACAGGATCTTTGTCTTATACAAACTGGCAGGCATGGGATCTTAATGTGGAAAAGCTCCCCACTCACATAGTGATAAGAAAAAACTCATGGTTAAAAGAAAGAGATTTGGTTTTGCTTTGTTTTCCATTTCCCCTGTTATGATCCATTTATACTGAACATTTCAATTCTGCAAGCAATTACTGAGCACCTAGTAGGAACAACTGACAGTGTTAGATGTGCACAGAATTATTGCAAACAAATTAAAGTAATAAAACTCTCCCCTTCTTCCTACCCTAACTGGAGATATATTTGTTATCAACAGCAAAAGAAGCAAACTATCAAAACTATATGTGAATATGTTCAGTGGAAGCCTCTCTTTCTCTTTTTTTCCTTTATGCCTGATCATCTTTAACACTACCATTTTAGGGTTTGATCCTGATTGAGGATCCTAAGGGATTCAGAGAAGTATAAGAAATAGTCCTATTACTGTACAGTCTCACTAATGAAAAAGGACAGATGCACAAAACCATGAGAAAACCAAGGCTTCAAGTTTAAGTTATATGTTCAATGTCAAGTATGCAAAAAGTTATTGTTAAAGGCCTTCTTTCTATGCTTTAACCCAAGGTGCAGTACAAGATAGCATATGCCATTTGATTAAGAAAATAGAATCTGAGTAAGCTTATTGAATAACTGGGTATGGAATAAACTGGAGAGGAACCTATGCCAGTCAAATGCAGTCAAGACATTGTTGCAGTTATTCCAGTAGAAGCTGATGAGGCCATAAACCTTTGATGCACATCTGAGTCACCAGGGGAGCTTCTGCAGCCTGCACATGCCCGCATCACCCACTGATTCTAACTCTGTAGATCGTGAGCGTAGCAAGGTCATGTGTCTTTTGTAAAAACTCTTTGGGAGAGTCCCTCCCTGGTTAAACACCACTGCCCGAAATTAGGGTGTCTGCTCTACCAAACAAAGCTTTTCTTCATATCCAGGCTCTCTCTTCTTGATGGGATCTCATTCTGTCACCCTGGCTGGAGTGTAGTGGCGTGATCTCAGCTCACTGTAACCTCTACCTCCTGAACTCAACCGATCCTCCCACCTCAGCCTGCCGAGTAGCTCAGACCATGGGTATGCACCACCACGCCTGGCTAATTTTTTGTATTTTTGGTAGAGACGGGGTTTTGCCATGTTGCCCAGGCTGCTCTAGAACTCCTGAGCTCAAGTGATCCACCTGCCTCGGCCTCTCAACCTCTCAAAGTGCTGGGATTACAGGCATGAGCCACCATGACCGGCCACATCCAGGCTGTCTATTATCAGCTATCTTACATTTGACAAGTCTACCACACTCAGAAAATGTGCAAATACATGATTTGTTGGTTTCTTTTCTTTTATTATAGGCATAAATAAATGTTAAGGATTCAACACTATAAATCTTGAGAAATTAAGTCAAATTTACCAAGACCCAGACTTCTCAAATAGTAATGCCAAATCCCAGATAGAAATGTATTTTTGGCCAGTTTGCCTCATAAACTATAATTATTGATTACTTATTATTTGTCAAACATCCTGTTAAACACTTCACGTATGTTATCTCATTCAGTCCTCACCACCACTAATATTATCCCCATTTTAAAGATGAAGAAACTGAAGCTTGCAAGGGTTTAGCCATTTGCCCAAGGTAATGTAGAGCTAATAACTTATTTAAAAACCTCTGTGTTAACTTTAAGAAACAGTTCTATGATACAAAAAAATGATTCTAATGTAAACAAAACAAAGTAAGCCATTGTTTTTGTTTTTCTCCTAAAAAATCATTTTTTTAAAAAAAAAGCAACAAGGAAATTGAAAAACTCACCACAAACTCTATTTTTAATGAAACTAAAAGAAAGCTATATCTACAGACACTAAAAAGTAGCTGCAAAAAATAGTTGAGATCAGAAACCCCATGGAAGGAAGTGAAGAGGCAACACATGGGGAACGTTGACAAGGCCCATCAGTGGAAATTCAAAGAAAGTGCCAACAAAAATATGGTATCCGATTGTAAGGGTCTCACTCAAAGAGCAAACAAGTGTTTGCAACAGTGCATGTGAGAATTTAGGCAAGCAGAGCTGGATCAGTTTGGGAGAAGAAAGAGCTGGGCAGATAGTCATAGAAATAGGCCATCTCTGCAGGAAACAGCTTGTCTTTATGGCAGAAGAAGGCTACACTGAACATCTGCCACACCCCAACAGTGTGCCTCGTGCAAATATCTGTCCAAAGAAAATCCAAATAATGTAATGATGAGTAATTTTTTTAAAAAAACAAAAATACTATGGGAAGGAATATGGAGAAGAGCAACAAAACTCACCAGTAGATAAAAAACACTCACTAGGAAAGTGTTACCATGGAGTAGACAGAAAATATGACCAGACATCATATTATGAATTTTAAACCATGAGGAATATAATTATGCCTCTGAAGGAATACTTGAAAGCAGAGATGCAGAGTCTCAGGAATTGAATGGTGAGATTGGAAATTAAAAGTGAACTGGCAGAGCTCAGTAAGAAATATAAAGTAAATAAGAAAAATTAAAACCATTCAATATTGAATGAGCAAATGGGAGAAAGGACACTGTAAGTCTTTCAGTTAAGATAAATAGTAGGTAGCAGTAAGAAAGACAATCAAAAAGGAAAATGAGTTTAAAAAAGGTTGATAATTAAGGATAGGTATAGAAGAAAAGATAAGATATAGCAATTGCATAATTGGAGTCCATGGAAAAGAAAATAAAACAATGATTCAGAACACATACTGAAAAATACAATTAGAAAACATGTAGTCTCTGGTTAGTGGTGCTTTCTATTTCTATCATTTCTTCTACATTTATCAATAGACTGCCATCATAAGAAAGATCTGTCTCTTTTCCCCATTTACTTATTTATTCCATTTTTTTTATTTATTCAATCATATATTTATGGAAGTATGGACTCACAAATAATTTATTTTATTCTACAGGTTGTAATGCAACCTGTCATTCCTAAGTTTTTTGTTCAAATTGTTTCAGCATTGGATATTGGAAGGATCTTCAAGGTGTTTCCAATGTCCTTTCAAACATGTCCTCATCCTTTCTTAAATACTTCCCTACTTTTGAAACCACAATATTTTCCAGGCTCATCTTATATTTTTCCTATCACATCCCTAGAATCCACTATCGTATTTCTTAAAGGAGCTCTGGTTCCTGCTGCTGGAGGATGATATATAGAAGCCATAAACTGAGTGCCAGATGTGCTCAGTGCTACTGGAGTATCTAGCCCCTCTCACTGGACATAGCCAGAAAAGATATGTATGTATGCTAACTTATGCATACACACACCTATATTTATTTCTGTATCTGTCTGTATATATTAACAACTATAAGTTCATTTTGATATTTCTAATTCTAATCTAACAAACACAAGGCTTTTTCCCTTTCCCTTTTCCTTCCTCCTTTCTTTATTATAACTTGTTCCCTGAAAGTGAAAAATGTGCTTTCATTATCTATATTTATTAGTCCAATTCTAGTATATACACAAAGTAGATTCAGAATTGCTTGCCATATCCCCATAAGAACCAAATTTAGAAGCTAGAGTACAAAATTTGTGTAAAATTAGTTATGTCTTTAGCCTTCTAGTATGCAATCAAAAGTTATGAATATTATGAATTTTCATATGAAATTCAAGCTATTTCCAAAGTTAATTTTTTTCTCAATCCCTTTTAGTGTGATTAAGCTATTCAATTGTAATACAGTGAGAGTTCATTTGTATTTTTATATTCTAGTTTGGATCCCACCTCCATCCTGATGGATTTTAACTATTTTTTTAATATGTGAAAAATTATCATGGTTCTAAGAGTTAAAGCTATATAAAAATGTATACTTGAAGAAGTATTGCTCCCCACTTATCCTTATGCCCCATTTTCATGCCCTCATTCTTTTCACCTTGTTACCATCCATCCACATTGGTAAGCAGTCTAATTAGTTTCTGGTTTATACTTTCTGTATTTATTTTGCCCAAATGAACAGATACATGTATATTTTTAATATTTCTTTCTTCCTTGAAGAGTACAAATATTCTTTTGACCTTTGAAAAGATTGTTATTTTAAAAATAAAAGATAAACTCCCTAACCTAATGAAGAAAAAGAGGACACAAATATTAAAAATAAAAATTATAAAAGGGAAATAACTTCAAAGTAAGAAATAATTTTGCATAAATCAATGTCAATAAATTTGAAAGCACTGATGAAGTGGATAATATTCCTTAACAACATATTTTATCAAAACAGACCTCGGAAAGTATAGAAAAACGTAAGCAGTATGATTTCCAAATAAGACATAGAGGAAGTTGTTTGGCTATAACCACTACCTCCATCCCACCCCAAACCACATGTCCAGATGATTTCCCAAACCACATGTCCAGATGATTTCATGGGGGAATTCTTTCAAATCTTAAAAAGCAAATAATTTCAATTCTACCTAAAATGAAACTAAAGCCTAACAAAAATTGAGCATGTGCACCTACAGACACAGACACACAAGCACATACACCCACACAAACAAGAAAATGATAGGCCAGTCTCACTCATGAGTATTGATGCCAGCATTTTAAATAAACATTAACATACATAATCTAACATCATATTTAAAAAAATGCAGCTGACCAAGTGGGGTTTATTCTAAGAATACAAGAGATTTTCAATATTACGATATCTATTAATCATATCATAATATGACCTATCACACTAGTAGAGATATTAGCATTAAAATATTATAATTATCCCCATAAGTGCTAAAAAGGCATTTGACAGAATTCAATCATTCTTCACAAAAACATTTAATAAAATAGGAATAAACTATATTTTATCTTGAGCCAATGGTCATTGGAAAAATACTAGACTCATTTTGCTCAACAAGTGTTCTATTGGCATTAGACTCATGTGTCACTCATCCACTAAATTCCAGGAGGAAATTTCCCCAGTTATTATGGAAACAAAATATACCTCATGCATTCCCAAATGCCCCCCAACACCATGGATTTAAAGTAAAAATCAAGACAAACATGCACTATCATCACACTATCTTTAACATATTATTAGAAATGCTGGGCAACATAATTAGAAAAGAGAAAGAAAATAAATGTATGAAAATTAGAACTAAGGTAAACCTATCACTTTTTGCAGATTACATTTACATACCTGGAAAACCTAAGAGAATTAACTAAAATGGCTACAAAAAAATAAAAATAAAATAGTTGAGTAAAGTAACAGGACTCAGTAACAGAAAGCAATAGCCTATATGTATAAACATATGAACAAATACAATGACCAATTAAAAGACATGATGGAAAAAAAGAATTTATTCACATAAGCACAACACAGATAAAATACTCGGATGAAATTAATTACAAATATTGGACACCAAACAAGAAAACTTTAAAACAGAACTAAAGGTACAAAATAATGCTAGAATAAATTAAAACTGTATTTATAATACTAGTGAATAGAAATACTCAACAACAAAAAGATTACTATTCTTCTTAAATTCATGTATAAATGTAATATGATCCCAATAAAAATACAAGCTTTTTGTGGGGATAGTTACAAACAGATATTCTCACTCTAATCATCCTATGAAAAAAAATAAAGAGAAATAATAGCTAGGAGAACTTTGTGTGGGTGGGAGGATCTCTTTAAAGAAAAATGAGAGCAGTGTACCCTTATTACATTAAAATATAAACACTTTATATTTAAAAAAAGAGTAGTACAGCCAGTAGAATAAACAGAAAGACCAATAAATTAGTATAAAAACTCCATAGAGGGTGCCCAAATACATATGAGAATTAGTGCATAATAAAGAAAGCAATTCAAATAAGTTGGAGAAATCTAGATTATTCTATAAATGGAGTTTAAATAACTCTGAGCATAAAATCTTGAAAAAAATAAAGCTGGAACCAAAGTTTACACCATACAGCAAGGGAAGTTCCAAATGGACTTAAAATTCATTTTTTAAAAAAACAGTAATTCATTTAAGTACTAGAAAAAACATGGAAAATTCATTTATAAACCTAGATGAAAGAAGGGCTTTCTAACTACTACTCAAATCCAGAAGTCATAAACGTAAAATTTCCTAGATACACTTTTAAAAAATTCCTTCTGTGTGGGAAAAAACCAAACTTTTACAAATATCAAATTGGGAATAAATATTGAAATTCAAACCACAGTCACAGGCTTATTGCCTTAATATATAAAGAGCTCCCAGAAATGGATATGATAAAGGCTGATAGCTCAATATAGAAATGGAAAAGTGATATGAACAGAGTTTACATAAAAGGAAATAAACATGGCTCTCAAGAACATAAAAAGATTTTTCAAAAAAGATGTTCAACCTGCAGCCAACAGACAATGGCAGATCCCCTCCTGATGTTTATACTCCTGTGAAGTTCCCACCCCTTGAGTGTGGGTGGAACCTATGACTTGCTTTAACTAACAGAATATGGCACAGATGATGGCATGTCACTTCCATCCACCATTATATTATATGAGACTCCATCTAATTTGTAGACTCTGCAGATACTTTCTCTCTCTTTTTTTTTTTAACTTTTATTTTAGGTTCAGGGGTACATGTGCAGGTTTGTTATTTAGTAAATTGCATGTCACAGGAGTTTGATGTACACATTATTTTGCCACCCAAGTAATAAGTATAGGACCCTCAACCTCCATCCTCAAGTAGACCTCACCCCTTCATCCTCAAGTAGGCCCCAGCGTCCTCTATTCCCTTCTTTGTGTCCACATGTACTTAATGTTTAGGCTCTCACAAGTGAGAACATGTCGTATTTGGCTTTCTATTCCTGTGTTAGTTCACTTAAGATAATTCCTGTGTTAGTTCACTTAAGATAATGGCCTTCAGCTGCATCCATGTTGCTACAAAGGACATGATCTTGTTTTTTTAATGGCTGTGTAGTATTCCATGGTGTGTATGTGCCACATTTTCTTTGTTCAGTCTACCACTGATGAGCATTTAGGTTGATTACATGTCTTTGGTATTGTGAATAGTGCTGCAATGAACATGAGAATACCTGTGTCTTTGTGGTAAAACACTTTACATTCTTTTGGGTATATACCCAATAAAGGGATTGCTGCTTTGAATGGTAATTCTGCTCTGAATTCTTTGAGAAATTGTCAAACTGCTTTCCACAAGGGCTGAACTAATTTACATTCCCACCAGCAGTGTATAAGCATTCCCTTTTCTCCACAACTGCACCAGCATCTGTTATCTTTTTGATATTTTAATAATAGCACTAGTGTGAGATGGTGTCTCACTGTAGTTTTGGTTTGTATTTCTCTAATGATTAGTGATGTTGAGCATTTTTTAAATATGTTTGTTGGCTGCATGTATGTCTTCTTTTGAAAGGTGTCTGATCATGTCCTTTGCCCACTTTTTAATGGAGTTGTTTGTTTTTTGCTTGATTTAAGTTTCCTATAGATTCTGGATATTAGACCTCTGTCAGATGTGTAGTTTCCAAATATTTTCTCTCATTATATAGGTTTCTGCAGATACTTTTTACATTGCAGAATAAATAAGACAGCCTGTTGGAACACCCATATGGTATGGAACTGAGGGCAGCCTCAAAAGTGGCCACCAGCTGATAGCAAAGAGCCAAAAGGAAGCCAGAGCCTCAGTCCTACAACTGCAAAAAATATATTTCTGCCAACAACCTGAGTGATGTTGGAAATGGACTCTTCCCCAGGTGAGTCTCTAGATAACAATTCAGTCCTCACTGACACATTGATTGAAGCCTTACAGAGAACCCAGTTAAGCTATGCCTGGAATCTGGAGCCATAGAAACTGAGAGATAATAAGTGTCTGTTGTTTTAAATCTCTAAGTTTGTGGTAATTTTGATGCAGCAACATAAAATGGAATACAAGCCTAACATCATGAGATAACCACAAATTAAAAGTAAAATGAGATAGTATCCATTACCATAACACAACCACAAAAATCCAAACGTTTGTTAATATACACTTTTGCTGAGCCTTTGAGAAAACATACCCTCTCATATATTGTTAGTAAGAGGGCCAACTAGTACAATTCCATGTGAAGGGTAGTTTTGCAATGTCCATAAAAATTATAACTACTTTTTGTCCAAGTGATTGCAGTTCTTGGAATTTATCCTACCAGTACACTGGCTCACAAATACAGCCCTACATTTGGGGATTACTTATAATAGCAAAAAATGGAATGTACTGGGGATTATTATAGCAAAAAATGGAATCATTCTAATTGTGTATAATAAGAGACTGATTAAATAGATTATGGTACACTCATATAATAGAACACTATTCAGCTATAAAAAATAAGATTAAATAAATAAATAAACAAGGAGGAGACATCTGGTCTCCAGAACAGGAAAAAAGCTGAACAAACTGCAAATAAACAATTTTTCTGAGATACATCAGAGATCTGAGGTCACAGGGAAAATTGTCAGACTGTCACCCAAAACAGGAGAGATAGGAGAATACAGAGAATCAGACTTAGGATAGCAGCTATAGCTGGAACCCAGTAGGAGCATTCAAAAAGTAATTGACTAATTGCTGGAGCCTGAGCTTGGACTAGCTTGAGATATTAAAAATCTCTGGTGCTCAGCCTTAGGGGGACCCCACACTTTCATGAGTTTTACCTCCAAAAGCCCCAACAGGTTACCAGGGTGAAGATGGGGTAGGGGATATACCCCTGATCTGTCAGTTTAGGGAGGGGAAAAGTAACCATTTCGAAATACACCCAGAGCATTGTATTCTGAGTAGTGAAGATCTATCCTCAATGGAAACTATTTTACGGAAGCCCAACTAACTTCAGAGGTGAGAAACACCTTGTAGCCTCTGCTAGCCTTCCTGACTCACCTAACCAGAAAAAAAAGCCAAGATGCATTTTTGAATGTTACAGAAGAAGGGCATAGGTCCACTAAAAGACTAAAACCTAATCATAGGTATATAGAATGCTTCCCCACATCCCAAACCTTATCATCACATCAGCAGGGTTCATGTATAATAATGAGAGAGTATAGCTGAAAGAACTGCAAAGCTCAGACTCTGTTTCAGAAGGAGTATCTCAGCAAACTCACAGATATGCAGGGAGACAAAAACAAGGACACTACAGGAAATTTTAGCCATTGCAAGCGGTAAGCCCAGTCTAACTTTTAGCCAGATCAACATAAAATCTCACACTAAAGTGTTGTTTATCTCAGTTCCTTTTACCTAATATACTATGTCTAATTTTCAAAAAAAATTTAAAAGGCATGCTAAAATGCAAAAAATACAGCTTGAAGAAACAAACCCAGTATCAGAACCAGACTCAGATACAGCAGAGACTTGGGAAATATCAGACTGGGAACTTACAATAACTGATTGGTAAGCTAAGGACTCTCACAGAAAAAGTAGATGACATGCAAGAAGAGATGGGTAATGAAAGCAAAAAGATGGAAACTTAGCCAGGTGCAGTGGCTCATGCTTGTAATCCCAGCAACTTGGGAGGCTGAGATGGGTGGATCACTTGCGGTCAGGAGTTTGAGACCAGCCTGGCCAACATGGTGAAACCCTACCTCTACTAAAAATACAAAAATTAGCTGGGCATGGTGGCCCACGCCTGTAATCCCAGCTGCTCGGAGGCTGAGGCAAAAGAACCACTTGAACCCGGGAGATGGAGGTTGCAGTGAGCTGAGATTGCACCACTGCTCTCCAGCCTGGGAGAGTGAGATTTCATCTCAAAAAAAAAAAAGATGGAAACTTTAAAAGGGAATTTTTTTAAGACAATGATCGAAACCACTGTAACAGAAATGAATAATGCCTTTGATGGGCTTATGTGTAGACTGGATATAGTTGAGGAAACAATCAGTAAACTTGAAGATACGCCAATAGAAACTTCTCAAACTGAAAAACTAAGAGAAAAAAATTTAAAAAGAAGCAAAATATCCAAGAGCTGTGTAACAGTTACAAAAGATTACATATCTGCAATGAGAATACCAGAAGGAAAATAACAAGAAAAGATCAGAAGAAATAATAGGTAATAAAAAAGCAATAATAAGTAATAGTGAAGTAATAATGGAGGAGAATTTTCCAAAAATAATGACACACATCATAAAGATATTATACTCAAATTGTAGAAAGTCAACATAAAGAGAAAATCTTGAAAGATACACACACACACACACACACACACACACACAGAATATGTGCCCATGGTTTAGTGTCCATATAAAAGTGAAATTAAATTAATGATCTATGCATATTGCAAACTCTAGGGAAAACAATGAAAGAATTTTTAAAACAAGTATAAAGGATATACTAAGATAGGAGAGAAAATGAAATTTAAAATGTTCAATTAAAGCCAGTGAAGACAGAAGAAAAAGTGGAAGACCAAAAAGAAATAAATACCAAGGGTAATGACTACAAAATAGTTATAAATGGGACCAATATCAATACAACTATATCAGTAAGTATTTTTAATGTTAATGGTCTAAATATACCAATTAAAAGACAGAGACTGTCAAAATGGATTTTAAAAAAAACAAGACTCAATTATATGTTGTCTACAAGAAACTTACTTTAAACATAAAGACATAGAAAGATGAAAAGTAAAGGAATGGAGAAAGACATACCATGCAAACACTGATCAAAATAAAGCAGGAGGTGCTATATTAATTTCAGATAAAACAGACTTCAGAGAAAAGGAAATTATCAGAGATAAAGAGGGACATTACATAATGGTAAAAGGGTCAATTCTCTAAAAAGAAAGTAATTTCTTAACATGTATGTGCCTAACAACAAAACATCAAAAAAAAATGTGCAGCAAAAAGTAATAGAACTGCAAGGAAAAACAGATGAGTCCACTATTATAGTTGGAAACTTCAAAACTCCTCTCAGTAATTGACAGATCCAGCAGGGAGAAAATCTGTAAGGGTACAGTCAAACTGAACAGCACCATCAATCAACTGGATCTAATTGACATTTATAGAATACTTCATCCAAGAACAGCAGAATACACACTCTTCTCAAGCTCACATGGAACATTCACCAAAATAGGCTACATTATGGGCCATAAAATACATATCAACACATTTAAAAGAATAAAAATCATGCAAAATATGTTCTCAGACCACAGTGGAATTAAACTAGAAATTAATAACAGAAAGATAGTTGGAAAATCCCAAAATATTTAGATATTAAACACTCTTCGAAACAACCCATGAGTCAAAATATCAAGAGAAATTTTTAAATATACAAAATTAAATGAAAATACAACTTATCAAAACTTTGGGATGAAGAGAGGACCCAAGATGGCTGACTAGGTGCAGCCAGGAAGAGCTTCTCCCACTGAAAGACCACACCATCAAGAAGAATGGCACACAATGAGCAGATCTTCAGAAGGAAGGCATTGAGAATGGACAAAAGGAGGACAAATACTCTGGGCTGAAGGAGGAGGAAGCTGGGAACCCTGCATAAGATTGCCAAGCACCAGGACTCATTCCTGGCCCTGTGCAGCTCCTGGGGAAAGGATGAGTTAAACAGGCATGAGTGGCCCACTTTCACCACAAACCTCCAGAATCCTAACTGCAGGAGACCTCATGATCCCCATGGACATTTGAGCTGGCAGGAAGTGTTGCTTAGAGAGTTGGCAGGATCAGGACTCCAACCTTGAAGGAGCCCAGAGGGTATGACATGGGAATGGCAGAGTGGAACCCAGCAAGGAATGCTCATCCCCCAAGGCTTGCCACACTCCTGTAGGTGGCTTTGGCCTTTGTTGACTGTCAGAAGTGGACAGGACAGGGATATCTTGCCATGGGATGGGACCAATATGATCTGAGCAAACAACCCCCACCACCACCCCCAGGGTTCCTGCCTGGCTGCACCCACTTGCAGCCTCAGATGCCCAACCAGGGCACTTCCTAGTGGCAACCACCATAGCTCTTTCACTGGCATAGTCCACTTAACCATCAGAGAGTTTTTGCAGATGGGTCCCCCACAATGCGCATTCGTGTGTAGTCTCTCCACATTGCTTTTGCCAGCATGTGCATGTTTGCAGACCTCATTGTCATCACCTCACCTCCACTAGTGCATATGCACACAGATCCTACCACACCAACATCACAGGTGCACACACACAAGCATGGACCCTGCTGCCATCATCCTAATGAAGTGCTTTCCCTGGCAGCACAAGCCCCCCCACCCCAGCCCCCCACATTGAAGTGCTGTTGCCACCAGACTGGGAACACCTTGGCCCCTTCAGTGCAGCAGGTACTTACCCTCGAGCAGCCAAACAAACCCATGGGCATGATCCAAGCCCTTTAGGGTTACAACACACAGCTCAGGAGTACTGAGCTGAGATTTGGCCCTCTAAAACCATCCAGAAACAAAGCCAGTCATCTAAACCCAACTTATACTACAGACAAATCCTCCAGAACATCAAAGAGCATAAAGGCAAAAAGCACTACCCAAAGAATAGCAATTTCAAAGATTAAAGGAACATCAGCCCACATAGATGAGAAAGAACCAGTGCAGGAACTTTGGCAACTCTAAAAGTCAGAGTGTCTTCTTACCTCCAAATGATTACACCAGCTCCCAAGTAATGGTTTTTAATCAGACTGTAAAATGACAGAAATAGAATTCAGAATCTGGATGTCAATAAAGATCACTGAGATCCAGGATAATGTTGAAACCCAATTGAAAGAATATAAGAAATCCAGTAAAATAATTCAAGAGCTGAAAGATGAAATATTCATCTTAAGAAAAGGACCAAAGGGGTATGATAGAGCTGAAAAATGAACTGCAAGAATTTCATAATACAATCAGAAGTATTAACAGCAGACTAGACCAAGCTGAGGAAAGAATTTCAGAACTCAAAGACTCTGAGATAGGTCTTTCAAATCAATTCATTCAGACAAAAATAAAGAAAAAAGAATTTTAAAAAATGAACAAAACCTCCAAGAAGTACGGAATTATGTAAAGAGAGCAAATCTATGATTCATTGGTGTCTCTAAAAGAGAGAGGGGGGGCAAGCAAATTTGAGAATATTGTCCACAAAAATTTCCCAAACCTCACTAAGAGAGGTCAACATTCAAATTCAGGAAATTCAGAGAACCCCTGCAAGATACTACACAAGATAACCATCCCCCAGACACATAGTCATCAGATTCTCCAAAGTCAACATGAAAGAAAAAATACCCACGAAGAGAACCCCGTCAGGCTAACAGTGGACCTTTCAGTAGAAACCTAAAAGTCAGAAGAGATTGGGGGCCTATATTCAGCATCCCTTAAAGAAAAGAAATTCCAACGAAGAATTTTATATCCAGCCACACTAAGCTTCATAAGCAAAGGGGAAATAAAATCATTTTCAGACAAGCAATTGCTAAATGGAATTAATTACCATGAAACCTGCCTTACAAGAGGTCCTTAAGGGAGTGCTCAACATGGAAATGAAAGATTGTTACTGGCCACCACAAAAACAAACTTAAGTACAAAGACCATGGACACTATAAAGCAACTACACAATCAGGTCTACATAACAACCAGCTAATAATACAATGGCAAAATCAAATCTGCACATATCAATATTAACCTTGAACATACTTGGGCTAATCACCCCACTTAGAAGGTAAGTCGGATAAAGAAGCAAGACCCAATTGTATGCTGTCTTCAAGAGGCCCATCTCACATGCAATGATACCCATGAGCTCAAAGTAAAGGGATGAAGAAAGATTTATCAAATAAATGGAAAACAAAGAAGAGCAGGGGTTGCTACTCTTATTTCAGGGAAAAAAAACAGACTTTAAGCCAACAACTATCAAAAAGAACAAAGAAGGGAATTACATGATAAAAAGTTCAATTCAACAAGAAGACTTAACTATCCTACATATATATGCACTCAGTACTGGACACCCAGATTCATAAAACAGGTTCTTAGAGAACTAAGAAGAGACTTAAATAACCACACAATAATAGTGGGAGGTTTCAACACTTCACTGACACTATTAGACAGATCATCTAGGCAGAAAACTAGAATTTGGGACCTAAACTCAACACTTGACCAAATAGACCTAACAGACATCTATAGAACACTCCACCCAACAACAGAATATACATTCTTATCTCCCCATGGCACATACTCTAAAATCAGCCACATACTTGCCATAAACAATTCTCAACAAATTCAAGAAAACTTAAATCATACCAACCACACTCTTGGATCACAACATAATAAAAACAGAAATCAATACCAAGAAAATTTCTCACAACCATACAGTTACATGGAAATTAAATAACTGACTCCTGAATGACTTTTGAGCAAATGATGAAATTAAGCCAGAAATAAAAAAATTCTTTGAAATTAATGAAAACAAAGATAGAACTTCCAGAATCTGTGGGACACAGATAAAGCAGTGGTAAGAGGAAACTTTATACCACTGAACACCCACGTCAAAAAGTTAGAAAGGTTTTGAATTAACACCCTAACATCACACCTACAGGAACCAGAAGACCAAGAGCAAACCAACCCCAAAGCTAGCAGAAGAAAAGAAATAACCAAAGTCAGAGATGAACTGAACAACGTGGAGTATAAAAAACCATACAAAAGATCAATAAAATAAAAATGTGGTTCTTTGAAAGAATAAATAAGATTGATAGACTGCTGGCTAGACTAACAAAGAAAAAAAAAAGAAAGAAGATTCAAATAAACACAATCGAAAATGGCAAAGGTGAAATTATGACCAATCCCACAGAAATGCAAAAACAAACAAACAAACAAACAAACAAAAAAACCCTCAGAGACTATTATGTGTACTACCCACACAAACTTGAAAACCTAGAAAAAAATGGATAAGTTAATTTCTGGAAATATACAACCTTTCAAGATTGAACCAGGAAGAAACTGAAACCCTGAACAGACCAATAACAGGTTCCAAAATAGTAATAAAAAACTTACCAACCAGAAAAAGCCCTAGACCAGACAGATTCACAGCTGAATTCTATCAAATGTATAAAGAATTGGTATCATTTCTACTGAAACTATTCCAAACAATTAAAAAGGAGTACCTCCTCCCTACCTCATTCTATGATAAGGCCAGCATCATTCTGATACCGAAACCTGACAGAAACACAACAAAAAGAAAAAACTTCACACCAATATCCATGATGAACATAGATGCAAAAATCCTCAACAAAATGCTAGCAAACTGAATCCAGCTACACATCAAAAAACTTATACACCATGATCAGGTAGGATTTATTCCTGGAATGCAAGGTTGATTCAATGTATGCAACATAAACAACATATGCAAATCAATGTGATTTATCATGTAAACACATAAACACTAAAATCAAAAAACATATGATCATCTCAATAGATGCACAAAAAGCTTTTAACAAAATTCAACATCCCTTCATAATAAAAACTCAATAAGTTAAGCCAACCAAAGAAAGATACCTCAAAATAATAAGAGCCATCTGTGACAAACCTACAGCCAACATCATACTGAATGAGCAAAAGCTGGACACGTTCTTCTTGAGAACCAGAACAAGAAAATGATGCCCACTCAAACCACTCCTATTCAATATAGTCCTGAAATCCCTAGCCAGAGTAACCAGGCAAGAGAAAGAAATAAAAGGCATCCAAATAGGGAAAGAGGATGTTTAACTGTCTCTCTTTGTAGATGATATGATTCTATAGCTAGAAAACCCCATAGTCTGCCCAAAGGTTCCTAGATCTGATAAACAACTTCAGCAAAGTTTCAGGATACAAAATTAATGAACAAAAATTAGTGGCATTTCTATATACCAATAACATCCAGACTGAGAACCAAATCAAGAATGCAATTACATTCACCATAGCCACACAAAAAACCAAAATACCTAGTAATACAGCTAGCCAGGGAAGTGAAAGTTCTCTTTAATGAGAATTATAAAACACTGCTGTAAGAAATCAGAGACAACACACATGAAAAAACATTTCATGCTCATAGATAGAATCATATTGTTAAAATGAACATACTACCCAAAGCAATTTACAGATTCAGTGGATTCCTGTCAAACTACAAACAACATTTTCCAAAGAATTAGAAAAAACTATTCTAAAATTTATATGGAACCAAAAAAGAGCCTGAATAGCCAAAGCAATTCTAAGCAAAAAAGAACAAAGCCAGAGTCACATTCCCTGACTTCAAACTATACTACAAGACTACAGTAACCAAAACAGTACAGCACTAGGACAAAAACAGACACATAGACCAATGGAACAGGTTAGAGAACCCAGAAATAAAAACGAACACCTATAACAATCTGACCTTTGACAAAGTCAACCATAACAAGCAATAGGGAAAGGATTTCCTATTCAATAAAGGGTGCTGGGACAAGTGGCTAGCCATATGCAGAAGATTGAAACTAGACCCTCTTCTTTCACCATATACAAAAATCAACTCAAGATAGATGAAAGACTTAAGTGTAAAACCTAAAACTATAAGAAACCTAGAAGAAAACATAAGAAATACCATCCTAGACATAGATTTCATAATGAAGACTCCAAAAAGCAATCACAACAAAAACAAAAATTGACAAGTGGGACCTAATTAAAGACCTTTTGCACAGCAAAAGAAACTATCAGCAGAGTAAACAGACAATCTACACAATGAGAGAAAATATTTGCAAAGCATGTATCCAACAAAGATCTAATATTCAAAATCTATGTGGAACTTACACAAGTCAACAAGTGGAAAACAACCCCACTAAAAAGTAGGCAAAGGACATGAACAGACACTTCTGAAAAGAAGACATACATGTGACCAACAAGTATATGAAAAAATGTTCAACATCACCAATCATTAGAGAAATCCAAATCTAAACCACAATGAGATACCATCTCACACCAGTCAGAATGGCTATTATTAAAAAGTCAAAAACTAACATGGTGAGGTTGCAGAGGAAAGAGAAAGCTTACACACTGTTAGTGGGAATGTAAATTAGTTCAGCCACCGTGGAAAGCAGGTTAGAGATTTCTCAAAGAACTTAAAACAGAACTACCATTCAACCCAGCAATGTACGCTTATGTTTACTGCAGTACCATTCAAACCAGCAATGTACACTTATGTTTACTGTAGTACTATTCACAACAGCAAAGACATGTACTCAACCTAGATGCCCATCAATGGTGGACTGGATAAAGAAAACATGATACATATACATCATGGAATACTATGCAGTCATAAAAAAGAATGAAATTACGTCCTTTGCAGCAATATGGATGCAGCTGGAGGCCATTATCCTAAGAAATTAATGCAGGAACAGAAAACCAAATACTGCATGTTCTCCCTTATAAGTGGCAGCTAAACGCTGAGTATACATGGACACAAAGAAGGATAGACACCAGAGCCTACTTGAAGGGGGAGTATGGGAGGAAGGTGAGAATTGAAAAACTGCATTTATTCTCACTACCTGAGTGACAAAATAATTTGTACACCAACCCCCGTAACACACAATTTACCTATGTTGCAAATATGCACATGCATCCCCTTAACCTTAAATAAAAGTTGGAAGGAAAAAAATGTGGGATGCAATGAAAGCAATGCCTAGAGGCAAATTACAGCAATTCCATATATTAGAAAAGAAGAGAGATCTAAAATCAATAATCTAAATTTCTACCTTAGACACTAGAAAAAAAGATCAAATGAAATATAGAGTAAGCAGAAGAAAAAAATACTATTTAGAGCATAAATCAATGTAATTGCAAACAGAAGAACTACAAAATCTAAAAAAAAATCAAAACCTGGTTCTTTGAAAAGGTCAGTGACAGTTATAAACCTCTGGTCTGGCAAACCAAGAAAACAAGAGAGAAAACACAAATTACTAATATCAGAAATGAAAGAAAGACCATTGGTATTGTTTCCGTGGACATTAAAAGGATAATAAAGGAATATTATTAATAACTATATGCCTTAAATAACTTAGATGAGATGGACCAATTTCTTGAAAGACACCATCTATTAAACTTCCAACGCACCCCAAAAGAAATAGACAATGTGAACAGACTTATCTATGAGAAATTGAATCAATAATTAATAACCTTCCAAAACAGAACACAAAGCCCAGATGTTTTCCCGGTGAATTCCACCAAATATTTATGGCAGAAGTGATACCAATTATTTACAATCTCCTTCAGAAAGTAGAAGCAGATGTAACACTTCCTAACTTGTTTTATGAAGCCAGAACTAGGCTAATACCAAAATAAAGACATTACAAGAATGGAGATTACAAACTGATGTTATGAACATAGATACAAAAATTCTCAACAAAATATTAGCAAATTGAATCCAATAATGTATGAAATAATTATTCACTATGAACAAAAGGGAATTCTTCTAGGTATGCATAGCTGGCTTGGCATTAGAAAGAAATTAGTTTAATCCATACCCTTTACTCAATAGAGTAAAGAAGTCATATGACTATATAAATGAATTCTGAAAAAGCATTTGTCAAAACCCAGCACACGTTCATAATAAAAACTCTCAGCAAGCTAAGAAAAGAGGCAAATTACTCCAACTAAATAAAGAGTATCTATAAAAACTCTATAGCTGTCATCATACATATTATAACTTTCTAGATACTTTCTCCCTAAGAATGGGAACAAAGCAAGGCTATCCCCTCTCATCATTTGTCCTAGTCCATCAGGGCTGCTCTAACAATTGACCTTAGACTGGATAAATTACAAACTACAGAAATTTCATTGCTTAAGGGGTAAACGCTGGGTCCTTACCTGGTAGAAGGGGAAGCAAGCTTCCTTGTACCTCTTTTTTAAAGGCATTAATCCCAATTATGAGAGCAGAGCCCTCATGACCGCATTACCTCCCAAAGTCTCCACCTCTTGATACTATTGCTCTGGGAACTCAGTTTCAACACATGAGTTTTTGAGAGACATACACATTCAGACCATAACACCACTTCTATTCAATATCCCACTAGAAGTCTTAGCTAATGCAATAAGACAAGAAAAGTAAGAGATATACAGATTAGGAAGGAAGAAATACAACTGTCTTGTTTTCACACATGACATGATTGTTTATGTAGAAAATTTAAGAAGAAATCAGCAGAAAACATCCTGGAACTAATAAGTGATCATAGAAAGGTTGCAGGATGCAAGGTTAATACTCAAAGTTAATCACTTTTCTATATAGCAGCAATGAACAATTGGGATTTAAAATAAAATACACAACACTATTTACATTAACACTTCCCCAAAAGTGAAAGTTACGTATAAATATAATAAAAATATGTGCAAGGTCTATATAAAGAAAACTTTAAAACTCTGATGAAGAAAATCAAAGAAAGTCTAAATAAATGGAGAGATAGTCTATATTTGTGTGTAGGAAGACCCAGTATTTTTAAATTGTCAGTTCTTCTCAAGTTGATCTAGAGATTCAACACAATCTCAATAGAATCCTAGCAAGTTATCTTGTAGATGCCAAGAAAGTGATTCTAAAGTTTATACAGGAAATACAAAAGACTCAGAATAGCCAACATAACACTGAAGAAGAACAAGTTTGGGAGGGCTGACACTTCACAAATTTAAGATATACTATAAAATGACAATAATCAAAATAATGTGGTATTGATGAAAGAATAGACCTATAGATCAACAGAGAGCCCAGAAACAGAACCACACAAATATAGCCAACTGATCTTTGAAGAAGGAGCCAAGGAAATTAAATGACAAAAAAAATATATTCTTTTCAACAAATGGTGAAAACAACTGGGCATGTACATACAAAAATAAATAAATCTACACACAGACCTTACACTTTATAAAATTAACTCCAAATGGATCATAGACCTAAATGTAAAATTAAAAACTATAAAACTCCTAGAAGATAACATAGGAGAAAATCTAAGTGACCTTAGGTTTGGCCTTGAGTTTTCAGATAGAACACAAAAGCAAAATCCATGAAAGAAAAAAAAAAAAGGATGTTGGATTTTATTAAAATTTAAAACTTCTTCAAAAGACACTTAAAAAGGAAAAGGTAAGTCATACACTGAGAGAAAATATTTGCAAAACATATCTGATAAAGGAGTTATATCCAAAATATACAAAGAACTCTTGCCAGGCACAGTGGCTCATACCTGTAATCCCAGCACTTTGGGAGGCTGAGGCAGGAGGATCACCTGAGGTCAGGAGTTCAAGACCAGCCTGGCCAACATGGTGAAATCCCATCTCTACTAAAAATACAAAAATTAGCCAGGCATGATGGCAGGCGCCTGCAATCCCAGCTACTCAGAAGGCCAAGGCAGGGGAATCGCTTGAACCTGGGAGGCGGAGGTTGCAGCGAGCCGAGATCGCACCACTGCACTTAAAACTCAACAATATAAAATAACAAACAAACAAATTTAGTGAGCCAAAGATCTGAATAAATGTCTCACCAAAGGATCTATACAGAGGCAAATAAGTATGTGAAAACATACTCCACATCATATGTCATCAGGGAACTGCAAATTACAACAATGAGATACCACTACACACCTATTAGAATGGCTAACCTCCCAAAGACAGACCACACAAAATGCTGACAAAGATGTGGAACAACAGGAACTCACAGTCATCGCTGGCAGGAATGAAAATTGGTACAGTCATTTTGGAAGACAATTTGGCAATTTCTTCCAAAGCAAAACTTAGTCTTATATGATCTAACAATTACACTAGTTAGTATTTATGGAAATGAGTGAAAAGCATATGTCCACATAAAAACCTGCAAATGGATGTTTATAGTAGCTTTATTCATAATTGCCAAAACTTAGAAGCAACTAAGATATCCTTCAATAGGTAAATAGAAATTGGTATATCCATACAATGGAATATTACTCAGTAATACCAAAAAAAAAAATACTAAGCCACAAAAAGTCATGAAGCAGCCTTATATACATGTTATTAATTGAAAGATGCCAGTGTGAAAAGGCTATCTATTGTATGATTCCAACTAGATGATATTTTGGAAAAGGCAAAACCAAAGAGACAGTAAAAAGTTCAGTAGTTGTCAGAGATTTGGAGTGAGGGAGGAAGGGACGAATAGGTGGAACACACAGGAGATTCTTAGGGTAATGAAACTATTCTGTTTGGTACTGCACAAGAATGGATACATGACATTATCCATTTGTCTAAACTCATAAAAGTGTACAGCACACCAGTGATCCCTAATGTAAATTATGACTTCTACTACTGATAATGTATCAATACTGATTTGTCCATTGCAATACATATTTATACTCAAATTTTCCATAAACCAAAAAACTTCCCTAAAAATTGTCTATTAATTTTTTTTAAATAATGAGGAATCTATATATTTATATGGAAAGATCTATCTGATACATGGATAAGAGAAAACAGCAAGGGTAGAACAGTGTAAAAATGTGTTGCTTTTTACATAAGCATGGGGAAAATAAATGTACATTCATATTCGCTTGTTTGTCCTTAAAAAGCATTGGAAGAAAACCTATGGAACTAATAACAGTGGTTACCTGTGGGGCTGACTGTTGAACTGACTGGAGGAGGGAGAGTTATGAAAGAGAGAATATGTGAATCTATGTCATGTGATTGTAGCATTATTTATTTTCTAAATTATATTATTTTAAAAAACAAGCCCCTCAGAAGGTTTGTCTGAGCTCTGGGGAAAGCTGCGCTTGAATGTTCTAGAACTAATATTTTTATTTAACACTCTGAATAACTCTCCAGAATTTACCCTATAGAAATTCTTTCATGTGTGCACAGTGTGTTCAAAGAAACTACAAAGATATTCACTGCAGCATTATTTGTAATAGACAAAATTTTGGAAACATCTCAATATGTATCAACAGTAGAAGTGGTTAAGAGAATAGTGCTATAGACACACTAGGCACTGTGATGCATCAGTTAAAAAGAATAAAGTAACTTTGTATGAGTTGTTGAAAACATCCATGATTTATTGTAAAGAAAAAAAATTAAGTTGCAGAAAAACATGGACAGAAAACTTTTTAACTATAATATGATTTTGTTTGTAAATGTAATAAAGATCCTGAAGGATATATAACAAACTGAAAACAGTGCCCACCTCAGGGGAAGTTATAAGGGTAGGAGGGGAGAGTCCTGCTTTTTACCCTACTTCCTATTGTTTGACTTTTTTTCTTTGCAACTATGATGTATTGCTTTTTATACATGAATCCACACATAAAGATTTTTTAAAACCCAATGGAGTGTTCGTGTCCAGAAGCAGCAGCCATCTCAGGGACTGTTTGTCATTACCTCTATTCATTTCTTTCGGACCAGGAATGGCTAAAGGAACCTCAGTGTTCTCTGTAGCATTGTTAAGAGGGGCACTGAATCTAACTTGCCATACCCTGTAATTGGATCCTTCCAGTAAAGCTGCCTCAATAAAATGTCCCAAGTGCAGCAGCCAAGTGTTTAGGAGGCACATAAGACCCTGGTGGCAGCCTTGGAGGTAGGAGTGGGAGCCTGGGCCTGGGGCCTGGGTCTAAAATGCTGTAGGAGGCATGCATTAAAGTCCTAGCAAGCTTAACTAGCAACAGAGGGGCATGTCTGCATTTTTCATGCAGGCTTAGAGAGACTTGTTTGCAAGGCTTAGGATCCCTGGTGAGCAGTTTTCTGTGGCTTCAGTTACAGCACAATTTCAAAAGTATTAATGCAATGGGACTTTTGTATAACTACATTAGGAAAAGGAAAAAAATTAACTCTGGTTTCTCCAGCAGGCATTCACAACTGCTAATCATGAATATATCTCAAGAAAGAAGTGATTGTCGATAATTATCCCCTAAAGCCCACCTCATGCAATACCAAAAATGATAGGCAGAGAGGGACAGATGACTTCCTCTTTGCTTGGTCTGTAAGCACAATGTAAGTTCCATTCATATGGTCTTTCCTTTTATTGTTTCATCTCCCAGGGGCCTTGAATTCTCTTGTGATCTAAAGAATAAGCTCTCCATCCAGCCATTTTTTTGTTTTAAGGTTTCAAAACCCAAGAGCTGAATCCAGATGTGGCCTTTTAAGTCAAGCCAGCTTCGAGTCACAGACTGTTGGTGCCTAATGCTTGTCTGTCTCAGTTCCCCTCCTTCACACAGGGGGAGTAAAGGTCTTCAGATATGAAATTACATGGAGGTGTCAGTCACAGAGTAGGGACCTGAATTTTGGCCTCCGGAAATTCCATTCCAGATTTCTGAAGCCATGTGTTTATTCATTCTTATCCTCACTCATTTCTTCATTCAACAAATTCTTATTGAGCACCTACTATGTACAGAGAAGGAAAGCATTAGAGTTTAAAGTGCTAATTTTGGAAACAAATTGCCTAGGTTTTCATCCTAGCTCCAATGCTTATTACCTGTGTAACCTTTATCGAGTCACATAACTTCTCTGTATCAGCTTCCCCATATTTAAATGGAAATAATGGTGGAACCTACCTCATAACATTGTTGGGAAGACTAGAGGAGTTAAATTATGGAAGGCACTTAGTATGTGGTATAATGATTGCTACTGTTGTCATATTTTTATCATTATGTACCCAACATTATGCAGTGGATTCGGAATATAATGATGAACAAAACAGACAGGGGCTTACTTTCATAATGTGCATTGACTAGTGGGGAAGAGCTGGGACTTAATCTAATCAGGATGGTCAGACAAGGCTGACCTGAGAAAATGATGCAGTTCTGAAATCTAAAGGGTTAACTAGGCTAAATGGGAAAGGAAAGCTTCTTGAGTGAAGGAAAAAGAATGTGCAAAGGTCCTGAAACAGCTGGAGCATAGTTTTTTATAAAACTGCAATACTATGTGTGTGGCTGGAGCATAGATATCAAAGGTAGGGCAAGATGAGGTTGAGTCCTGTTAAGTGTCACATATCCTAGGGCCTTGCAGACCACTTTAATGGGTCATCATTATCCTAGAAATAATAAGAAGGAATTGGGGGGGCTTTAAGCAGGGAAACACCATGATTAGATTTCATTTTAGAAAGATCTCTCTGGCTGCTAAATAAAGAATCGATTGGAAGAATGTCCTTTCTCAAATATCCAGTGTCTCTCTTTGTTGACAATCATAGTAAATAAAGGGAGGGCATGCATCTAGGGGAAGAAGTCAGTGATTGTCTTCACAGAGAGAGGTGCAGAGAGGTTGGGTGGTGGGAGAAGGCCAGATGGGAGGTAAATTTTGCCTGCTTGCCAACTTAGAGAATTGCACAGCCAGTCTTTCTTCTTTAAATGGTCACCATATTGAATAGCAACAGGAGTAATTTTTTTTTTTAAAGCAAAGGAAACTCATTCTGGACACCTACAGCAAAAAGGGAATTTGTTAGAAGATGTGGAGGCATCCTAGGATCAAAGGGAAGGCTGCAAAACCAGGCTTAAAATGAACAGAGTCCAAGCAACTCCAAATCATTGGTAGAGGAGCCAGTGAAGAAGAAATCTCCACCTGTCTGCTCCTCTTCTTCCCTGCCCATTTGTTTTGGAATGGTTGCTAAGCAACTAAAACCCAACAGGTGTCCACTAGAATATTCATTCATGGAAGCATCTTCCTCTCCTCACACCTAATCATCTCCACAACCTCTCCCAACTGTTCCCAACACATCCCCTCAGACATGACAGTTTTCGCCACTCTTCCAGATTCCCTGCCATCGGATCCGTCTTTGTAAATGATAACATGCAGGGGTGCCTCCACATTCCACCCTTCAGCCATGGGCTCCACTTTGTTTCCAAATTTCTATTTTGCTTTCTGCTTCCTGATGGTAAACACCCATCTGTATTTTGAATTTTTTTAAAGACATTGACAGTAACCTGATCGCTGGCTACGTTCAGGGATATGTGGTAGGGTCAGAGAAAGAGCATTAGGTTTGCACATAGAAAATGAATTCTGGCTTCTGCTCACTAATTATGTGACCCTAAATAAGTCACTTACTCTGAGCCTCAGTGTCCTTATCAATAAAATGGGCATGACAACAACAGTTACTTCACAGATTACAGGACAATCAAAAGAAATTGTGAATGTGAAAACACTTTAAATCAGTGGTTCTCAATACTGGCTGTGCTTCAGAATCTCTTGTTTTGTTTCCTAAAAGACAGATAGCTTTCCCAGACCTACTGAGTCAAAATATCCAAGGGTAAACCTCAGACAGCTATATTTCTAAAAAGTTTCTAAAGTGATTCAAATGTGCAGGCAGAGTTAAAAAAAACATTCTGGATATAACCTTTTGGTTGCACGCTGCTGTCCAGCAACACTGACCCCACTGTGGTCTGGCTACTATGTTCTATCCCTTCTCCCTGCTGTTATTCCTAGGCATCTCCAAACCATCCTCTGCTTAGACTTCCCAGGAAGCCTTCAGTGATTCTAAATCAGACACATCAATGCTCCACTTGAATACCTTCAAGTGCCTCACAGTGTTCTTAGGATGAGGAACAGATGATGACTTGAGGCCCTGCAGGATTTGGTTGTGCCAACCTCTGACCTCAACCCCTCTCGCTCCCTCTTCTCCTTGTGTTCTGACCCACAGTTCTTTCTGGTTCTCCAACACACCAGGTTCCCTTTCCCTGGGGTCCCTTGCACTTGGTGACCCTCCTGTCCAGAATGTTCTGCTCCAGACCTCTGAATGTCTGGATTTTTCTTAACATTGAGCCAGAGGAAGACCTACCAGACCATCCAACCTCAATTACTCCCTCCTCACCTGTCACCCTCCATCCATCACAGCACCTGATTTATTTTCTTTAAGTCACTTACCCTTCTCTGAGATCATTCATGTATTCATTTTCTTATTTCTATCCATTTTTCCTGGCTAGAATGTAAGTTCTGCAAGAGAGGGATATTTCAAATATAGGTGATTGATTTATCTGTAGTGCTAAGATTGCCTGGCACATAGTAGGTGCTTAGTAAATTAATCAGAGCATGAATAAATAAATGCACATTTTGTTATCTAGGGCAAAGGAGACTCATATCTTGCCATCCTCCGATGGTTTAGCCAAGCTATAAAATGACCAGAATTTCTACTTTGATTCACCTTCCAGTTGCTGAATTGTAATTCCTAAAATTCACAGCCAAGCACTATCAGGTGACCACAGACTCCAAAAGGTATCATAAATTGCTTCATATGTGTTCTTCTGGGGCTTAGGCAATGAACTTGATATTTACTGTTTGGCAAAGTCTTTCTGTTTTACTTTGTTGGTAGGTGTAAGTTGATTTTTGCAGCCAAAAACACCTCTTTCTGGCTGGCTTCCCTGTTTTTCCTCCTTTTACTAGCATACCCTGGAGTAGTATAACCAAGCTGAGGTGAGTTATGTGCAGGGAAATGGGCCTTAATGAATAGAAAATCCATGGAATTCATTTGATGTTAGCACATTAACACTCTCTTTGCCAAGTCTTCCAAATTTCAACTTTTCTGCACACAAAAATAAAAATATTGGAGGAAGGTATATCTCTTTTAAGACCATGATCTTGGAAATACATAAGCAATTCCATACCCTTTTTTGTAGTGAAACGTGCTCAAAAGCAGTCAACCATCATCAACAAACCCCAGACTCAAATGTCAACAAGCCCCATTGGCATAATATATTGGCAGGGGCTTGGGCCATGACGTCAGGTATACTAGGTGCTGTGGCTTATTGGCTGTGGATCTGGGGCAAGGAACTTAGCCTTCCTAAGTCTCAGGTTCCTCATCTGTAAATTCAGGGCAATAATAGCACCTGTGTCGTATCATTAACCATTGTTAAGATGAAATAAAATAGATGTCAGGTGCCTAGCTTATTACTAGCATGGAGTAACCATTCTATGCATGTTAGCTGAAAACTAAATAAATTAACTAAATAAGTGTCATTCCCCTCTCCCTCCTTTTTAGATTTCATTTCCCTACCATGCTCTTCCATGCTATGCTCTCCTTCAAGAATGCTGAATGATGGGATCGATTTGGAGAGAAAAATAGGCCCAGTTACAATTGGGGTCCAGCCTGGAGCTATCATTTTCATATCAGAAATTCCCTGATATACTGTAGAACATAGTCTCTCACCCACCAAATAGAGATAATAATATACCCTGCAGGCTGAATATGGAGTCGAATTATTCTCACGAGTCTGTTTCCTGCAAGATCTTTTGCCAGGTCCTGGACATATTACATTAAAAAAGACATGGGCCCACCCCCACGGATCCCACAGACTCACTTCAAATCTCAATTCTGTCTCTGCCTGGCAAAAATGTGAGCCAGTCACTGGGCTTGCTGAGCCTCGGCTTTGTCCTTTAGAAACGGATATCTGGCCTCCTACACCCTCTGTGCTGAATGGGACTTCAATAAGATAAAGCATTTCTAGTGGTCAGAATCCAACTCTGGATAACTGAAGCAGGAAGATATTTTTAGAAGTTTATCGGGTTACTCAAACTACCAACCCAAAGGCTGGAAAACACACAGTATCCAAGGGCCTCACAGCTACTTGCAAAAGGAACGCCTGCAGAGAACGTAGTCACTGCTAGATACCAAGGCCCTCACCACAGAAAGTTGCAGCCACCACCAGGAATAATTGATTCCCTCCAAATTTACATCCTGGCTCACAACCCAAAGGCCCAGAGAGGAACATCCAGTTGTCTGAGCCTAGATCATGAGTCCACTCTCCAGCTGCCAGGGGTTGGGGAGAGGGAAATCGAGACACTGTCAGTTTCCAAAGTGGGAGGTAAGCACTGCCTTCCTCCATCCCCCAGGTTGAAGGATTATGTGGGTGCTGAGCAGTCCCCCAATGCCAAATACCCACTGAAGGATATGAAAGTACTTTGCACGCCACGGATAGCTGTGTCTTTCTGAATCATGCTGACTAGGCAGAGTTCAACCACCTATGAGTAGGGCTAATGAGAACCACAGACCTAAGGAGCACGTTCATTGTGCTTTAAAAGAAAGAAGAATGAATTATCCATACTCAAAAGAGATTTACTGTAAGAGCCCACGGGCATTTCCTAGAAAAATTCCAATAGTTTCATGCTGTTAGGACAAGGCATTTGTGTAACTTCTACAGGGGAAATGGCTTGGTGCTTTATTCACTAATATCAACCTGTCATCTCGTTACTATTGATCAGCACTGGCTGGCCACCGGCATGTTGGGAGGGAGCTGGTTCCTCAAAGGTCGGCCCTGACCTGAAAATCCTCCTGCCCAGTGCCAGGTAGTTTCTGAGAGCTCCAGAAAATTCTCCAGCCAATGCTGTCTTCCCCTATAGCCTCCTCTGCCTCAGAGGGTGAAAAAAAAAAAAAAAAAAAAAAAAAAAAGAGTGACTCCATGTATGAATTGAGAGAGAAAGGTATTTTAAACACTGCTGGGCACTGTCTTAACAGCTGCCTTCACTCGGTAAATATATTTGTTACACGGTGCCAGGAAATTGTGAAGGAGAGAGCAGAAGAGGGAGAAACAATAGCTATCTTTGGAGCCTGAAGTCTTGCTTGGAGTCACTCACCACCCTGGCACCATGCCAAAAGCACGCTTTTCCCCACCATCTCAATCCTCCAATGTACCCCTGCATCCTTTTATAATAAGCAGCCTTGAGTGCTGTCATTTAATACCCATACACAGGGCTCCCCAGAGCTTGGAAACTCTTGCAACTGTCTCCTTGATAGGCATCTAAGAAACAAATGAGGAGAAAGGATGTCTAAAGTCTCCATTAACATTGTTAGGTTAGAAACGTTGACAATAAGTCGATTCTTTTTGACATGACTGTCCTGGTAATGAAGGGACATTTCTACATGACTCTTCCTAATGTAAGATAAGATATGGATGGCCTCTGATTTTTCTGACACATGTCCAGTATATCAAAGGGGTGGGGACTGGTATAAGAAAATGGGTTGTTTCAGTGACACATTAATAGAAGCCCTGGTTGGGAGATGAATGATAATGCTACCTTGGGCTTGAGTGTTCTGGCAGCTCACCTGGGAATGTAAGCTGGAATTCCTAGAAGAGGGGGTTAGAAAACCCAGGGGCCTCCACTTAACACCCAGATGAAGTCCCCTCATTTGCCCATAGAATCATAGAAAATCACAGGGAGGAGGGGAATTACCCATGCTCTAGAATGCTATTTTTCATCTGCCTCTGGCTGGGTTATGGGTGGGAGTAATTAGGTGGGCCTGGTTGTGACCTGTCAAAAAGAATGGATCTGCTGAGATTGGTGGCAGACCCCTTGAGCAGGCAGGAATGAGGCTGTGTGGGAGAGTAGACTAGCCAGGCTGGCCAGGAGGCTAGAGCAGGGAAAGCTGGCCCCCATAATTGGACGAGAATAGAACAGAGACTCCGGAAGCAGAAGTTGAAAGACCAGCAATTTCAGCATCCAGTAATCTTTCTCCAGACACTGAGCCTGCCCCATAGAGCTCCAGGAGTTCTTAGGAGGTCACATTTGGTAAATAAAAACAGAACTAAACAAAACCCAGCCTCTGTGCTCCCAACTCACCTCACCCTGCCCTACTTTTTCCATAGCATTTAACCACCTTCCAACATATAATATAATTTACTATCATGTTATCTTAGATGTAGATAAGCCTCAGGGCATGGCTGTTTGCTTTGTGTTCCAAGGCCTACAACAGTGCCGACATATAGTAGGCACTCCATAAATACTTCCTGAAAAAATTACTGATTTTAAAAATTGCTGAAAGTCAGCCGGGCACGGTGGCTCACGCCTATAATCCCAGCACTTTGGGAGGCCGAGGCGGGTGGATCATGAGGTCAGGAGATTGAGACTATCCTGGCTAACATGGTGAAACCCCGTCTCTACTAAAAATAACAAAAAATTAGCCAGGCGTGGTGGCGGGCACCTGTAGTCCCAGCTACTCGGGAGGCTGAGGCAGGAAAATGGTGTGAACCCAGGAGGCGGAGCTTGCAGTGAGCAGAGATCACACCACTGCACTGCAGCCCGGGCGATAGAGCGAGACTCCATCTCAAAAAAAAAAAAAAATTGCTAAAAGTCAAATATTTCCTTTTTTATTTTTTAAGGACAGGGTCTCACTCTGTTACCCAGGCTGTAGTGCAGTGACACAATCATGGCTCACTGCAGCCTCAAACTTTTGGGCACAAGCGATCCTCCCACTTCAGCCTCCCAAGTAGCTGGGACTACAGACCACACTCAGCTAATTTTTTTTTTATTTATTTTTGTAGAGACGGGGTTCTTACTATTGCCCAGGATGGTCTCAAACTCCTAACTTCAAGCAATTTTCCTGCCTCGGCCTACCAAAACACTGGGATTACAAATGTGAGCTAACACACCCAGCCATCAAATGTTTCTCTTTTGAAAAAAATTTATAAAATTAGTTAAACTTCTT
This sequence comes from Homo sapiens, assembly GCF_000001405.40. Classification (NCBI taxonomy): domain Eukaryota; kingdom Metazoa; phylum Chordata; class Mammalia; order Primates; family Hominidae; genus Homo; species Homo sapiens. Next base: position 158,318,645 of record NC_000005.10, on the reverse strand, counting down.
TGGCAACTTAACCACACTATATGAATGAGAGATGTTGTTACATTATTATTAAATTTTAAAATCATCAAAAAGATGCAAAGGAAACAGCAAGTACTTTGGAAAAGGTGAGCATTCTAGGGAAGGCACTAAAAGCAGAAGATTGATAGGTTTGCCCTATGAACAATTACTTATGCATTTTCGGGCTTTAACTCCCTTCTTGGTAATAATACAGACAGTTATGGTACTAATGAAAGTAATAACCATCAATGTTTATGAAGTCCTGATAATGTCCCAGGCCCCAGGGCAAAACAGTTTAGATGCATTCTCTCACCTAATTCTTAAAGCAACATATTAGGCAGTTGCCATGATTACCACTTCTGTTTTACAGATGAGGAAACTGAGTCACATAGAGGTTGAATAATTCTCTCACAATCACACAGTTATCATAGTACAAGGCAAAGCTGGGCACTTGAACTCCAAATTTTCTGATTCCAAGCTCCCACGTCAGGCCTATGTCATACCTCCTGTTTGTCATTCTCTCCTTGCCTCTTTGTCGATCACTTTTCCTCTAGTCCACACTGGTAAAAGGAAAAACCTAAAAAGGTGAAGAAGTCATTTGTAGTCTTAGGAAGGAGAAAGGCACAGTCAGCTAGGTAGACACATTGCAGAGGACTCAAAATTGCTTTCAACCAATCTCCCCCTTACCCTCGGAACACATAATGCTAAAGATGCAACTAGGAGAGTTGTATGAACTCAAAGATGTTCATTGGACTCCTTTCTTTAATCAATTTAATATCAAAGGGTTAAGAAAATGCTTCTTATGAAATAGCACAACCCACCACTGAACTGTATACCTGATCTGCCTCCCTTCTCGGGCTGCCTCTTGATTTATTCTGTCACAGCCCCACCTCAAGCCTCACCGGGCAGATGGTGCCAGATGGTAAACTTATAACAACTTCTGCAATCAAACTGCGGAGAGGTTGCCAAACTCCCTTCCTCTGATCCCTAAGAGTCACTGGAAGATGCCTCGGGTGCCCCATGGGAGGGAGTGTGATGGGGAGAGGGTGTACTTCAACCAGAATGTGGCTCTGCTTTTATCTGCTTCACACCTTGAATTTCTGAACTAAGTTTGTTTCTAAAGGCTCATCTGTAACAAAAGAGAAGAATATGAAATCACAAGATAGAGAAACACAGTTTATTAAAAAGAGACCTTGGCTCACAGTTGAGAAAATTGGGTCCTGGTTCCTCCTCTGCCATTGCCTTGAGCAAATCACTTAACCCCTTGGGACTCAGTTTTCTCATCTGCAAAATGAGGAGATTTTGTATCAGTATTAGTTAATTAGTTGTGACAAGTGTACCAAAGTGATGTTCACAATACGGCAAACTGAGTATGGTGTAAACGGGAACCCTCTGGAATATTCTTACAGCTTTTCTGTCAGAAACTATTAAATATTTTAAAGTTTATTAAAGTTAAAAAAAGTTGAGCCTCATAAAATCTATTTCAACTTTTTTTTTTTTTTGAGACAGGGTCTCATCCTGTCACATTGTCACCCAGGCTGGAATGCAGTGTCACAATCATAGGTCACTGCAGCCTTGACCTCAAGTGATCCTCATGTTTTAGCCTCCTGAGTAGCTGGGACTACAAGCACGCACCACCATGCCCAGCTAATTTTTTACGTAGAGACAGGGTTGCACTATATTGCCTAGGCTGGTCTTGAACCCCTGGCCTCGAGCAATCCTCCCGCCTCAGTCTCCCAAAATGCTGGGATTACAGAAGTGAGCCACTGCGCCCGGCCGATATTCCAGCTTTAAAAGGCACCTGATGCTATCCATTATTTAAAGAAAGCTACCTCAGTACATTTTTCAAGTTTCTTTGGTTAAAATTTCAGTTTGCCATTTATTGACTTTCCACTATACCTGGAGATGCAGAGGAAAACTCTAATTTCTGGAATGGTTTTTGATAATGTTTTATCTTATAAAATTAAGTTCGTCTGGATCCTGGAGGCACCTAGCTCTGGGCATCCTCTGTTGTAGAGTCTTGGGATTTTTTTTCGGCCATCCTTACTCCTTGGTCTTATATATACTTACTATATTGGTCTACAGTACGTACCACAACTATGTGTATGCAGTGTACACACACACATATGCACTCACACACACACAAACACTAAACTAGATAGATAGGTCAATATTTTAGTTTTACTGTCCTAATGTTATAAACCTGTAAAGTCATGCTGGTACTTTAAGTAGATGAAGTAGACAGTTCAAGACTTAGTTAAGTTTAAAAAGAGAAGTCTCAGTTATCAAAAATAGACTTTTCCATATCAAATTTCAGCCTTTGGGTTTCACTGTCATCTCCTTGGTTATTTCCAGACCACCGATCAGCATATGACTATATTTTGCTGGTTCCCAACCAACATCTCCATGTAAGAAGTTCTTGTCAGAAAACTACTGATGTTCACAAATGATTTTAATACACATTGGGGTTTTGAGAGTATATGGAAACAAGGGGAGTATGGTGTGTTGGCCCCAGTTCTTATTTCACTGAAGAAAATGGGCAAGTGTTTGCTTCTTAGCAATGCTTTCTGTTTCCCTTCTTGACCACAAATGCCTTAAGGATAGTTAATGACAATACTATCTTGGGGGCTTTCAAAGTCCCCCAAACACTTGATTCCATGGGGCTTGGACCAATCTATAAATTGGGTGTTTGGAACCAAATTGCACAGCTATTGCTGACTAGAGTGGCCATAGTGAAATCATAGCTACCTGACCCGCTTACTTGAAAGGCCTTTAAAAAAAAGAAAATCTATTAATCAATTTGTTTCTTGAGGCAACTTAGCAACAGGGATCCCTGCAATAGATTGGGTGATTTCGCTAATGAGCAAGTTGGATTGAATAGTTAGTTGCATCAACTTAATTTAATTTTTAGGCTATTGATTTTCATTAGGAAGATTTAATACAACCTTCCCACCTTCCTATAGACATCCTTTTCCCATTGGTGATATGCTATGTTTCACAATTGCCCCAGTGGAATATGTCCGGAAGACTATTTCAACATGTCAAAAACTGGGGGAATCTGTGGCAAACAGAACTTCCCATTATTAGGAAACCAAGACACAACGATTTCTAAGCCCCATACTTCAGAGATCAACCCCCCATTTTTTAAAACTCATACCCATTACAATGTTCTCTAATTGTATCTTCCGTATATACCCTCTACTCAAGAATATTTGGGTGGAGCTTCGATTTCTCCATTAATTCACTTCTTCAACAAATATTTATTGAGCATTTACTATATCCAGGTACAATACTGAGGTATCCAGATACAGAGCTGAGGATAGTTTGGTAAATAAAAGAACCAAAGATCTGCCCTTAGGAAGCTTAGCCTTTACCGGGGAAGACAGATAATTAACAAGTAAATAAATACATGCATAATTACCTAGTGTGGTAAATCCTATGTTGAAAACTAAAAGAGAAGATAATAGAGAATAATATGAGTGAACCAACTGATGTATGTTAGGGAATAATACAAGTTAATACGTATTGAGTATTGCTCTGAGTACATATATTTTCTTATTTAAACTTCTTAACAATCCTATGAGGTAGACACATAATAGCCTACATTTTTAAGATAAGGAAACTGATTAACAGAGAATTCTCAAACTGATTAAGGAGTTTGCCCAAGGACAGATAGCTGGCAATTAGCAGGTTCAAATTTTGACCCCAGCAGACCAGCTCCAGAGTCCACACTCAACCACTGCACCACACTGCCTTTTTGGAGAGATGCTATTTACTCTGATAGCTGAAAGCTTGCAACGAGGCACCCAGACAAGAAGCAGGGGCAAAGCATTCAGCGAAGCTGGAATGGTGTGCATGAAGTTCCAGAGGCAAGAACTCTGCTGGCATTCTAGGAGGCAGGCCAAGCTGCCACATGGGGGGTAAGAGATGAACTTATCTTCTGCACGTGTACAATAGAAACATTTTAAATATGTGTTTTAAAAACCACGTCTATCAGTCTCAAACCAGAGATTCTAAAACATCCCCATTGAAAGTTGTCATAAATGGGCTCATCGAATCACTGAAAGGATAATCCTGGCCTCCGAATCTCAGTGGTATATGGAGAGCTTCTCTCTCACTCTGCAGGGAGAGCCCTTGAACCATTTTATTTGACCTTGTAAGACTGTTTAGTGGCTATCCATAACCCCAGCTTTGAACTTCTTGAGAGCAAGACACCATCATATTCATCTTCATAGCCTTAGTTCTAGCACAGCCTGTGGTACAGAGGAGGTAAATAAAGGAGGAAAACACGGCTAGTGACTGGATGCATGACAGTGCCTCACGTATGGCCTGCAGACAACAAATGTTTCAGAAAGGGAAGATAAGGGCTTGTTTACATCTGAATGACGAGGCGGTGGGGGTCAGAGCACAGAATCACCAGCTAGAGTGGGGTAAGTGTGAAATCATCTGAAAGCTCAAGGCAAACACCCCCACACCTAACTGTAGGCTGTATTCATAGGGGCAACCAGCTCAGTTCTCGGTTTCCCTCTTCCCAGAGAGCACTGTGTTTATGAGCCTATTCAGCTGCTGGGAGTTCCAGGGGGAGATGACTTCAGAAGTGTGATATTTAAGAGCAGGAGGAAGGAACGGCTTGGTAAGGATGCTGGGCCTCTATTTATTCCACTCCGTATGCCAGGCTCCAAGACTTCTCGGCGGATTCCCATTTGTCTTTCTCCTGTGGAATATTTCAGATTTACAATGCCATCTGTTGAGGAGTGCGGGCCCAGGCAGCACAGTTCAGCCCGAGGCCCTTCTGCTGCCCAAGGCCGGGAGGTGGCCCAGAGAGGCTGGTGCCAGGCTCGTGAATTCCCCGCCCGAGCCAGGCTGAGCAGCCTCCAAAGAGTGATGGATTAGGACCCCAACAGGGCTACCTCCTCTTTTTACTGCGTCTGGATTGGTGGCATAGGCGCGATTTCTGGTCCTCCTTGTTTGTCTGCGTCTTGCACACTCTCACTCACGTTGTTGAAAACAGTCTCCTGGCTTGGATCTGGGCTCCCTGGGCTTTCGCTCTTCCACCTTGTACATTAACTCCTCTCTCTTCTGGCATTTTCAGAAACTGCCTTTGCCAGGGCTCTAGGGGGTGGCTGCTGAACTCTGCAGCTCTGACTAAGGAATACACTGTCACAAAATTACTAGAGTATCATTCAGAAAACAAAGGGCACAATGCTTCAAACACTCAGATGCTGTTTTGGAGTATTTGGGGTCTACCCATTTGTCCCATTTCACCCAGGAAAGCCTTTGTATTTCGAAAGCAAAGCTATCTGCCTACCTGGAACTGACACATACAAATGCACCCCGGCTCCTTTTGCACAGCAGGCACCGCTGCAATCAACAGGCCATGTGCGTGCCCTGGAATTTGCAATCGGGCCATCCTCCAGCATCCCAGGCTGGAACAGTAACCAGCGGAAGTACAGGATTGATGGGCAGGAATCTGCTCTGTCATTCAACTTGCATCACCTCCTGCCTGAACAGCACATTCATCTTTTCAGAGTGCTTTCCTGTGCCCATGCTTCTTCTAACTGGATCCCATAAAACCCTGGGAAATGCACAGAGTGGGTCTCATCACTCCCACTCTCATTTGGCTGACAAAATTCAGGGAGGACATATAATTTGCCCAAGGTCACACTTTTCTTAGTGGCACATGATCCAACTCATCATAATCCAGCGTTCTTCCCTCCATATCAGATTTTCACTCCACTTTCCAATAATAAAATAATGGTGCTTCCACCAGTACCACCCAATACATAACTAGACACTTTACTTTGTGATTTGCTTTGGGGATGTCAAAGCCTTAATTCGGGAGTATTTTAGTAATTTTAGTAATTCGCACTTAACCAGTTTAGAATCATGTTAGAATGGACTGGCCCACTTTGACTTAAACTATCTATGAAAAAAAAAAAAAAACTGTGGGCTACACAATTTGCTAAACCACCATCACCATAATAATGACTTGAGCAGCTAACATTTAGTGTTAACCCTATACCAACATCTCTTCTGCTTTTCACATACTTCGATCTCAATGAGTCCATGTGGTGGATAATATTGTTTTTACCATTTTACAAGGAAGAGAATCAAGGCAAGAGAGCTCAGGTCACTCGCACAAGGTCCCACAGTTAGTCTGTGGCTAAAACAGGATTTGAACTCTGAACTGCAAAGGCTATACTTCTAGTCAATTTCACTACAAATCAGATTAAGATTCTCAGAAGGATAAAGGGAAATTGAGGGCGCACAGAGTTAGACAACAACAGGAAAAACATAATGCCAAGAACTCTTAAAGTTCAGTTCTCAGTGCATGATACGTTAAATATAAAAGGTTTTTCTCTATTCTTTAAACAGGCCTTGAGGAATTATGTCTCATATCTCTGAAGTCAGAGAGTATTACTGAATTACTACATTACCTATTCTCTACTCAGGCTCTCACCCTACAGTCACCCTTCCCATCATGTGTGTGTTACATGTTCCACAGCAGTCATTTAAAAATAGATGGACCCCATCACACAGTCTGTTTATAAGAGATCTCAACCCTCCTTCCATTTGCATGTTTAAGATTACAGCTTCTTCAGTGTAAGCAAAATATCATGGACTGAAAAAGTCATGAGATGTGATCAAAAGCCAATGAGCCAGAAAAGGCAAATATGGCTGTACAAGTTGCTCATTTCTGTGAAAACAAATAAAATTTTAAATGTAACAATGTCAGCAGTTTCTTTTAGCGGCGGCAGAGATTGTCTCTCCTCTTCCTTGGCACAACAGACATTACATTTAAGCTCAACTCTGACATATGCAACTGAGTCTGAAAACACTGGTACCTTGTGTGGGACGACATTAAAGGGACAACCAACCTAGGCTCTACAGAAACCATTCAAAATTCCTAAGAATTCCTTCGAAAATGCAAATGTACTAATCACTAGCCTAGTCCTATGTTTAACAGGTTCTCCCCAAATATATACTTTATATATTTTTGCTAAGATGTGAATTAACATACTCCTTTTTTACTTTATTGAGACATAATTCTGCCAATTGCTATGAAAATTGAAAAACCATTGGAAAATTCGCAATGTCATATTCAAATCTTTGCAAAATCTCAAACATTTCTCTCAGACTTGCTTCTCTTTAAAGTGAAAAATGACAGAGAAAAGCAGATGTAGCTGATGTGAGATTATTTATTATTTTTATAATCCTTATATATGCAATTTATTTGGGAAAAGGAATGGTTTGAAGAACAGATGGACCCTTGGCATATGCAGGGTGATTCCAAGGTAGGAAAAACAAAGTATCCTTCTAACATGGAAAGTTTGTTTGGTCGGTTGTTGTTTTTTGTTTTTTGGTTTTTTTTTAGTGAGCCAAGACCAGGATGCTTTTATTTAATGGAAGGAATTGTGATAGAAAGAAATAATAAAGGAAATATTAGAGTGTATTATATGTAATAAGGGGAAGCATTGCTTCAATAATTAACACATATATGAATGTTGGGATGAAATTATAAAATGTATTTATTCCTAGAAGTTATAGTGGAAAAGTCTTAAGACCATTGATTTAGACACACTGTGGAGACTTAGGAACTTAGAAGAATAATAGACATGCTTATCAATGTCTACTTGAACCACAGCTACTTCAATAGAGCCTGCCTCACCCACGTCTGCATAACATTACTCCATAATTCTTTTTTTTTTTTTTTTTTTTGGCGGGGGCTGGGGGGTGGGGTCAGAGGTGTATGTGCAGGTTTGTTACATGGATAAATTGTGTGTTATAGGGGTTTGGTGTACAGATTATTTCATCACTCAGGTAATGACCATAATAGTGTTGTTTGGTTTTTGCTTGTTGATTTGTTTAAGTTCCATACAGATTCTGGATATTAGACCTTTGGGTATTAGGCCTTTGCCCAATAGTTTGCAAATATTTTCCAGCAGTGGAGGTTTTGCCAACCAATTCTTAAGAACCTGAATTCCAAACACAACATGAGTTTATGGCCTCACCCATGAAACTCAACTTCCCAGTTATAAAGAAAAGGGGGATTACAGAGACTTATCATTAAGCAAGTTGACTCCAAATCCAATTGTGATGATTTAAGCATAAATGCATCCACAAGCTGAGGATTAAATTTCCTATAACATATGCCTAAATTTAGAATCCTACAAAAAGTAGCTCAAGAAAAAAATGCACTTCACATTTCCTTCACCCAAATGCTTTAGTAAAAAGTGTCTTAAGACATTTAACTAGTAAAGCACATAACCAACAATTTACTGACCCCCAAAGATCTTGTTCTTGCAAATACCTAAAAGCTAAAGAGAAAAGCTTGAGAAGGAAAAAAAGAAAGAGAAAAAGAAAGGAAGAAGGAAGCAAGAAAAGGAGGGAGGAAGGAAGGAGGAAAGGGAGGAAGGAAAATAGGGAGGCAGGGAAGTGAGGAAGGGAGGTAGGGAAGGGAAGGAGGGAGGGAGGGAGGAAGGGAGGGAGGGAGGTAGGGAAGGGAAGAAGGGAGGGAGGGAGGAAGGGAGGGAGGAAGGGAGGGAGGGAGGGAGGGAAGGGGGAGGGAGGAAGGGAGGGAGGAAGGGAGGAAGGGAGGTAGGGAAGGAAAGGAGGGAGGGAGGGAGGAAGGGAGGGAGGAAGTGAGGAAGGGAGGTAGGGAAGGGAAGGAGGGAGGGAGGGAGGAAGGGAGGGAGGAAGGGAGGGAGGGAGGTAGGGAAGGGAAGGAGGGAGGGAGGGAGGAAGGAAGGAAGGAAGGAAGGAAAGGAAAGAAAGGAAAGGAAAGGAAATAGAGAGAGGAAGGAAAGAAACTTAGAGCTCCTCTGAAATCCTACTTTGGATTGTGAAAGCACAAGAATCTTGACACAATATATTGTTTTTTCTCTGTCATCACCACAGATCTGTATTTCAAGCTCAGAACTAGCATATTGTTTCCATTGAGTGGGATGAACAAAATTTGTTTCCAGGAAAACTTTAAAATGAGCCCCATGTTTAAGTCTCCATCGGTTAGGTCATAAAGAACAGCAATCAATTCCAAAGTCTGATGGCTGCTCATGGTGTCATTTGCTGCTTCACATCTGTTTTACTCGGAAATGACGTTCCCAATTGAGTGTGTTTTCGGCAACTTCCCCATTAAATTACTGCAGTTTTATATAGAGATCATTGTGTACGTTTCATGAATTCATGTAAAGCTAAAATAAATGGATGCTTTCAAGCTTTACAGTTTCCAATCTGATATTTTCCCCAAACATAATAGGACAAGAAGTGGAGGGGGAGTAGAAAAGAGGAATGGCTAGATAGCACATCTTTCAAGAAAATATGGCAAAAAGGAGGATTATTTTTAAGTTGTAAAAGTTCTGGACAGCTTCCCATTACAGATCATTATAGCATAAAGTATTATTGTTCTTTTTACAGAGCCTGGCTCGTTTTTATTCTCTCCTATAGATGCTTGGGCTGTTAGGTTCCAGCAGTCTGTGGTTTCACAGCTTCCTTGGCCAGCCAGGGTAGATGCTATAATTCTGTGTTGCTTTCCTAAAAACAAAGGTAGGAGGCTGTCAGCCTTTCTCCAACAGATGGGAGGCATGATAGTGCCCATCTTCACTCACAGGTATGATCATTTCTGCCCAACAGTGAATTGGTTCCCACCCCACTCCAGAGCTGAGCCTGGTGCAGTGGGAATTTCAGGTCAGAGGTAAAAGCAAATGTTTCTGAAGACATAGAAGAAGGGAGGGAGAGTTTAATCTCAGTCCTCCTGATTTAGAGTCCCGGGGTAAATGCCGCTATAACAAGGCTCCGAACCAACAACAGGATGACATAAGCTCTTCCATTTCTAACCCAGTTACCCACCAGAACCCAAAGCATCCTGAAGCTCATGATGTATAAATTTAATTTCTCTTTTATGGCCGGAGCAGTGTTTTCCATGATTTATAAATCATTTGGTCGGTGATTTCTTTGAAATCTTTGCCTCATTTATGCTCTTGACCTCTTGACCTCCTGATACATTTATTTATGCCAGAGATCTCTTTGCAGTGGTGCAGTTTAATGTCATTTGCCCGAGACTGGGTGGCTGAAAGGCAAAGAAACAAATATGAATGCTAAAGGGGGTTTGTGATGCAAAACTGTGTGTTTAAAAAGAAGGATAAACAAAGGAAAATGTGAACACTTAAAACATATTCCTGCACTATTGATGTATTGCTGGAACCCTCTTTTTATTGAATACTTTATGGGTATCTGATTATATGGCAGTTGATGGGGCAATGAGAGAATACTGATCCTCACAGCAAAAATATTTGCTATAAATGTCATGACATGCCTTGTCTATAATATGATTCTTTCCAGATGGTTATTTTTCAAGTTTCAGAAATGGAAAAATATGCCTTAAGACAAGTATACATAAAAATGATGCCTTTCTCCTTTGTCTATTTTTGATTTTAGTTTATTCATACTCTGTTGTTTACCATGAAGCAATGTGCTAAAGAAATCTGGTCAGAATGACATCTGATTAATTGGGCAGGGCACTTCCTACATAGCTCTTTGCTGATAACCCAGCTGTCCAAGAACCATTTCATTATAAGAGATGCAGAGGCAGGCGACAGTCACAAAACCACTGGGAAGCTAGGTCCGCTTTAGCAGATTGGCACAATTTGTATCACTGGTGCTCAGAACCCACAGGGCTCGCATAGCCCAGAGCCAAGGACAGCCTCTGCCTCTCAGGACAGCCTGTGTTTCTCTATGCCATTTACTCATTGTTGAAATGTCGTGAAGAAAATGGCTCCTCTTTAACTCCCCCTAATCCACTTACCTGATGCAGAATTAGTTACTCTGATTTTATATATATATAGTGAAACACACACGCACGTGCACACACACACATAACCAGATATTGTATTACAGACGCTTCCAGAGGTAAAATATAATATTCTGCTAGCTGTTACAGTTAACAATACACTAATGTTGACCAACCCATTGTCGATGTTTCAGAAGGCTAAGTGTTTCCGTTCTTCTGGCTTCTCTGCTTTATGAGAGAGAAAACACGTCATTTGCACATTCAAATTACATAAATTCAACGACTGTGCATGAGCTGGTACAGGGAGTGGATAATGAGAGGGAGAGAAATAACAATTTAAATAGTGTGTGTGATTTTGCCCTCCATTCCACTCAAGAGACACACACATCCTAATGATGGTGAATCAGGCTGTAGGAGTCAGTGGTTTCCTCCCCTGGTTTTGGCATCCTGGCGCCTCCTACTTTGTGAGCCTCTCGCCATGCTGGGTATGGGTCAAGAATAAAGCTGACTACATCGTCTGTTCACCTTACATGTTGATCCTTGACATGACCGCTCTAAAATGGGGTTAATTGCAGTCCATGTCACAGCTAGGACTTCCAGGTGTACAGACAAGGTGAAAGGTACCAAGGAACATCAAGGTGAAAATCAGAGAGGAAAAAGTCCAAAGGCAAAACAGAGGCACCAAATAGGGATCAAGTTCAAGTGATCAGAAACACAAAGGTCGAAGTCAATAGAAGGTGATAAAATGTTAGCACTGGTTATTTCCTGGGTAGTGGCTATTATCTTCTTTATATCTCTCTCCATTTTACAGCTTGTCTGCAATAAGCATGGATTAGTTTTATAAGAAGAAAACAAATTATTAGGACACTAACCGGCCAGGCATGGTGGCTCACGCCTGTAAACCCAGCACTCTGGGAGGCCAAGGCAGATGGATCACCTGAGGTCGGGAGTTTGAGACCAGCCTGGCCAACATGGTGAAGCCTCGTCACTATTAAAAATGCAAAAATTAGCTGGGTATGGTGGCAGGCACCTGTAACCCCAGCTACTCAGGAGGCTGAGGCAGAAAAATCACTTGAACCTGGGAGGTGGAGGTTGCAGTGAGCCAAGATTGCACCATTGCACTCTAGCCTGGGTGACAAAAGCGAAATTCCATCTCAGGAAAAAAAAAAAAAAAAAAAAAAGACACTAACCATAAAAATGAAAGTGTTTAAAAAGAGAGAGAGGGCCAGGCGCGGTGGCTCTCACCTGTAATCCCAGCACTTTGGGAGGCAAAGAAGGGCAGATCACGAGGTCAGGAGATCGAAACCATCCTGGCTAACACAGTGAAACCCCTTCTCTACTAAAAATACAAAAAATTAGCCAGGTTTGGTGGCAGGCACCTATAGTCCCAGCTACTTGGGAGGCAGGGGCAGGAGAATGGCTTGAACCTGGGAGGCGGAGCTTGCAGTGACCCAAGATCGTGCCACTGCACTCCAGCCTGGGCGACAGAGTGAGACTCTGTCTCAGAAAAAAAAAAAAAAAAAAAAAAAAGAGAGAGAGAGATTGTCTAATGCAGCCTGGGTCTGGAGAATGCAGAGAAAACGCCAGGACTGGCACTGGGAAGTTCAAGTTCATCTTGCTGTTACTTTTCAGTGTGATCCTGGCTCAGAGCACAGGACCTGGAGTCAGAGATGGTGAAGTTCAAATCCTGAATCTTCTACCTTTTGTTTGTGATTTTGAACAAGTCACTTAACCTCTCTAAGAAGTAGTGTGCTGGTAAACATGGAACAACCAGCTGTGGAGGGAGGAAATGCGATTTGTAGCACTTGCCAATTTCCACAGATGCAAATGCTCCCACTGTGGCCAGTTTCAAGCTGCTAACCTGTGGTCAACCCAGATCACAAAATTCCTAACAGTTTAACTATTGGCTCACTCAAGCTGGTACAAACCAGCCCAGCAGACCACCATCTCTGAGTCTCAGTTAACATTACCTGAGTAACTACTCATAGGTTGATTATGAGATTTGCATAACACCAAGCATGTAAAATGCTTAGCAGAGTCCCAGGCTCAAGAAGAGCATTTCAATGTGCAGAATATCATAGAGAGAGGAATCTGCTTATGTACCCGTAAACTACCTTTGGAAAAATACATGACAAATTGGTAACAGAATTGTCTCTGAAGAGGAGAGCTGGAAGGCTGGAAGCACATCAGAGGCAGTATTTTCACTGTTTGCCTTCAATACCTCTTAATTTAGAACCACAAATATGTACTTTGTATTCTAAAAAGAAATAAAATTAAAATTATTGTGTAAATCATAGCAAGAATACAGTGATTTTTCTTCATAAGGCTGGCAGTGCTAACTGACCAGCATGCTCCCCTGCTGAGACTCACAAGAACTACACAAAGGGCCTCAGTATATATTAAAACACAAGAAGCTCCCACCTGGGGCATGAAAAAAATTCAATTAGTAGGTTTATGTGAAAGAGATCATAACAGATGACACACCTCCAGTTTTTATGTTGGACTTTAGCTGACCGAGTTAATGTCAAATGTTAACCCCTCTTTGCACAGGGACTACAACATTTGTAGATGGTACAGTAACAATAATAGTGTCACAAGCCTTCTTGATTTACTGCAAAACCAATATTATAACCATAGAAATGAAATGACAAAAAATAGTTCTCTATAATCCCTCTTACTTTTTTTCATTAACCATCCCTTTCTTTTCCTTTCTGTTCCCAGGTCTCCAAACCCTTCCTAGCTTGACTGCTAGACCTTAGCATCCATTCCCCTCCTTCTGAAGGTTCCGTCACCTTTCTGTACTTAGGACAATTGGTGGGGAGTGGAGGGGTGGGGAGTGGAGGGTTGGGAAGAGGAGGTGGCAATTACATGAGCTTTCACAGCAGCCTGCCTCTCCTGCGGTTGTAGGGTCCCAGGTGTCTCTTTGGCTGCAGTTGGCTCCAACACACTGGCCTCAGAGGGAAAGGAGAGGTGAGCCTTCTCTTTAGTCCTGAATCCTCAAAGTGGATTCAGGACTAATAGATTCAGGACTAATTCCTTTAATTCCCCACAGCAGTATTAGGACCTGGCTCCAACTATTAACAAGATTGTATGTAAAGTCCAGGAAGAACAGACGGAAACTATAACACAGAAAAAAACCTTCCTCTAGACCTAGTATGAGGCCCAGATACTGCTTCTGGGAAACTCTAAGATACCTCCCAACCTGATCTCAACTGAGAGTGTAGTCAAACACATCTCCTTTTCTTATAGTCCAGATCTCACAGCCATGTCTCCAAGGGAGAAAAGATGTTTTCCCTCAGCCCAGGCCATAATCTTTATTCCTAGGGGATCCATCCCTTACCAGGATGATCAACAGCACTGATACCCTTTCCATCCCAATGCAAACTCTGCCCTCACCCACAACCCAGAATCTGTGCACTTCTCCAAGTCTGGATCACCAGATCTCAAATCAGACATCAACAGTCCAGTCCAGTCCTGGTGTCTGATTTGAGATCTGCTGATCCAGACTTTGAGAAGTGCACTGATTCTGGGTTGTGGGTGAGGGTGGGGTTTGTGTTGGGATGGCATGGGTATCAACTACTCCCAGCCCAGTCTGATTCTCCCAGCATGAAAAGAAGACCCTATCTTCATATTCTCCTTGCAGTCACCTTCCCTGGGAGGCAACAGTTCAAATAATAATCCCCAGGCCACCCCAGATACAGGTAACCAGAGTTAGGGCACAGTGCTGTCTTAGCTCACAAGGATATGAGAAACCGAAGAAGATTTGCTTCATATATAGGCAAAAATGTACATGACCACACAGAACTTTTGGTTTCTCACCTGTGATTTTGCAAGCCTTCCAAATAACAGCTGGGCTCTTGCTTTACCTATGGCTAGCATTAAGACAACTCAGTGATTTTTCTAGAATAAAGAAGCAGTCTGACCCAGTGAAGTTAGGAAAGCTGACTTTCTTATGTGACAGAAAACCTTTGCAGCTTTTAAATGACAGGTTATTTTTTTCAAGCTTCCACTCGTAAATGTTTCAACATCTTCAGAAACATTTTCAAGCTAGGTCATCCTTTTTCATGCATATAATTATTACAGGCCTATGATCATGTTGTAGATAAAATATTATATTTGACCTTTCTTTACTTAATATGATGCATATGTATTTTCATGTCTCATCAATGTGGTTTAGAATTAGAATGGTGATTTGAGTGTTGTAATAATAAAGATATCAAATAAGAAGAAAGCTGACTCTTCAAGTGGAAAGGGTGAGAGTCAGAGCAACCTTAGGCAAAATCTGTAAATATATCATTTATTTTTAGAGTTTGCCTCCTCCCTTCAGAAACCTCCCTATGAACAGGAACCTATATCCGCAGCATTTGGCACGGTTCCTAGAGCAAAGCAGATACTCCATGTGTTCTTGTTGGATAAATGAGCAATTGAATAAAGAAGTGAATGAACAGTATTCCCTCTGTGACAACCACGTTCTTCTCTGACCTGCATTCACTGCAGCATCTCATGCCATGTAGCTTTCTAAGCACCCCTCCACCCTCACTATATTTCTGCAACAGGCTGATATGTGTGTATCCCCCCCAAAATTCACACAATGAAATCCTAACCCCCAATGTGATGGTATTAGAAAGTGGAACCTTTGGGGGAATGGGGGGCAGTAAGTAGATGATTAGGGTGAAGCTCTCATAAGAGATCAGCACCCTTATAAAGGGACCCCAGAGAGCTCTCTCACTTTCTTTCTGCCATGTGAGGATATGACAAGAAATCAGCAGTCTACAAGCTAGAAGAAGACCTTCAGCAGGGCTCAACCACACCAGCATTCCAATCTCAGAATTCCAGCCTCCAGAACTATAAGAAACAAATTTCTATCATTTGCAAGCCACCCAGGTTATGGTACCTTGTTATAGCAGCCTGAACTAAGACAATCCCCATTCTGTGTCCTCTACAGTTTTAAGGTATTTCCTAATAAAAGCAAAATGTAAAATCTCCACATCTTAGGAAATGCAATGGATCTTCAAGAAGGCCTTTCAGTAAGTAGGCCAGTGCCTTTTGATGAGCCCGTGGCTTACTGAACCTAGGAAATTGTGGCTAGCAGCACATTACAGTCAAGTTTGCTCTAGGTCTGTGTTTTGCATTCTTGGTTCTCCATGTTCTTATTATATATGGGTCCTTCAATATTTCTCTGGTTTCTCAGGAGAGATGTTCTCCTAAAATCATGAAGAGAAGAAGCATGAAACATCTCATAGAACCCCAAGAAGAATGCATCACAAAAATGTGGCAATTTGAGGCATAGACTTTGGAAACCAAAGCACCTTGGTTCAGTTTCTAGAGAATAGGTCTCACTCTCCTTATCTGTAAAATAGGAATAAATACAATGCTGTATACAAAGTATTTAACTTACTTCCTGGTATGTACTAAGAACCTAACCCATGTTAGCTTTTATTACTAAAAATAATAGTAATATAGAACAATTAGTAAATAAAGGGCAAGAGTTTCAGGTACTGCCGTGAAACAGTGAAAAAGCTATTTGAGAAACAGACATAGCTCAAACCATACAATTTACATTAGGGATATCAAACATATTATTTTCATGCCACTATCTTCCCCTTCTATGCCTATGACAGACATCACTAATCAAGCCCAGACTGGCCTCAATCCGTATTGTCACATGAAAGGAATTCTATTTGCCATTCAATATTTAATTGGTTTCTTCTTTTGCCTATGTTAACATTAGTACAGGGAAGAACACTCTTTAATCAGACAGTTCTGTAAATGCTTTTAAAAAATAGGCATTAGGCTAAACTTCTCAGTTGTAAACTTCATTCATCTCAGGATATAGTCACTGAGAGCCAACAAATCCATGTTTTTATCCCCAGTGTAGAGCATCAATCCCTTACATTGAGGAAGTCCTCAATGAATAGTTGTTGAATTTCACAGTTTCAAACCCTGACGCTGAAGTGTGTAAATTCACCCCTATTCCAACTCAATTCCCTCTGTTTTCCTTTCTCTTCACTGCTTCTGTTGACATGCTCTTTGATCAGCATTAACTGACTTCCTAAATGAAGAATAAGTTTCAGGAATCATATATGTGTTCTGTGTTGGACAACACTCTTTGGGAAAGCAAACTGACATTTTATTAGAATATTCATTATCCCAATATGGGGAGCAAGTGAAATCATGTGCCAATTCATTCTTTAACAACAACAGCAAAGAACTCAAGTTATAGAAGTATTTTAAGGGATTTTTTTTATTGATATAACTCTTTGGAGGTCACTACTCAAGGTCTTTTCCTCCAGGTTATAAAGGAACCATTTAGCTGAGCTTGTGTTTTCTTTTTTGGTTTTATGCCAAATAAATACATAGTCCTAAGGCAAGGTAGCAAGGAACGAGATGATAAACACAGTTTCTAGACTTATTTTTGAGAACTTCCATCTTACGTCTGGATTCTGGCATACCAAGGCATGCACTGGTACATCACAGCTGTGTTTACTTAAGAAAAGAGAACTAGAGAATTATGCATCAAGTCAGTGAAACCGATCCAATCTGGCTAACTGGGGCCCCTAACTTATCTTTCCTCACTAATGTTTACTTTAGAGAAGGCTGAACACTCCTGAAAATTGTTATAATTACATTATCCCTGTAAATATAGCCTAGGTGACCTATTTCGACCATGCCTTAAGATGAATTAGTTTTATTCTATACATACCAGCAGCAGGGATTATGAGAGAATCCTGATTAATCAAATCTGGAATGGAAATTCCTAATTCCATGGAAACATAATTGGAATCAGTGCTTCAGAGAAGGGGCTCCCGAGTAAGACCAGAGTTCAATTCCTGTGGGAGTGTGGACAACTTACTCGTCATTCAAATCCTCAGTTCCTCACATTTAGGCTATGGATGCCACAGCCATAGCCCTGCTTTGTAGGATTGTCGTGAAAATTAAATGAGATAATGCATTAATCATTTAGTGCCTAACATGGTATTAAATAAATATTAGGAAGAAATGTGGTGTTGTTTTCCTTCTTCTTACCTCTGTTTCCTTTATTGGGTAGGAAGACAGATAAACAAAGTTCTAATTTCAGATTCCCATAGCAATAGGAAAGTTCCATTGTTCTTCCTCAAATACTTGCATGTTCCTACGCAGCAGCTAACAGACATCTGAGCAGAGTTCAGGTCTTGGGACAGTGTGGTTTCCTACCTGGAGTTTTGGATATTCTCTTCTTACCGCGAAAGGAAAAAGACTCAAAATGCCTAAACATTTCCAATGCTTCAGCATAGCTGCAGCATCCTGCCATCACTCCTAAGTGAACCATGTAACATGCATTCTGAATATAACGTTGCAGGGAGCTATGTTGGCTTTGATGAATGCAATCCCGTGGTTTAGCAACCCCATATAACAGGCCAACAAATTATGCTCTCTCTCCCCCTCTGTTCCTTGCACAGCCCCAGGAGAATTGCACCGCCGTCAGCTGAAAATCCCCACAGTGACCGGCTGGAAAGCAAGGAGAATGGCACAGCAAAGAATAGCAAGAATATTGATTGGAGGGCCACCTCTCTAATTAAGGAAACCCTACGTTTGTGATTCTGAGGTGCTTATAGCACCAATTTCCCAAATCAGCCCGTACTTGCTTTTCTATCTGATGTCCCCTGAGGTACTACCAAAGGCTTTGTATTTAGTGTAAGAGAAACAAGCACTGCAGCCATACAAGGTCAGTTTCCCACTTTGACTTCTGAGGAGGGAAGATACATACTGAGACCCAGTGTCTCAAATTGCTGTTTTCAGGCAGGATAAGCTTGACTGAAGGAGAACGGCAAGTTCTTCCTAGGATGCATCTTTACTATGCATACATCTTCCACCATAAGAAAACCCTCACCACCCACTGTCCTGAAAGAAAAATTGTCCTGAAAGAAAAAACAATCTAAGATATATGATAAGCAATGTGGCATAGAGGTTTAGAGCACCATCTCCAGAGTCAGAGAGAAATGTTGTACTGCTAACTGTTCTACCTACCAGCAAGTTCCTTAAACTTCCTGCTTTCCACTGTAAAGAAGTACAATAATAGAATCTGCTTAAAGTTGGGTTCTTGTGACTTAAATTATGTAATTCATGTAAGATGCTTATGATATTGCTCAGTAAATAGTAAGCACTCAAAATATGTTAGCTGATAATGAACTAATTCATGCTTGACAATACTGGGAACAAGGATAAACGTTTTCTACTGAGATCAATCATGAGCTTAGGCTAGCTAAATTGGAGAATTACACTGATGAAAAGTGTTAGAAATTAGGTTTATTTGGCCTGCAACTATATAATATTATGGCTAAGGAGTCTTAAACTACCCTAGTCCTACCATCAAACCACAGGCATCCTCCCACTGAGAGCTCTGGGGATATATATGTTCAAGTAGTAATTACAGATAGAAATCAAAGTAACACTGCTAGCAGAGACCCTAGCTCTAAACCTCAGTGCAAAGGACACCACCACACCAAAACACATGGCCACATGTGACTCCAAGACCAGGGGAAATGCCACTTCACCATTTGCCCAGAAGCAGAAATACCCAATGAACAGCACTGGAGACTCTCTCCACAGCCAGCATGAGAAAAAATTTCAAAGCAATCTTCTAAAATGCCTTTATTAGCTTTAATAGTTTCTTGCTTCTATTTTCTTTATGTTTTTCTGTTATTGTTTTTCTAACTTAAATTAGATGCTATGCTTATGAATTTTTGGCCTTTTTCCTTTTCTATTATAAATAAATATAGTAGAAAATTTGAATTTTCCTCTGGTAACACCTTTCTTATAGCACACAAATTTATTTTTATGTAGTGCTTTTGTTATTGTTCAAGTCCAAGAATTTGCTAATTTCCACTATAATTTACCTTTCTGACCTATGAGTTATTTCTAATTATTTTTTTTACTTTCTATATGTAAAGTGCTTTGAAGATAAGGTTCATTTTATATCTTTCTATGGTAAGAGAATAAGGTCTGTATGAATTAGTATCTATATGATCCAGATTTTTTTTTCTGGATGTTGGTTCTTTTAAATTCATTGAAACATGCTTTATGACTCAGTAAAGAGTCAATTTTCATGTTACATGTATCCTCAAAAAAATGAGTATTCTTAATTGATAGGTGACAGTACTGTATGCGATACTTACATTAATGTTATTAGTCATGTTATTCAAATATTCTGTATTCTTACTATTTTGTCTGTTTGATCTATAAGTTTTTGAGAGAAGTTTTATTAAATTTCCCTTTGTGATGTTTACTTGTTACTTTCTATGTGTAATTCTGACCATTTTTACCATATATATATTGAAATTATTTTACTGGATGCATACAAACTTAAGAATATTATCTTTCCCTGATGAATCGGGACATTTTCATCTCAATTGCAATGCTCTTTATTATCAGTAATCTTTAAGCCCTGTTTTTGTCTGATATTAACACAGCTACACAAGCTTTCTTTTGGTTGTCTGGTATATCTTTTCCTATCCTAATATTTCCAACCTTTCTATGTCCTTCTATTTTAGATTAGTCTCGTTTAAACAAAGTAATCTGGGTTTTGCTTTGCTTTTAGTGCTGTTTTTCTTTAATCGTCTGAAAACATTTGTATTTTAACTAGAACATTTAGTCCACTTTATGATCAAATTACTACAATTATATTTGGATTTATTGCTACCTTAGTTTGTGTTTTTAATTTGTCCTGTTTTTATATATGTGGATTTCCTTTTTCTCCTTTCTTGTATTTTTCAAACTGCTTGTGTTCTTTCATTCTTTTTTTTCTGAGATTTTCTTTTTCCTTCTGAAGTTCATCTTTTAGAAAATATTTGTTAAGAATTGTAGATAGCTTGTGAATGCTTTGTTTTTGCTTGTCAGCAAGATTCTTTATTTCATCTTTTTTTTTTTTTTTTTTTTTTTTTTTTTAGACAGAGTCTTGCTCTTTTGCCCAGGCTGAAGTGCAACGGCACAATCTTGGTTCACCGCAACCTCCACACCTCTACCTACCTACCAGGTTAAAGCTATTCTCCTACCTCAGCCTCCTGAGTAGCTGGCATTACAGGCACATGACACCACGCCTGGCTGATTTTTGTGTTTTTAGTAGAGATGGGGTTTTGCCATGTTGGCCAGGCTGGTCATGAGCTCCTGGCCTCAGGTGATCCACCCGCCTCAGCCTCCCAAAGTGCTGGGATTACAGGTGTGAGCCTCCACACCCAGCCATCCATTCTTGAAAGACAGTTTCATTGGATACATAATTCTAGGTTGACGAGTATTTCCTTTCACTCTTTGAAGAAATCATTCTGGCCTCCATTGTTTCTATTAAAAGTCAATCTTCATTTAATTATCTCTCATTTATAGATAATCAGAGGCTTCTTTCCTGTTTGCTTTAGAATCCCTTTGTGATGATATTTTGAAGTTTTGCCACTGCATGCTTGGTCATAAATTTATTTTTATTTATTCTGTTCATCATGCATTTTTAATCTGAGAATTCATGTCTTTCATTAATTCTAGAGAATTTTCAGTCATTATCTCCTCCAATATTACATTCTCTCTCATTCTCTTCTTCTGGAACTTTTTTTAGATACAGGTTAAACTTTCTTACTCTATCTTCAATTTTTCTTAACATTTCCATTTCTTTGTTTCTCTGTGCTGCATTCTATGTATCTTCAGGTTCATCCTCCAGTCTACTAATTCTCTTTTTAATTGTATCTAATCTGCAATTTCACCCATCTATTAAGTTTTTTATTTCAATAATTATATTTTTCAAGAAGTTTTATTTGCTTTATTTTTCAAATCTACTCAAGAGTTTTACAGTCTCTTATTTATCATTAATGTTTTTATTTACTCTTTTTTTAAACATTTTATATTCTGATTTCATTTTCTGTATATGGTAGTTCCAATATCTGAAGTCTTTGGGGGTCTTTTTCTGCCGCTTATTGTTCCTCCCAACTCATTCATAATACCTTGTTTCCTTATGTGTTTAGTGATTTTGAGTGGGACATTGCATTCTTTAAAATTTTTATCTGTGGTTACTCTTTCAGGTCTAAGTCATGGTACATTTATTCAGAAATGATTAGCATTTGCTTTTGTCAAATGCATGGGACAGTAGCATACACAGATCATTTTATAGTATATTCTTAACTTGGGGTTTTTCAGACCATACAAATAGCCAAGCTTTGGTCCCCCAAACTTGTATCAGTAATGCAATGCAATATGTTAGGAAAGTACTGGCCTTGTAGGTATTTTACCTTCTTATATGTGTGTGGTGGGGGTAGTGTTTATGAGGGAAAGTCATTTAGTAAGACAAAAATCAGGTCTTTAATTTTCATAATAAAATATATTCTGCTGTATTCATGTTCCCTTTCTCAGACATATGGCTTTATTTCAATCAATAATATAGGATACCCACATTTTAGGTAGTAGCTATTAACGTCAATTCTTAGCTATCTAACACACCACTCCAGTTATAAGCAATACAGTAGAGGAATAGTTTAAGAGGTATGTTCACTCTTCACCCCTGAAACATTTTCTGCCTTTATTCCCATATCATATCTGATCATCAGAAAGTTTTACCCCTGACATATATGTGGCCTGCTATTAAACACCACAAGGATCTAAGATTGCCTTTTAAGAACATGACTTATAATAGTGCTCTCTGCATAATTCTCTTTCATGGAGGATTGACATTAAAAAAGCTATATGTAGAATTTCTCATAATAACCACAGCAATTAAGACATGATGCTTCTGATATTAAGAAAAAAACTGCAAGGCAAATTCTTCCCTAAGTTCAAATTTAGGGAATAAAAAGTTTGTGTCTCCTGTTATATTTTATTGGATTAAAAAAAGCTGTGCAGACACATTATCCTTTTGTCCTGGCTGCTCACAAGCTTGGAGCCTATATTATGCCCAATTGCAGTAGCTTTCCTCAGTCTGTTTTCTGACTCATTCCTCTTTTCATCTTCCTCTAAAAAATTGTATCCATAGGCTGGTCGCAGTGGCTCACGCCTGTAATCCCAAAACTTTGTGAGGCCAAGGCAGATGGATCACGAGATCAGGAGTTCAGGACCAGCCTGGCCAACATGGCGAAACCCTGTCCCTACTAAAAATACAAAAATTAGCCGGGCATGGTGGCATACACCTGTAGTCCCAGCTACTCGGGAGGCTGAGGCAGCAGAATTGTTTGAACCTGGGAGGCATGGTTGCAGTGAGCCAAGATCTCGCCATTGCACTCCAGCCTGGGTGACAGAGCGAGAGTCTGTCTCACGAAAAAAAAAAATAATTGTATCCATATATTCACTCTATATTTTCTATTACAGTCTTCTTCAGGTCTTTGGGGAGTATGTGAGGCATAAATAATTATATTAAAAAATGTCCATGGGCCTCAGTTTCACCGTCTGTCAAGGAAAAGGTTTAACTAGATGATAATTTATGGCTTTAAATTTTCTAACAGTGTGAATCAAAGAAGAATTAAACTTATAGTGGGGCACAGTTGAAAACTCATGATAATTCCACTACATGAAGGCTTTCAACCCAGAGATACAACCAAACTATTAAGGACATCTCCCCCATGATGACCCAGCCATCTTCACACACAGTCCGTTGGCAGAAAAACAGGCAATGACCCAAATGAATTGTTTATACCAGGGAAATAGGAAGAAGAATTTCTCTTTTCATAGAAGATGCTCGGTACATACCATCTCAACCCTAGTCCATGTCCATAATAGGCACTGCAAATCAATCAGGGGACTGTTGGCTTCTGAGCACAGACCTGGTCTCAGAATCTAGCATGACATTCTAGAGAATCATAGTCAATCGTTCGGAAATGACATATAACAACAGCCAACATCCATTAGCACTTTCAATGTGCCAGGCATTATTTTAGCATTTATTTATGTAATTCTCCCAATTCGGTGCTGTGGTTTATGTTAATATCCCTTATTTTACAGATTACAGATCAAGGCATGCAGAAATTAAGTAAACTTATCCAAAACAACATCGTTCCTAAGTGCTGGGTCATGAAGTTTCGTCAAATAAAATCTACATGCATTCCTTTCCTTGGTAGCTCGGTGCTAACTGAAGTTAATGCAGGTATTGTTGGGCTTTCAATTTGATCTGAAATAGCTACTGCAGAGTCCCTGAGGGGTGGTCTGCTCTCTGCTATCTCAGACATAGTTGTTGCCATGCTAATGAATGGGCCTTATTCTATTCTAGCAATCTCCAAAATAGGGAGTACGTACTCCAGGAGAAGTGCAAGACAATTTGCTTTAATGAAGGAAGACAGTTATGTTCTTTTCTACTTCTATTTATTTTGTCTATAAAAATAAGAAGAAAATCAAGCTATACCAATGAATAAAATAAGGAACAATAATAAGATTATAATTTATATATAAATACATATAGATTGGGGGTTTGTGTTCAGAATTTTTATTTTTATGTATAGGAAGCATGATTCAAAATGTTTAGAAAACAAGGGTCTATATTTAAGTTAGAAAAATGGGAGTCAGGCATGATGGTGTGCATCTGTAGTCCCAGATACTCAAGAGACTGAGGCAGGAGGATTGCTTTAGCCCAGGAGTTTGAGGCTGCAGTGAGCCATGATAGCACCACTGCACTCCAGCCTGGGCAACAGAGTAAGAACTCAACTCTTAAAAAAAATAAAATAAAATAAAAAGAAACATGAGGTTATGACCTCCAAATAAGTGCTTTACAGATTGAAGCTGTTAGACAAAAATACTCAGCTAACTAATTACTTTTGCTGCCAGCTAACTAATTACTTTTTGCAACTGCCAGGCTCTTGCAGGAAGAAGATTGGGGTTGCTTTACCATTCCATTATTTATTTCTTTTGTGATGCTGAATGTGCCAGTTGGGTCTAAGCCTCAGTTTTCACAACTGTTAAATAGAGAGAATAATAGCACCATGTACTGATAAGGCCATGATCCAACCTCTCTGCACTTCAGTTTTCCTGTCTATAAAATGAACACGTCAATAGTACTAAACTCTTAGGTTTATTTTTAAGAATCATTAAAATAACCCAATTTCAAGCACTCTGCAACTTCCATCAAAAAACTAAGTCTTTCTCTTCAACCCTTGAATTTGAACTGGACTTGTGACTTCCTTTAACCAGCAAAATGTGACAAAAGTGACAGACACATAGACATACCAGTTCTAAGTTTAGGCCTTAAGAGGCTTTGCCATTTCTGCTCTCATCTTCTCAGAGTACTCTAATGACCATGTGAAAAAGCCCAACCCTGCCAACTTGAGGACAAGAACCACATGAAGAGGGGGTCCCATCTAATAGCCAATACCAAGCCCCAGATAGGTGAATGAGGCCATCTTACCTTATCTAGCCCTTCCTTAGCCACCAGCTGATGTGTCACCAAAAGATGAGCTGAGCTAAAACCAACAACAGAACCACTCAGCAGAGCCCAATCCAAATTGCTGAACCACAGAATCACAAGCTAATAAATTATTTCCTTAAGCCACTTGATTTTGGAGTGGTTTGTTACACAGCCATAGCTAACTGATACAGTTCTATTAATTACAGTTCTAATAATCACTATTATTCCATTTGATGCTCTTTCAACTCTGTGAGATAAGCAGGATGGATAATATCTCCCATTATTAAATAAGAAAATAGACTATGCAACTCTTTCCTGTCACAGTGGACTCTCAAATGGGATGTGTGACAATGACTCATATGGATGTGGAAACATTACACTGTGTAGTTATCTTCGTTTTAGTTTTTTAAAAGGAAACAAGCACAACTTTACTGATATTAATACACAACAAGAATGTATATAATTTATAAATAACTGTACACACATTAGGGATACATGCTAGAAAATGTTTTGTTGATAGTGATGTGACATCAAAAAGTTTGTAAACAATTGCTTTAAACAAGCTGGTAGAAGAGAATATATTAAAATATAAGTCTATGTACACTATAAGCTTATGCTGACAAGTGGAAGACTTAACCCAACTGTCTTACCTGGACTATTGGACTTCCAAACCCAAAGAGTAGAACTACTTCAACAAAATCACAAAATGAACAGGATATTTGCTACAGAAAAAAAAAAGAATTTTCAGAAAGCAATTATCTTCCTTTGAGGAATTAAGCATAATAGTTAAAAATTCAAATTCTATAGTTTTCTAAAGTATAAATAAAATATCTCAGTATGGAAGACATGCATTTTTTAAAAAAGTAGAATAAATTAATTTAAATTATGCCCTGCTGGACATTTGATAATTAGGTTTATATATGATTGCATCTGGAAAACATCATTCTTCCAAATAGGAAAATTATGCAGTATGTATTGTATTGTGGGGGAAACCACATGAAGTTATTTTGCTTCTACCATCAGCAAGGAGGTCCCAAATTGCTTTAAGAATAATTATGAAACACTCTTCCTATATTATATGAAATAAAAAAAATCATGGATCCCAAAATTCTATATACAGCAGATCGAAATTAAAATCATGTGTTTTTTGGTTTTATTTTTTGGAATTCATTGATAATAAGAATTTCCACTAGCTCTCTAAACAATGTCAATGAAGGAAATATATTGAAATCCAGTTCTGTGATTAGCTGGCTGGGCATTTGGAGAGGGCTGTGTTTGTCAGGGATTATGAGGATTAAGTGAATTAATACATATGAAACTCTTAGAACAGTGTCTGGCACACAGAAAATGCCCAATGCAGGTTACAATTATGAGGACAGGAGCAGAGATAAGGATGTCGTCCCTGGGGAAACTTTGGCTTGGCCTATCCCTTTTTTTTACACACACACACACACACACACACACACACACACTCAATGTAGGAGCCGTTGTCAGCCTGGGTGCCACAGAACTGACCATCACTGAAGTCAGTCTTCCCAGGTTCCCTGACTTTACAGATGTGAAACAGGTTCAGAGGAATTAAATGACCTGTGCACAAGCATTCACATCAGAGTCTAAAAGTCTCCTAAGTCTTTGCTGTTTACATATATTAGACTGCCTTCAAAAATCATTCCAGGACAGACAATACAATTTTCTCTCAGACCTAATTTGATTCTCAGAAGGAACCTCCCAAACTCCCTGGAGTCTTCTCCCTTCTTCCAGGTTTCAGGCTGAGGGACCTGCCCAGTTTATCACTGATGTGCCATGAGCCCAGAGCCCAAACATGATATGCCTCCTGGCTGAGTATCCCCTGCTCACACACACAAAAACACACTCAAGCAGCCTAACAAAAGACCCCCACTTAAGCTGCACCAGAGCAACACATCACCTAAAATAAATGTAGCACATATCACCATTCATGCACACGGTGAAGGGCAGGCAAGACGTGCCATCTTTCCTACTAAAAAGTGGGGGTTATTTCTCCCTCAAGGGGACATTTGGCAACATCTAGAGACATTTCTTGCTGTCACAAATGGGGAGGGGAAGCTGTGCTGCTGGCTTCAAGTGAATAGAGGCAACGGGTGCTGCTAAACATTCTACAATGCACAGGACAGCCCCCCACAACAATTGTCTGACCGAAAATGACAGTGTTGCCAGAGTTAAGAAACCCTGCTTTAATAACTATAAAACCCTTGCTGCCTCTTTTTTCTCTGTCAATCAAATGGGGGTAATAACAGTCTTTGCCTTAGAGGATTATTGTCAGGACTGAACAAGAGGATCTATGCCAATGGTGCCTAACTCACAATTAACAGTTGACTCTTTCATTCAGTAAATATGGAATGGCCACAAGACAGTGGATATAAAAGAGTGTGAAAATACTTGTCTTCTCTTCACTACTGGAAACTCCAGGCTAGAGGGGGAGACATTAATCAAATAGTCACGCAGACAATAAAAGTTAACTATGATTATTGTTATTGCTATTATTTAAAAGAATTCTCTTCTTTTGGTGACTTCTCCATGCTAAGCCTCATTCCCAAGCCACTTCGGTGATTTTTCTAATATAACCCAACAATGGCTAATACCAAAGGTGAGTAAGCTAAAAGCTTTCCATGGCTACACTGGGATGGAGGAGCAGGAAAGCTCTTTGCTCATCTGTCAGCTCTTCAACCTTTGAGGGAAGCTGCCTCCAAGTTCTAATTGCCTGCTCCAAACTCCACAGCGTCGGGGGAAGGGGGCACGTGATCAACGGCAGCCCCGCCACTGTGCTGTGTTGCTATAGTAAGGATGCCCTTTATTGATCAGACTGGCCTGGAGTCATGTAACTCCCCAGCTTACTGCTGAGCTCCCCAAGGGGCAGTTGGCAGGCAGTGGTATCTCTCTGGACTAACGCCGATCCCCAGCTCTGCCCTCTCTCCTCCCCTGGACACACAAAGGATGCCTGCAGAAACACCTAATGTTTCTTTGTAGTGTCTTGTCATTCACACACTAATTTGAAGTCACAGATCAAAACTGGTGAGAGACATCAGGGGAAAGATATTTGAAGACTCCCCCCTTCCCTAAAGCAATGCTGCAGTCCTGCATCAGCAGCCAGTAAGTCCACTATTTTCCCCAGAGAATCTCTTTCCTATCCTTTAATTTCACCACTTTCAGAATCTCTCCATCTTGCCAACATTTTTATTATAGAAAGTTTGACTGACTCTTAGAGTAAGTGCAATATGTCTGCTACGGATCAGAAAACCAATGTCCTGAGAGGTTGATGGACTTGCTGAAAGTTCACAGTGCTGGTTAGTAACTGCACAACCAGCACTGTGAGATATCCCCTTTCTTTCCTCCTTCCTTTTAGTTCCCTCAGAAAATGGGCAACCAGGAGTCATTTCCATGTGGATTTTTCTTTTGTTTTCTTTTTAATTTCTAAACATAAGGCACTAAAACTGTCTTGCTTCCTTAAGAACTTCAAATGTCATTGAATATTCACATTTATCTTTTGGACACCCTCCTCCACTCCCACCCACCCACCCACCACTACCTGCATGTGCTGATGATCTATGACCTAACTGTGGGGACTTGTTGGTGAGGTAGGTTAGGCACTGGTCACATGAATAAGTGAAGATCATATAGCAAGTCAGCAGCAACACTAGAATTTGGGGTTTTAGTTAATGCAAGATCCTTTAAGCCGAAGAGAAAAAATACACAGAAACAATCCCACAGCTCTATATCCTACACCCATGGCAGACATTGCTAATCAATCACCGCACACTCTCCTTTCAAACCCAAATACAGCCTCTAGCTCCTTTTTAAGACAATGTTCCAAATAACTTTCATGCTTCCACAGGTTCAATGTAATATGTGGTTATTTGGGAAGGCCCCTTCAAGAAAGGTACATTTTGAATAAGACTTAAAGATAAAGTGAAGACAGAAGACATGTGATGAGGCAGAGGAGGAACATTCCAGGTAGAGGGAACAGTACATGAAGAAGTGGCAAATATGAAATCATATTGGCATATTCAAGACTCTGGAAGAAGATAATCATAGCTGCACTGTCATGAGCAAAGAGAGGAGCAGTAGGAGATAAAGGCAGGCTAGGAGGACATTTGGGGGGTTGTCCCTAATCACTCAATGGTCTTCTAGCTGCTAACACCTTCGCGTGAATTAATTTACTGTACCTATAGGTAGAGGGTAATCCAAAGAAGACCAAAAATACAAGAAATTTCCACCCAAAGAATACAGGTTTGAGCAGAGGATCTGGATACCAAAAAGAAGACAGAATCACTTACCATCTTGCTAGCAAGTAAGGAATCACTCTGTCAGCAAGGTGAGGAGCTGAGGATCTACTGTATCTGTCAGGACTCAATCAGAGAGGCAGAACTACTAGAAGGGATATGTATACAAGCATATGAAAGGATTTCTTACAGGGATTTGACTTTACTTAATTGTGGCACTGGTTAAGCAGTTTCTCAAGGCTGTTGTCTTCCCATCTTATACTGGAGCTTAGGGCCTGCAAGGCAGGCCGGGGAAAG
Source organism: Homo sapiens (assembly GCF_000001405.40). Lineage (NCBI taxonomy): Eukaryota > Metazoa > Chordata > Mammalia > Primates > Hominidae > Homo > Homo sapiens. The sequence goes on along the minus strand of NC_000005.10, from coordinate 158,288,968 downwards.
GGAAGATGGATGTAAAGTAAAGGAGAGCAAGAAGCTGAAAGCCACTGCATAAGCTGATGCTCACAAGGATGCACTGGAACCTATGTCAGTGCTCACTGCCTCTGACCTTGATGGTCTGCTTTTCCTACAGAGGCCAGAGCCCTTCATCTTGGAGATAGGCACACACATAGCCCAAAAGTTGGAGAAGCTATGCAGACCTGCCTAGCTGCTGCCTCATGCCAAAGAGGTGAGCCTACAGACAACTGACAGTGTGTGGAAGCTACAAAATGGCTACTGCTTCAGCTCCAGTCTCCAGATCTTATGAAAAGAAACTTTCTGCAGCCTACCCTAATGGGAACACATCAGGAAAGGGATTCTGGAATCCTGGGACATGCAGTTCAGTCTAATCAGTTGCTATATTACAAAGCCATCCATCAACTGAAGAATGGACTAGTAATGCCAAGTCCTGCCTATCTGCCGCCATCTCCTTCTACCCTGCTCCTACCCACATAGCTGTGATCATCTCTGGATTACACTAGGAATGACCAGGAAGTCCATTCTATAGGTTCACCAAGCCATCAGCTGTACTTACACACTCTCTCTTTCTCTCTCTCTCTCTCTCTGAATTTTTTTCATGTAAACCAAGAAACACACAGAGCCTCATCAGTTAGATGTCTGAGGGGATTTGTAGAGGCTGAGAAAGTAGAAGCTGAGTGAGGCTGAGGCGACCATTCAGACTGTGTACAAGCAAAGGAGAGTTGGAGCCGAGAAAAGCAATAATGAGAGAGACCTGGGGACGTTTGAAAAACAAAGAGAGGCCCTTCATTTCCTAGATTTCTCTTAGGGCTTCAGCTGTACTTTGCTTCCTGTGTAAACATACGATGGCCAATTGCAATAAAACTCCACTTTCTCCTTTACTTTTGCCAGCTGGGCTATGTTTATGTTTCTGGTGTTTGCAGTCAATCTCTGCCTGAGTCAGACAGCTGAGGTTGAAGGTAAGTTGGACCTGCTTCCCAGTTCTCCCTTGTTACCACATTCAGTGACCCAGACGGCACAAGTTGGAGGTGACTCAGTTCACATTCATGAAGATGTCTGTGAAGTCACAGTAACTTGGAATCAATGGTGAATAGAGCAAAAGCTACAGAAGTCACAGAAACGCTTCCCTCCTGCGCTGAGTGCTGGGCACGTCACCTCAGCAGAGGCCTCATAGCGGGGAAATCTCAACTCACTGCTCCTTGTAAAATGCACACTTGAGAGATGGCGCTCTTCCCAGAGCTGTCAATCTTTCAGCATTCACGATCCTGAAAATCAATTTAACAGAACGTTTTAAAGTAACTTTTTCAAACTTTATGCCAAAAAGAAAAAAAGAAAAGAAAGAGGGAAGTGCTAATTGCACTTTAGAGCTTCAGATGTTTTTTTCAGTCCAGGATCTCAAAGTATGTGATGAACTCTCATTTCACACAACCTTGCTTCACCCCTTGGTGGAAACAGATTGGTATTGTTGAGTTCATTTTACAATATGGATAAACTGAGGACCTTCTCAAGAAAGATGAGAATGCCATCATTTCCAATTTCCCACTTCAAGAGGAATTAAGGAACAGCGTGGCTCATTTAAATCACAGACCTTATAAATGCCACTGGCTGAGATAATATGTCAGACATATTTCATTTGCAAATACTCCACTCAAGGTGTTGCTTCGTTGGTCACTATATGCCTTCCCCACTAGGTTGAAAACAAATGGACAGCTGATAGCTCACATCTTTACAATTCTATAAATAAAACTATTAAGAGAATGCATCCATCCCACCTTCATTTTCTGAAAACTTCAGAGAGGAAATCTGAGTGAGGGATTTGGGTGGGTGGCCAAAGTGGACCAATTTCTGTGGCCAGAGAGAGAGATACTGTGATTGGCCAGGTCTGGGTCACATGGTCACCCCCATGGCCAATGGAAGCAGAGAACATTACCAGGAAGAAGAAAGAGAGCTAGCATAAACATAACCAGCTGGGAAATCGCTGTGGGCTGAGCAGCCACCCAAAATTGTGTGGTCAAGAAAGCTTCTACCTCAGCAACTAAGAAGTAGCCATAATGGGTACAGAAATACAGTTAGAAAGAATGAATAAGATCTAGCATTCTAGTAGTCAGTAGCACAATAGGGTAACTATAGTTCACAATAATTTCTCGTATAGTTTTAAATAACTAAGAGAGTGGAATTGGAATGTTCTGAACACAAAGAAATGATAAATGCTTGAGATGATAAATACCCCAGTTACTTTGATTTGATCATTACACATCCTATGCCTGTATCAAAACATTACATGTGCCCCATAAAGATATACAATTATTATGTAACCATAACAAATTAAAAGTTTAAAAAATTAAACTGCAAAAAGAGGTATATGTTAACCTACGTTATTCTCTCCCTGTCTTAAGCACTCTAATATAAAGATAACTCGTAGCTAAATCTTTGTGCACATTCACACTTGACTCCATAGGATAAATTCTTAGAAGTGAAATACCTAGATTAAATTTTTTGTTTGTTTGTTTGTTTGAAGCTTTTGATCTCCTTTGCTAACCTGCTTTTCAGAAAGGAAGTACAAATATATGTTCACACCTATATGTGAATGCTTTATCATTATTTTTATTTGCTTCCTAATTGAAGGGTGAACATGTAATAAAACAGCCTATGAAGGCAAATGAAACAGTAAAGAGAAGTAAAGGACCCAAATAAATGACCATTTAGACAATCAGGATCTGAACATCTGAGAAATGTTTGGACTGACGAGCTAGGAATTAAATTCAGGTGAAATGACAGATTATCCTAGTCCTATCTATGATCAAGGGCTGTGACTTTCCCGAATCAGGTAGCAGTGTGATCAAGAAGGGCCTTTCATGTCAGGCAGCTGAGCATTTAGGAGTAGCTGGCCATGCATAGCTCCCTTCCCTAGCCTCCACCGATGAGAAAGCAGGGATGCCAGTCTCTCTTGGCAGCAAGCAGATGAGAATGCATTTCTCAAAGATCACAGCCCCTGGAAGCCAAGGCAGCATACCTGTCAGAGGCAGACTCTGCCCTATAATTGCCCCTGATACACGGTGGGCTAATTGCCATTGCTGAAAATAATCTCCAAAGACTACAGCAGGCGTCATAAATAACGAGAGGCTCAGCGACAGCCCACTATGACAAGGTCTCAATCGCTCTTATCTTTTACTAGAGTGGAGCTTGTGCATTTGTGTTACTAATGAATCTTTTTCATTTGTGCAAGTGATGTTTCCATTTGACAATGACATGAACATAAAGTGGAAGTTAATTTACTCCATTGCAAGAGGTTCATTATTTAACCTGACGTTGAGGACAAAACAATGTAGCTTAATAGATGACAAATAGAAATTAGTTGTGATGAATTTTGCCATTTAATTCTAGCAGACTCACTGAATGTTTGCCATAAACATGGCAAGAGAGCCAGGGTTACCTTCTCTGTGGGTGGGACTTGCTTACTTTGGTATTTCCAGAGTATCATCCAAGGATAGAGAAGCTTCCATTGGGAAGTTCCATTGGAAACAATTTCCAGTTACACAGTAAACTTTGGAGACTAATGACGATGCCCTGCCAGTGGGTCAAATTTTATTAGACTTTGTTCCTTTAACACTGGAAAAACAATTGATTTGCAAGGCTAGACACTAGAAGTTGTATTGAATATTGATCGTTATTAGCACTGGTGCCTAAAACTCTATGCTTGTACATTTTTGTTCTTGCACATGGAGGTAGCTGAGCGATAACAGGAATGGGCTATAATTCTAGAATAAAATGGAACTTGTGTTTGAATCCAGGTCAACTAGTTAGGAACTGAGTGTGCTTGAGTTATTCAACTTCTCCTAGCCTCAGTTTCCTCTCCTATAGAATGGGGATGATAATAGCATTTACCTCATAGTATAGATCACATAGGATCCTGAGAAGAGAGAGATACATATAACTTGTAATTTTTATGGCATTGATGTCCTTAAATAATGGTTAGTCAGTGATTCTACTTTTTTCTTCCTCTACCTAAATAGGCTCCCTGTCAGAAAACCAAGATATGTCATTTATACTTTCAAATAATCAGCATGCTCCTTCTCCCATAGTTATTTGCACTTGCATAGGCCTTTTCACTGCAGAGAGGAAGACTCTGTCCCCAGTTTAAGTAATTTTAGGTCCAATTAATTGTATAATGAAGAAAGAAAGGAGGAAATCATTTTAGGCAAAAAGGACAGGCTGTGCAAAGGCTCTGTGTTAGTAGGGAATGTGAGAAATACAAGAGAATAGAAGAAATCCGATTTCTATTTAGGGCATAGACATTCAGAAGGTCATGGTAGGAGAAATAGGAGGGCCAAGACTTTGAAGGCCATGGTGAAGAGTTTTGTCTTTATCCAAAAGCAATGAGTGGAAGGCCACTGAAGTGTCCTAAACCAAGCAGTGATATATTTCAATTTCATTTCAAATAGATAACCCTGGAAGGGGTGTGGAAAATAGATGTGGAGGCAGGCAAGAGTGGATGGAGGCAGGCAAGAGTGGATGTAGCCAGACGAGGCTGGAGGCTACCCCAGTGGCCCAGACTGAGATTGCAGTAGTTTAGAGAAAGCAGTGGTAGAGACAGAGAAATGGAAAGGTTTGATTAATACGGAGGAGGTAAAATTAACTGGCCTTGGCAATGGGTTGGACATAAGCATAAAAAAGAAGGGGGTATCAATGATGACTTGCATGGGCCATCAGCATGCTAGATGCAAAACAAAATAATAAAGTTTAGAGAGAGCAAATTAATTTTCCTAAATTAACAAACATCGATTAGTGACCGAGCTTATGATATGTATGTGGTGTGTATATGTGTGATATGTGTGTATAAGAGAGAAAGACAAAGTATTTATGTGTATGCTGTGTGTTCACACGCACATATCCAGGATATACTATTTAGATAAACTAAAGATTTGAGCCCTGTTTTGCCTCTAGAAGTTAGGAACCTTGTATCTGCCTCTCGCCTCTACTAACTGCATCCCTGTGACATATTACTCAGGCCCCGTGCTTATTTTTCTAAACTGCAGAGTGCATATGCAGCCCTCCATACACTCTCTTTTATCTATCCAGTGTGTGGCCACCTCATTTTTATTGTTATTCTGGCTTCTATTCAATGTATTAGTTTGTGGCCTATGTAAGCATATTTTAACAATTTTGAAGAAATCTTTTCGTCATTGAAGCTTGTCTATAGAAGGCCTGAACTAATCAGTATTTCATATTTTTACTGCTTTCCACCCCCCCTTCCCCCACCACATACACACACCCATATATGTTTTGCTATTTTAAAGAAAGAGATTTAACAGCCATAAGGCACTTTTAAAAATAACATTCACATCTGGGCTGACCACCTGTATGCCAAAATTTAGCTTGATGTTAATTAAAACAGGCATGTTATAAACCTCAGGAAATAGCAGCTGACCCCTGACTATGAATGTAATGCTATAATAATACGTAGTAAAAATAAGACATTTTGAGGCTGTTGCCCAAACCACTCGTGCATTAAAATTCTCACCACTGTATACTCTTGCACGAGGATGGGTAAATCAACTGCAGAAGTGGTCCAACCAAAAAAATAATAATGATAACAATTTAAGGGGTAAGCGCCATTCATTAATGCAACAGATGACTTTAAATGGCTATCCTGGACAGGCACCACCAGTCTGCCTTGTGGAGAGGACTGTGCATGGAGCTTGGAAGACTGATCAGCTCCATCCTGATAGGATAATAATAATATCAACAGTAAAGTTATTGAACACTTTACTGTGTGTCTGGCACTGTGTTAAGCACTTTTAACATACATGAGTGCATTTATCCTCCTAACACCCTACAAGTTAGGTGCTACTTTTATCTCCATTTTACAGATGAGGAAACAAGACTTCAAAGATTTAGTTACCCTCCTTAGGCGGTACAGTGGCTGAGCTGGGATTTGGATGCTGGCCATCTGACCCACAGTCCAGGTGGCTGTACACAACTACAGACTTCACCTTCACTCCCTCTTGGATTCTGCCCTATCTGCGAGTGCCCCCCATGCTTTTCAGATCCAACCACAAGTGACCTCCTGTATTTCCCACTGCCTTTCTTCTGGCCCCTTTTTTTGTCACTTTTCTCCCATATGACCCCAGAGACTCTCCCTCTTCCTTTTCACTTTCTCATCAGCCTCACTTATTTGAAACCACTCTTCTTAATTGCCTTTGACACCCTGATATTTGACAGCTCAGTCTCTGCTCTGCTTTTCATCGGATCCAGCTATTTACCACTACCTCTGAATTCTACAATTGTCTTCTTTCTCCTTGCACTTCAGAATTTTATTTCATAAATTAGGGTATTGAAAATTTTCATTTTAAGTCACATATATATGTATATGTGTGTGCGTGTGTGTGTGTCTGAAATTTCCATAATTCACTTCACTTCCAAATGCGTATTTTTTAAAAGATAAAAACATCTTTGAAACGCAAATATATTGTAGCTCCTGAAAGCCATAATAATGGTTGTGTATTATGGGAAAGAGTCATAGAATCCACTGGATATGAAATATGCAGCAAGATATAACCAAACTCTATCCTACAGGATCCCAAAGGCTTTATGCATACGGTCTTTATTCAAATACACTGGCTTTGAATCAGAAAGACCAAAGATTTGTTCCCACTTCTACACTTACTAGCTGTGTGACTTTGGACAAATCCTTTAACTTCATTTTGCCTTGGTTAATTATCTTTAGAACTAGGATAACTACAGGACTCTCCCCTTAGAACTCTGATAAGAATCAAATGAGATTATATACTTAAAGTGCCTAATCTAGTAAGTACTCAATAAATGATATTAATGTATTGGTTGATATCATGTATTGGTTAAGTATTGGTTATTAATACCAATACATTAGTAGTATATAGACATACCTCAGTGATACTGCATGTTTGGTTCTAGACCAGAACAAAAAAGCAAATATCACAATAAAGAGTCACAAAAATGTTTTGGTTTCCCAGTGCACATAAAAGTTATGTTCCCACTACACTATAGTCTATTAAGTGTACAATAGCATTATGTGTAAGAAAACAATGTGCATAACTTAGTTAAAAAATATTTTATTGCTTAAAAATGCTAATGATTTTCTGAGCCTTCATCAAGTCATCATCTTTTTTATTGTGGAGGCTCTGGCCTCAATGTTGATGGCTGCTGCCTAATCAGGGTGATGGTTGTTGAAGGTTGAGGTGGCTGTGGCAATTTCTTAAAATAAGACAAATATGAAGTCTGCCATATTGATTTATGAAAGATTTCTCTATAGCATATGATGCTATTTGATAGCATTTTACTTACAGTAGAATTCCTTTCAAATTAGTCAGTCCTCTCAAATCCTGCTGCAGCTTTATCAACTGAGTTTGTGTAATATTCTAAATCCCTTGTTATCATTTCAACAATGTTCACAGCATCTTCACCAGTAGATTCCATCCCCAAAACCACTTTCTTAGCTTATCCAGAAGAAATAATTCATCCATTAAAGTTTTGACATGAGATTGCAGCAGTTTACTCACGTCTTTAGGCTCCACTTCCGCCACTGAAGTCTCTAACCCCTCAAAGTCATTGATGATGGTTGGAATCAACTTTCCAAACTCCTGGTAAGGTAGATATTTTGACCTCCTCCCATGAAACGTGAATGTTCTTAACAACATCTAGAATAAATCCCTTCCAGAAGGTTTTAAATTTACTTTGCCCAGATCCATCAGAGGAATCACCATGTATGGCAGCTATAGCCTATGGAATATATTTCTTAGATAATAAAACTTGAAAGTCAGAATTACTCCTTGATCCACGGGCTGCAGAATGAATGTTGTGTTAGCAGGCATGAAAACAATATGCATCTTCTTGTACATCTCCATCAGAGCTCTTGGGTGACTCGTTATAAATGAGCAGTAATATTTTGAAAGGAATCTTTTTCTCGAAGCAATAGGTCTCAACAATAGGCTTCAAATATTCAGTAAATCAGTCTGTAAACAGATGTGCTGTCATCCATGCTCTGTTGTTTCATTTCTGGAGCATAGGCAGAGTAGATTTAGCATAATTCTTAAGGGCCCTAGGAGTTTTGAAATGCTTAATGAATGTTGGCTTCAACTTAAAATTATGAGTTGCATTAGCCCCTAACCAAGAGAGTCAGCCATTCCTCTGAAGCACTGAAACCAGGTATTGACTTCTCGGGCCTGGAGCAGTGGCTCACGCCTGTAATCCCTGCACTTTGGGAGGCCGAGGCAGGCAGATCACCTGAGGTCAGGAGTTTGAGACCAGCCTGGCCAACATAATGAAATCCCGTCTCTACTAAAAATACAAAAAATTAGCTGGGTGTGGTGGTGGGTGCCTGTAATCCCAGCTACTCGGGAGGCTGAGGTGGAGGAATAGCTTGAACCTCGGAGGTAGAGGTTGCAGTGACCCGAGATTGTGCCACTGTACTCCAACTTGGGCAACAAGAGTGAAACTCTGTCTCAAAAGGAGAAAAAAGAAAAGCAACCAGGTATTGACTTCTCTCTAGATATGAAAGTCCTAGATGGCATCTTCTTCCAACAGAAGGCTGTTTAATCTACATTGAAAATCTGTTGTTTAGTATAGCCGCCTTCATCAATGATCTTAGGTAGATCTTCTGGATAAATTGTTGCAGCTTCTCCATCAGCACTTGCTGCTTCATCTTGCACTTTTATGTTACTGAGAAGGCTTCTTTCCTTAAATCCCATGAATCAACCTCTGCTGGCTTCCAAATTTTCTTCTGCAGCTTCCTCACATCTCTCAGCCTTCATAGAACTGAAGAGAGTTAGGGCTTTGCTCTGGATTAGGCTTTGGCTTAAGGGAAGGTTGTGGTTGGATTGATCTTCTATCCAGACCAGTAGAACTTTTGCCATATAAGCAATAAGACCGTTTCACTTTCTTATCATTTATGTGTTTCCAGGAGTAGCCCTTTTAATTCCCTTCAAGAACTTTTCTTTTGCATTCACAGTTTGGCTAACTGTTTGGAGAGGCCTTACTGTCAGCCTCTCTCCGCTTTTAACATGCCTTCCTGACTAAGCTTTATAATTTTTAGCTTTTGATTTACAGTGAGAGATGTGCCACACTTCCTTTCACTCAAACACTTAGAGGCCATTGTAGGGTTATCAACTGGCCTAATTTGAATATTGTTGTGTCTCTGGGAATAGGGAAACCTGAGGAGATGGAGAGAGATGGGGAACAACCAGTGAGTAGAGCAGTCAGAACACACACAACAGTTATCAGTTCAATTCTTCATCTTCTATGGGCATGGTTTGTGGCACCCCAAAACAATTACAATAGTGACATCAAAGATCACTGACCACAGACCACTATAACAGATAGAATAGTCATGAAAAGGTTTGAAATATTGTGAGAATTACCAAAATGTGACACAGAGATGCAAAGTGAGCACACGCTGTTGGAAAAATGGTGCCAACAGACTCGCTCAGCACAGGGTTGCCAGAAAGCTTCAGTTTGTAAAAAATGCATTATCTGTGAAGCAAAATTAAGTGAAGTGCAATAAAATGAGGTGTACCTGTCACAGTTTTAAAATAGTTGTAAGAATTGCTTCTGTACTAGCAGCAATGATAGTAGTCGTTGTTACAACAGCGCATCCAAGTTCTATGCTAAGGAAACTCGAGCCCCTTCTTCCATCCTCAGCATCTCAGCCATACTGAACTGCTTCTACTTATCCCCAAACAAACACCATACTGTTTCATCTGTCCTGCTTCTTTTTCTATATTCTTCTTTTTCCTGGATTGTTGGTGTCCTATAAAATGGCCTGCTGAGGTCCAAATCACCGTTCAAATCTCAGATCAAGCATTAGTACTTCTGTGAGCTTTACCCTGATTCCTCAAGACAGCCTTAAACGTTCCCTATCCTATTTTTCTAGAAAGTCTCCCTACTACACTAAGCTAGTGAAGAACAGGAACATTTTACTTTATATTATTTTTGGCATTACTGTATTCCCAACACCTGACACAGTGGCTAGTGTATTGTTGATGTCCATGTAGGAAGCTTTGGCACCAAGGAACAGAAATTTACCTCCACCCCTACCTCAAAATGACTTAAACATGAAGCAAGCATGTTACCTCATACAACATGAAGTTCAAAGGCAGAGTAGGATCCAGGGCTCAGTTAATGTCTTCATATCCGCATGAGAAATCTGGCTCTTCCCATCTCCCTGCTGTCATACTCAGTGAGGTGGCCATGCCTTCAGTACAGAGCCTTTACAGCCACAGCCGTCATAGCCACAAGGCAGCCACACACATCTTCAGGCTCCTTATCCAGGGGCAACAACAGCAAAGAAAGAAAGGAACCATCTTTTCCTGTGCCTCCTTAAGAGCAGCTAAGAAACCTTTCCAAGAAGCCCCCTCAGACCTCTGATATTCATTTTCCCAGGATTAGGTTTTTATGTTCATTCCCAAACCAATCATTCACAAAGGAAATGAGATTACCATGATTACCTTAGGCTAGGGATCAGCAAACATTTTCTGGAAAGAGCAAGATAGTAAACATTTTAGGCTTGGCAGACCATACGGTGCCTGCCGCAACTACTCAACATGCCCTTGTGTTACAAAAGCAGCCACAGACAATATGTAAATGAATGAGTATAGTTATGTTCCAATAAAACTATTTATGGACACTGAAATTTGAATTTCATATAACAGTCACATGTCAGTATTCTTCTTTTAAATGTTTTCAGCCATTTCATAAATCATTCTTAGCTCAAAGGCCATACAAAAACAGGCAGCATGCTGGATTTGGCCAAAAGGCTATCGTTTGCTGACCCGTCACTTACATTATTTGGGGTTAAATGTATATTGAAATGCCATCCACCACAATGTCTCAAGTGTGCAATAAATATTTGAAAAGTTTAAGAATAAACAACTAAAGAAAACACAGCTCTTGTTTATGAGAACTTCATAGGATATCCATGTATATGATTTCCTGAAAGAGATTTTTCAAATAATGGTTTTGTCTAATGACGGTGGGTTCAGCAGAACTAAGCAAACAAACAAAAATTGTTGCTTGTGACAGATTAGCTATTAAATTATGAAATGGAAGATAAATAAAATTTTGTGTTAGAATGTGTGGGAAATACAGAGTTGAAGAACCCCTCATGAATCTAAATGCATAAAGCATTTGTTTGGATGGTAAGGAGGTAAAAGAGATCACTAATGGGTATTTCCAATGTTAACATCTTCTGACTTCACAATTTTCCAAACATAATGTTGCATGTATTCTGATGCAGGCAAAGAGATAATTACGGAGTAACTGCTTGCACTCAGTGTAAATTAATCAAATGTAAATTTAATAAACTGTAAATAGAAGATACTCCTAAGCTGATACGGCAAGCGAATCACCTCCATTATAGACTCATTTTTGCAAAATTACATCTAATCATAGTATTTTAAGATAGTGTTTGGCAAAACATCTCTAAATCTGTCAACAAAAGCAGCTATTACTTCTTTGCGGCTGAATACCTTTGCCAACAAACACCCATCTGTCTGGAAAGATTTATGTGTGGTTCTGCCTGAAGCCAGGGGTAAAAATCTCAATGACCTCTGGGGATTTCTTTCACCTTTGTGTTCAGAGAGTCAATAAAAATTCGTTTTAAAGTAACCTCAACTGCACAATCCGGAAAAAAACTACAAAGCTGAGACGTAATCAAGTTTGTCCCAAGAATCCCCCAAATAGAAATTCTTCTAGTAATTATACAGGTGATTTTGCTTGATCAACAATTTAATCTTGCTTGTCAATTGCTGCTTTAAGAGCCTCCAAGCTCCTTAATACAGCTCAGAAGAAAGACCCACAAGTCCCAATTAGCACCACCATACTTAATCCTCTACCAGACTGATTATTTTAGTTCTTCAAGCACAGACCTTGGCCCACACAGTTCCTTCTGCATGGGCCACTCTTTCTCCCTCCCCACAGCTCATTCGCCCCTTGCTGTGGCTGATGTGTTCTCTACCTTCAGGCCTTGGTTCACACTGGGGGATCAAGGAAACCTTCTCCCTCTCCCTCTACCGTCCATGAATTAGATGGCCCCTTTTAGGTGATAGCACCCTTTTCTTACTGCTTATAGTGAAAGTACTTTTCCGTGTAAGCATTATTCCCTTCAGCGTTGAGGACAGAAACTGGGTCTTCATTATTACAGCAAAAAGCAGAGGAGGCCAAGTTAGAAAGTGATTTATATGCCTTGCTAAAAAGTTTGGGCTTTATCCTGAAAGGTATAGAAAGAAGCTATTGGAGACATTTGTCATGCTCATATATACCTCACCAGAAAGTTCATATCAGCAACATCAGAAATGGACCTCCAGAGGATGAGGATAGACGGTGAGGGGTCCACACTAGCAGCACTGAGACCACTTAGGGAATGATTCCTGTGAGCCAGGTCAGAGAGGATGGAGGCCTGATCTACAACCATGAATACTAGGGATGGAGAATCATGGTCAGTTAGGAGAGACATTTAGGAAGCAGAAATCTGTGCAGTTCGTGACTGAGTACACAGTAAACTGAAAAACTTTGAGAGAGAAAAAAAATCAAGGTGAAATTTGGCTTCTGGTTTGGACAACTAAGCAAATTATAGTGCTAGTCACTTGAGAAAGGTTACAGAAGGAGGAACAAGTAGAGGTATGGAGAAAGTGATGATTACTTCCCTTGATACACTGACTTCAAGAAGCCTGCAAAGCATTTAGAAGGAGGTGACCAAGAGGCATCTGTATAAATACATATGAATCTAATGTAAAGAAGAGAAGTCTGGACCAAAGATACAAATTTGAGAGTCATCGGGTTGTAAAAGATACTGAACTCACCTATGCAGTTCATCAATGTATCAAATGTATATTGAAAAAATAGAGGCCTTGACCAGAAGCTTGAGCAATACCAACATTTGAAGGGTAACAGAAGAGGGGCTCATGAAGAAGACTGAGAAGGAGTGGCCAGAAAGGAAGGCAAAATCAAGAGGAAGTATAAAGTCAAAGGAAAGAGAAAGCTGCAGAAGATAGATATTATTAATCAGCTATGATTACATACCAATCACAGAATCTCAGGTGCATGCGGTAACAAGCATGTATTAACCTGCTCCCAGGTCAGCTACAATGGCTTTGCTCAGGCTGCAGGCATTGGCCGTAGCTGCTCAGCTCCACGTATCTCTCATTCTCTTGGGACCAGTGAGTGCCATGAGGCATGTTCTTCTCCTACTGATGGCAGAAGCCCAAGAGGAACATATGGAAGCTTGCAATGCCTTTTAAGTCGTAGTCTCAGGCTAGCACTCTACTACTTCTGCTTTATTTCATTGGCTAAAATAAGTCACAAGGCTAGGCTGTGCAGGTCAATGGGTAGAAAAGCGGTAAAAAGGGATCAGAACTGTGACTGTGGCTGCAGCAATTTCATAGGACGCTTTGTATTGTCCACAAGTAAAAAGTGACATTGTTCACTCGAACTAAACTATTGTTTTGTATGTTTTCAAACATACCTAGAGTTGGAACCTGGTTGGCCCATCCCTTTGGAGGAATCTAGCATGCCAGGGTCAGTCACTAGAAGTCACACCTTTATAAGAAGCCAAGGGGTTTCCCAGGTAAAAATAATCATACAGCCTGTGAGGATCAGGAGAGTGATAGGGTCAGGCTTTTTTGATATCAAAGGAAAGGCTGGCTCAAATAAGCTCATGAAAGGGGGGGAGTTTATTGTAAAGATATGTATTGAGTAGAAGTGGGAAGCTATCAAGAATAGAGTCATATCCAGGGGCTGAATACTTTCCACAGCTTTCCTTTCACGCAGATCTCATGGTCTCTTTCTCATATTATTTTAGCTTCTGTCTGCATTTCTGGACCATTCTCCTTATCTGTCAACTGATGCTTCTGTTTACTTGTACGTTCTGCTCCATCTGAAATTCTACTCACATGTACCTCTGCCTGGCCATGATTCTAACATGGGACATTTTTCTGTCCCTGCTTCTACCTGTCTTGAGCTCTTCAAGTTCCCCAGTTCAAACTCCTAAGGGGAAGATTTGGATTTTTCCAGCTTATTTCTCACAATGAGTTGTGTCACTGGAAAGCTGATTAATGGCTCACCCTTGAGTCAGGTAGCCATTCCTAATCTAGCCAGTCGTGACTACTGAGGGGAGGTACAGGAGTAAGGAAGTTTCTCTTAGGAAGTACTGTCAGTAGGGAGGTACCAGCTGAGCTTTCTAGTAAAGGGAGGCCCCCAGAACATTGGGTTTAGCATTCAAAGAAGAGTAAGTGGAATGTTCACTCTCTGTTTGGAGAGATCCCCCCATGGAAAGTTCATCCTGAAAGAAGGATTGGAGATGCTGACTAAACCCCAGGTCACTGACCAACTATAGATGTCAAGGAAGACTTCAGCATGGTACCCAATGGGATGCCTCTCATAGATCTCCAATTAAACCTCATTGACAAAAACTTGTCCCAGAATCCTTGAGATGAAAGCTAAAGAAATAAATTGAATACAAAACTGTAAAACTGAGAGGTGAGAAAGACTAAGACCACACCGTTTAGAATCCTTATGCAAGGATTGAAACACTGGCAGGGAGAGAGTCCTCCTCACTCCCTCATTGTGAGCAAAGAAGCAATAGGCGAGGAGCGATAGAGGCCATGACCATTTATGATGCCTGGTGAGATACCAAGATAGCCAGGATGGCTATGGTTGTCCTTCCCACATAACCAAAGAAGACAAGCAAGCAGCTGGAATAATAAACCAAAAGTTCTAGGCTACATCATGGCATTCCTTCATTTGATGCCCTCTGAATTCCATTTTGCAAGATTTGATTTCCTTCAAGTGTGGTTGATGCTGTGGCTGTCACTGCTTTCTCCATGGAAATGAGAAAGCCTGTACTTAGTCCATCATGGAGTAGATTTGCTTCTCTCTTCTCTATAACTTATTCAAAGCAGTGAGAGTTTGTGTTCCAAACCCGGGTTGTGCCTCAGCCCCATCCAAAGATGTCTCCAATTACTCAATTGATTTCTTATTGTGCATCTACTCTATGCTTCAAACTGGGTCAGATCTAAGAGTAATGATATTTCCGGGACTATAGAATATATTAGAAGTAATTTGAGAACAACATGGGATAGCGTATGGTGAAGGATCACACAAAAGAATACAAACAACAGTTCAAAGAAAGCAAGGGTAAATTAGCTAGCATCACTGCAATAGGCTTGAGGATACAAACAGGATTAAATTTCAGCTAGCCCCAAAGAACACAGCTATTATGGCTATAAAAAATTCTCCAAAGTGCCTCCCTCTTCCCTCACCCTCAAAAATAAAGCTAAATAATAAAAAGATATAAATGATGATTTATTTAATTTTTTACATAAACATATGACACACCTGTTACTTTTAAAAAGGGGGAAGAAGGTGTCAGCAAATCAAACCATAAGGTGTCACAAATCCAAGAGGGTTGGAAATCACCACATTCAAGTCCCCATTGGGTTTGGAGAGATTTATGCTTCTTAAAAGCGTCCAGACATTAGCAGCTCAAACCCCCACACTGTATATCCTGGCTTCATTTAAAGGACCCACAGGTCAGACCAAAACACAACGGAGCTTTATATGCCAGTTTTTCTTGACTCTCTGTAGGTCAGGGAAGTTAAGCTCAAGTAATTAGGGGATAAAGACAGAGGCTGGGAGTGGGGGATGGAAGCATGATGAAAGTTCCAGAGTTTAAAGGCTCAGTAGGAAGCCAGAGAAAAAGTCGATAAAGTCATGTCTTCACGAAACACGTGTTTTCCATGGTAGAGTAAACGCATTTGCCGTCACACACAGGGAATCTCTCTGTGACCATAGCACTCTCACCCACCTGTGGGGCAAGGACAATTCAAATGCATTGTGATGATTGTGAGACCATTGTTATCTTGAGTTGCTTTCTCAGTCATCAAATACCCATTCTGTTATGTTCAGTAATTATCAGCACTAAGTGCATTCCGTTGCATTAACTTTATTTTGAAAATGATAACCCAGGTGGCTTTTTAATGATAATTCTTTTTTAATATATGATTGAACTGTTCATAAATGATGCCAAAGAACAGACAGGTTCCTATAAATGCTGCAGCCAAGCCCAAAAGTGTAGTCTCAACATGTAAAGAGGTCAGGAAATAATGACCAGCAGCAGTGAAAACAAAGCAGTGGAAATTAAGAACAGCCATAACTAAGCAAATAAATGGAGAAAAACCCTACAGTTTTCAGAACAAATACACAGAAAAGAATCTCATATTGTCCGGATGAGACAAACATACTGATTGACTAGATCCCAAAATCAGTCTTCTTGATTCCAGCTGTGCTATTAACAAATGAATGGAGCCCATGGCTCTTTCAGACCGAAAACCAGTGTTAATGAACTCAGTGAGCTTCATCTAAAAACTAAGTGCTATGTTGATGGCTATTCACAGTATATACATCCATCATTTATCAGGAACTGTTGCCAAACGTTTTCTTATGATAACATACCAATTACATGTGATGGTCAAATGGCATTTGTCTATTACATATTTCTGGCACATATCATTTCAAAGGGGAGTATTTTTTTATGTTGTTAAGTTTTTTCAGTCTTTATTCATTATTGATCCATCTATCATCTTTTTTTTCTTTCTTTTTTCCTTCCTTCCTTTCTTCCTTTGAAGAAATGTATAGCGAGCATCTGTTATATGCTAGGCACTGTTCTGGGCTTTGGGAAGACAGTGGTACAAAAAACAGATAAGATCCCTCAAGTATAGTGTACATTCTACAGAGGATAGACAAGCAAAAACCAAGTAAACAAACATATTTTTTAAAAATTCAGATAGTGCTTGAAGTCATAGAAGAAAGAAAAAGTACTGGAAGAAAATAAGGTTGCTTTAGAGAGGGTGGCAGGGAAGGCCTCTCTTGGAAGGAGAGTTGACATTTGCACTAATTCTCAAATGTGGAGAAAGGTCAGCTATAATGTAGGGTGTCTCAACCTCAGCATTGGTGACATTTTGGACTGGATCGGTTTTTGTGATGTGGAATTACCCTGTCCCTTGTAGGATGTTAAGCAGCATCCCTGGCTTCTACCCACTAGATCTTGCAGCAGCTCCACCTCCAAGTCAGGGCACTCAAAAATATCTCCAGACATTACCAAATGTCTCCTAGGAGACAAAACTGCCCCTGACTGAGAATCACTAGGCTATGTGAAGATTTGGGGAAAAGCATTTCAGAGGGAGAAACTTCAACAAGCCCGGCAGTAGGAATGAACTTGGTATGTTGCAGGAAGAAGACCAATGTGAATGAAGTATATGAGCAACGTGTAGAGTAAAAGCAGGATGAAGCTAGTGGGGCCCCAGATTGTGTGCTTGCACGTGCACATGTGTATAAAGAAAAAATATATATGTACCTCCATTTCAGTAATTGTCTCCTCACTGGGCTATTGTGTTGGGCTATGTCCCCTCTGTAAAAATGTTCAACATCATTTTAAAAAAGGTTTGCAATGAACATCAGCAGCACTAAGTGAAGAAGCACTTAATTTATCATTCCTTGTGGCTTTGGACAGGTCCGGGATTGTCAACAGTAAATAAATCATATGTCACATTTGATTTGTGAGCAATTTACATGCTATTTTATCAGAAGTTAAAAAAAAAGCAGGTTTCAAATTGCAGTATAAAATCATCTTTAGGAAAGTTTATTCTGAGACAGAAACAAAGAGATTCTTCTCTTTCTTTTTTTCCTGAACTGGAGATACCATTAATGATGTTAATCCTCATGAACATTGAGATAGACATCCTATCATGATAAATGAAGTAGAATTTCTCAGCTGGTTTATGTCTGGGAAAAGTAGTGATGAAAGCTAGAAGACTGATGCTTCAACACTTTCCAAATTCCAGCTACACAAAAGTTCCCTTCAAAATTATTCAAGCATGATTAATCGAGCTGTAAGCTAAGAAATTGACTGCATGTCAGAAATAATAGTAAAAACAGAGTTTAGAGCAATTTGTAAATGATGTGATAGACACAAACATCAGGCCATATAACCAGAAAAAACAAGGCAAGGAAATTTTGCAAATAAGCAGCACTGACAGAGTGAATAAAGGTGGAAAATACCTGGATCCTCCTTTAGGCTCAATAATCATAGGTACATGATCCAGTGAGAAGAGCTTGGGGCCAGGACATGTGGTTTCTAATGTGTATGCCACTAAAATAACTCTCTGACATTAGCAAATCCCCATGCTCTGCCTCTGTTTTCTTACCTGCTGAGTGGGTGAAATGGTGGCAGGTGTACTTAACTCACAGAGTGGGTCAAATACCATAACATTACAAAGGTGCAAGAAGTTATATATAAAATGGAAAACCTCATAAATATGTAAAGAATTATGCTCTGTTAATTGCCGCAAAGCCTGGGACTTTATCTTGTGAAGGATCTTTTTTGGCTGAAAAGAAGAAATTCCAACATTAATCTCCATTTCAAATAAACCATATAATCCACAGTTCCAAATGATCCACCTACTATGTACAGGGCCTGTGCTAGGCCTTGGAATATGGAGAGTAATAAGACCAGTTTCTTCCATTGATTAAATCAAAGCTGTGGGGAAAAAAATGAAGCATTACAGAATCTACAATGAACTCAACAAATTTACAAGAAAAAAACAAACAACCCCATCAAAAAGTGGGCAAAAGATATGCACAGACACTTCTCAAAAGAAGGCATTTATGCAGCCAAAAAACACATGAAAAAATGCTCATCATCACTGGCCATCAGAGAAATGCAAATCAAAACCACAATGAGATACCATCTCACACCAGTTAGAATGACGATCATTAAAAAGTCAGGAAACAACAGGTGCTAGAGAGGATGTGGAGAAATAGGAAGACTTTTACACTGTTGGTGGGACTGTCAACTAGTTCAACCCTTGTGGAAGTCAGTGTGGCAATTCCTCAGGGATCTAGAACTAGAAATACCATTTGACCCAGCCGTCCCATTACTGGGTATATACCCAAAGGATTATAAATCATGCTGCTATAAAGACACATGCACACGTATGTTTATTGCGGCACTATTCACAATAGCAAAGACTTGGAACCAACCCAAATGTCCAACAATGATAGACTGGATTAAGAAAGTGTGGCACATATACACCATGGAATACTATGCAGCCATAAAAAATGATGGGTTCTTGTCCTTTGTAGGGACATGGATGAAGCTGGAAACCATCATTCTCAGCAAACTATCGCAAGGACAAAAAACCAAACACCACATGTTCTCATTCATAGGTGGGAATTGAACAATGAGAACACGTGGACACAGAAAGGGGAACATCACACACTGGGGACTGTTGTGGGGTGGGGGGAGGGGGGAGGGATAGCATTAGGAGATATACCTAATGTAAATGACGAGTTAATGGGTGCAGCACAGCAACATGGCACATGTATACATATGTAACAAACCTGCACGTTGCGCACATGTACCCTAAAACTTAAAATATAATAATAATAAAAAAAGAAGCATTACATCATTAAATGTATACATTTACATACTATATATTAATTATGTATTTATGGTCTGCTTTTGAGTACTAGAATGTAAGCTCCTTAAAGATAAGAATTCTATATATTTGGCTCACAGCAGTATCTATAGTACATAGAATAGTGCCTGGCACAAAATAGAACTATAATAAACAGTTGTTGAATAAACAACAAAAAAAAACCTACACCTTTTTTTTTGCCCTTGAAGAACATTTATTGCTCACAGGACTGTGGCAGTCGCTTTCTATATAGTCTTACACATTTTGCAAGTGACGAACTGACAGAGGGTGGTTAAAAACCTCACCAAAAATCACAAGGCTTCTAAGTTGGTAGCAGAATCTGAGCCTGCCCTTTCACTCACTCACATTATTTATTGGGCACCTATTATGCCTGGCACTATGCTGGGCACTGGGAGACAGCAGAAAATAAGATGAACAAAATATCTGTTCAAATGGCACATACATAATTGTGAGGAAAGACATTACAAAGCAACAGACATATGTCTCCCTGACACCAAAATCCAAAACCCTTCCATATGCTACCTTCTTCTGAGTCATCACTTTGTGAAAGCAAGAAAAGAATACAAGGGAAAATGCATGCATACCCCAAACCCAAGCTGAGTATCCCTAGTAAACCAGAAATCTAGAAAAAGTAAAGCCAGATAAATGAGTCTGCTCAAAACACTGAAACGTCCTCATCCAAAATCTAAATCGAAAAATGTTTGCATTTGGCGTGGGTACCTGTAAGCCCAAAGGCAGGCAGCTCCTGACCATCAACAACACAGAGACATCTCCTGTCAGGGCACAAACATGAAAATCAGCTCTCCACCAGAAGGCCTGAGGTTTAGCTGAATTAAAAGGCCTGTGTCCCTGGCTCCTGGAGATGGCTAGACAAGGCAAAAGCATATGCCTGCCCGCCTGGCAGCAGCTCTCCCTGGCCTGGAATGAATGCATCTACATCAGCCAAGGAAAGCTGGCAGCGACAGTGGCCCTGGGCGGAGAGAAGCCACCGCCAGCCAGCACCAGCACGGGGCTTCCCTACAGGCAGCTCTTGCTGAAACAAAGAGAGATGAAGGGAAGAGCTGTGGATGTCCAGCCTCCAGGCTCGTATCTAAAATCGAGAGCAGTGCTGGGCTAATGGAAGGCCGGATCTGCTCCAAAACCCTAGGCACAGCTTCTGGGATGCAATCTGAGTAATTTCCTGATGATTCTTCTCGCATAATGGATTTGAGTTATAAAGGAATTTATGCCCTCAGGACCAAATTACCCAGATAATTGAAGATAGAATGAGGTAGGTGTGGGCGGAGAAGGAAAGGCCTCAATTACACAGATTTCTCCATCACTCCAAATGAGTTCAACATTCCAATTCATGATGGCGTTTCCTCTTTAACATCATTTTACATCCATAAACTGCTTTGGTTGAGATAGTAAATTCAGTTGCTTTCTCAAGTACAGTAAAGGGGTATCGAGGCCCAATTTCACCTAGGCTTCCAGGTTTTCAAACCTAGATACCCACACTTCACCAGCCCCATCCTCCAGGATATGATTCCTGGTTTAAGTCTCACAATCACAAATAAATATATGAAACTGCATTAAGGTTAAGAGAGGTTTAATATTAAAATAGTGTAGATAAAAGCCTGAAGGCAACCAGGACCACTTTAGGACCCACAACCCATCCCGAGTCATGGCTAAGAATTGGACAGTCATCTTCATGATAGGATGGTTTGGATTCCCCATAGCTGCACACTTATTTGTTCTTGTTCCTGTTTGTAGGTTCTCATACTTGAATGTAAACAAGAATTATTTGCAGGGCTGTAGGCACAAAACTAGTAACACTGCCTGTATGAGCACATTAAGGTATTTTTAAAGTTAATTTTGTCACCTCTGTGCTGACTTGACACTCTAAGCCCGAGGAAATCATGTCCCCAGAATACCGTTTTTACATCTGCCTTTAGCATTAGTGACTATCAGACAAATGTACATCTTGCTTGTTAATTGAAAAACTTTAGACAAATTAAATTTAACAGAGTTAACTTAGCAAAGAACTATTCATGAATTGGGCAGCACTCTGAACCAGAAGAGGTTCAGAGAGCTCTTCTCTGCAACCCAGGCAGTCAGTATTTACAGACAGAAAACAGAAGGTACAGAAATAGCTTGATTGGTTGTAGCTTGGAGTTTGCCTTATTTTGACATGGTCTGATTAGCTGACAGCTTGTAATTGGCTGAAGCTTGACTGCTTGTGATTGGTTGAGACCCAGCTATCTGTTGCAAATAATATACTTCTAAGTTAGGTTCGTGTATGTACTAAGATTGCAGTTCATCACAAACTCAAAGTAGGGAGACAGCCTCAGGCCAATGCCTTTTTTTTTTTAATTTAACATGCTCCATTCCACACTCAGAGGAAGAAATTCATGAAACACTAGGGTCTAAAATTTCATCTAAAATTCCCCTGTTCATGTGCTTTCCACTGCCTAGGTTCCCTTCACTGTTGTAGGAGATGAGAAAAGGGACACAAAAAAAGTGACTTTAGGAAAGATTCCCATGACTTAGTCCAGATTTATTGAGAAATTAAAGATTCTTTGTTATAGATTTGTTATTTACCTGCACATATTTTATTGTATTTATGAGCTGCATTTTGTCAATACCTAAAAAGCTAAATAGACAAATGAATAAAAATCAAAGGCTCTGAAATATGACTGGAGTCTTGAAGCCTAAACCAGGGATATAACAGATGGTTGCATGAGTTAGTAAAGTTGGTAAATGATGCATAGAATTTGCAAGGCACCCAACCCTGGCTGGCTCAAGTAAAGTCCACTAAAGGGCTTGAGGTGGAGGTAGGGTGCAGGGTGGTGAGTAGTCTGTAAACAGGTGCTAAACCACTTATTCAAGCACTCTCACAAATGGCCTAAAAGATTTTCCCAGCATCCTCTTGCTCTCTATGAGTCACTGTGGGAATAGCAGTGAGGTTTGGAGTTGAGTTATAACCATTCAGTAAAGCATTTCCCTCCAGACTGTGCGAAGGAAAGGGGCTATGTTGGTAAATTTATTGACTATTTCATTAGATCAATATGGAATATGATTTAAAGGGCTCTGCCCAGCCTCTTTAAATCTATTTAATCAAACTAATTAATAAAAAAAGTAAGAAGTTGAAGCATATCCTGTAAGGTGCATCATAAATATCTTCCCTTACTTGGGCTTTTGATCTCACCCAGGTAATTAACAGCTTTACTTAAGTTCAGTCATTCCTTCATGCCTGGCTATGGTCATAAAAACCCCAGGCTATATGTAGCTCTTGGATTTATTATGTTTTTCTTACTGCAAGAGCGTCTCTCACATTCCGTTTTCCCCCTCCTCTCGAGAAAGTTTATGTAGCCATTGCTTTTGCAGCTGTCATGAAAGCTACACTGGCTGGTGAGCTTTGTACTGCTTGTGAGGCTGCATGCACTCAGCTGTTGCTATCCAATTCAGTAGCTTCTTCACTCTACATCAAACTATTCCACAGTATCTCCTGTCTAAGAATGAAGAGAGAAAAACATCCAGAAGCCCTGACCTCCAAAGTGCTGTTCTCCCATTGCCTGTCTATTCATGGATATTTTTCACGAATGAAATGGCCTCTCCCTTTTACACAGGACATGATTTTTATTGTGGGATTTGGAGGGTCATCCTCTCTGTAATCACTGAGGATGAACCATTATTTTCAGCTCCTCAACAAACCAACTCCCATGTCTCCACCCTCAACTCCTTCTCCTATCAGTTCCCCAGCATCAATCTTCCTAGCTATGAAAACTTGAGATATCTAGACAAGCCAGCATTATCACCTGGAGGTGGGAGGAAAAGTTGATATCTTTCCAATGCTAGAGTAATTGTCATGAGACTCTGACTATGAAACTGAAATTATAGCTTCACTCTGCTTCATAGACAGAGGAAGCTCAGTTTGGAAGGGAAGCAAATGCTTCCCCAAAGCTCTTCTGTCTCCATTTGAGGAGGAGCTGGGTAAATACACTCACCCAGGTAACTGTGCTCCAGGGTCCTTCCCCAGCTGAAAGCAAGGTCTGAGAAAATATGGCAGTTGGCTACAAAATTCAAACTGTGCATTAACAGTTGACTTTCTTTAATAAATCACAATTATTTGTGCAAACAGTTGAGGAGATGAGACTCTGTTCTGGATATGACCAGTTTCCCATGGATGATAACTTTTGTTCCCATGCACTGGAAAGCCCACAAAAGATCTACTGAGGAGCTGAAATCAGAGTAATTGCTTTCGCAGTTTAAGATCTGTAGCAGCCTATTTTACTTTTGCTCCCTGTATTTAATTTGGTCCAATTCAGTAAGTATTCACCAAATATCTACCATCCTAGGTGTCATCAGAAGAGACACAAAAGAAATACAAAACACAGAGTGAGCACGTGGGTTTTATATGCTTTGTGGGAGATTAAAAACAGGCTGACATGAAATGCTCATGTTTAAGATCATCTTCCCTTTAACCAGCCCTACAAATTACTGTTCACACAAACTCTTGGACATCATTTATTCAACATATATTGAGCCTCTGCACTAAACACCAGGCTATGAATGCTGCATGTGTGATAAAAAGATGAGCTAGCAATTATTAACCTCTATGGGTTTACTGTAGCACAAAGGAGATGTAAGACACTTACAAAGAACTTCATGGCTCTTCATACCATGAAATTTATATGAAAAAAACCCGAAAGAGTTTGCTTCAAGTCACTGTATCATCTTAATACAATCTAAACTGCCAATTCTATTGTACACTAACACATCCCCAATTTGTTCAAAATAAGTAAAGGTACCTTTGTTTAAGTAAACATCCAATTTAGACAGCATATTTAATGAAGTAGTATTAAAACCTTGTAACTCAGATTATAGTTGACAGGACATTTAACAGAGGGTGTACTTGTATAACCTACTAAGAATAGTGTCGTGTCTATGTCAGTTGCTTATCAGCGGTGTGTCTAAGACACCAGATGGGACTTGAAATGAGTCATTTAACCATTATAATCATGTTATATCATTCTTTTTTTTTTTTTTTAGAAGGAGTTTTGCTTTTGTTGGCCAAGCTGGAGTGCAATGGCACAATCTCAGCTCACTGCAACCTCTGCCTCCTGGGTTCAAGTGATTCTCCTGCCTCAGCCTCCTGAGTAGCTGGGATTACAGGCATGTGTCACCATGTCCAGCTAATTTTTTGTATTCTTAGTAGAAACAGGATTTCACCATGTTAGCCGTGGCTGGTCTCGAACTCCTGACCTCAGGTGATCTGCCCACCTTGGCCTCCCAAATTATATCATTCTTAAAGAGCAACTTTTTCAAAGAAAACTTCCTTCCTAAATGAACAGTAGTTTATGAAGACACTTACCCTCCCAGCACCATGATAAATTTCAGCTAAGCCTCTGTTGAAATAATCACTAACACTGACTTGCAGAAACAATAGTCATCATTACATCTAAAACTTTCAAGCCCTTGTGTTATGTCAGTTGCCATGCTAAGTGCTATAAGTGTTTTATATCACCGACGGTCACAAGACTAGAAGGTAGGTTGTTCTATTTTACAGACAAAAACACTGAAGCCAAAGGTCCCACCACTAGTGAAGACTGTCTGAATTTCAGAGCACATGCTTTTAAATGAATGCAAAATCAATGGAGTTGTGTCACGTATATGCAGTTCAGGGTTAAAATAAGTAAGTAGGTTGGCAAAAGTCCCAAATATATCCAAAAGCACAGAGGGAACAAATGTGATTTTTTTCCTACCAATTTCCTTTTAACCTCCTGATTTCTAGAGGGACCGATTTTGCTCTGTGCCTCCCGTTCTTTCTCCTGCCCTCCAATCAAGGATGCTCAAGTGGTAAAATCCACTTAAAATATGGAAAATGTTCCTTCCTGTCGCTTCAGGTGCTTGTCTGTTTGAGGTGACTCGAGGAGGTCTGGTGAAGAGGGATCTTGGAGAATGGTGTATAATTCCCATCTCTAAAGTTAAATTATTAATTTTTTATCAATTAATTGGATGAGGATTGGTGGGAAAGAGAGGCCCACAGCTCAGCAGGGCTCTACTGGGTGCCGAATAAAACAAGAAACCCACCCGGGTGAGATGGATAAGTGAAGGGGAAGAGAAGCCACAGTGGTAATAAATGTGAGAATCCCCTACTTTCAGGAGAGGGGAGCAAACCACCTCCCAGGAGGAGAGATGCAGAATCGCTCAGATTTCTCCAGGGGGATGGAGGGGGTTGGTTAACAGAATCAGCCCTCCAGGCCTTGTACAAAGAGACTCTACTGCTTGCCTGGGAGTCGTTTTTCTTAATTCTTTCACATACTGAAGAAGATCAGATCCCAGAGAAGAGAAGTTTCTAGCCTCCCTTTTGACAAATAGAAGGTGTTCTTACTCAGAATACTGTTGTTTAATAATGAAAATAGCTTGTATTTTCTGGGTATGTACATAAATTACATTTGCTATAAGAATGTCAAGTTATTTTTAAAACATATTTTCAAATGCCTTTTTTACACTTGATGTTCCACTACCCCTCATTGTTAATGTTTTGGGGGCATCATTCCACACACCTCTTTTTGCTGATAGGGACAGCTATAAAAATCTGGTTATTAGTTTATTGAACAAATACCTACTATGTTTCAGAGATCATAGCTATGCATGTTATTCTCGACCATTTTTTATTCAATAAAATGATGTGAACTTATTTTTACATTAACAGAAATCTACATGATGATTTGGAGTCATTTCATCGTGTCTCACCATAATTCCAATGATAGACCTTTAAGTTTTTTCCAACTCCTTGCAATCAAAAACAATGGTACAATAAGAAGCCTTTTAACATTGCTTTGATTATGTGTTCCAGATAAAAGTCACTGGGCATTCAAAACACCTCACATTTATATAATATTAATACCTTACTATTCAAGTTGGTGTCATATTCATAGGATAGCAAGAAAGAGGCTGATTTCTGTAAAACTCACATCAAAATTGGTCTCATTGTTTCATAGTTACATGAAAGACACCTAGCTTTCCCTAGTAAATTTGAGAAAGCAAACTTTGACAGATGAGGAAATCCAATCACAAAACATATGTGTATATAAAAGAGCATGAGAAAGAGGGAGGCCTAAAGATAGCTCCCAGAAACTAAAACCAGGTATCCTGAAAAATCTACAATGAAGTATAGCAGGTGCATGTCCACCAGACCAAAAGAAGCCTGGCAGTCCAGCACATCCTTGCAGATAAAAAAAGTTCCCTGAGTGCAAAGCTAATACCTGTCTGACTCACCAGTATGTTTCTGGTGACTAGCTTGGGGCTTGAAATATGATAGGTACTCAATAAATGGCTCTGGGTTTAATGAAGGAACGAATGAGCAAATCACAAAACAAGTCTTCCTGGACCTCTGCAAACTGCAGTCAACTTCCCAACTTCATCCCCACTCAGCATTAGAAACTCTGAAATAAAGCCCAGAAATCCAGAGCTAGTAAATTACATGAAGCTCTTAGCCTACAAGAAGTTTCTCTTTCTGAAGGAGCTGTGGACAGTAAATCTCCTTCAAGCAACAGCAGATCCTTGAACCCAAGGATTGGGCCAAGAGAGACTTGTCAAAAAGTCAACACAGAAGAGGAGCCCTCTCATGTAGTACTTTATTTCGCCTGTTCTGAACATTTCTTCTTAACTTCTGCGAGCAAATTCCATTCATCTCCCCCATCTCTTCCCCTCCTCCTCACCCACAATATTACCTCACCCTCTGCCTCTTTGTCAGAAATCTGTCTAGAGTACTAATTCATACATACACACACTGTACATGTAAAGGAGCTTTATAAAGTGGGTGGTTCTTGAAAATCAGCCATTCATCATGTATATTGATCACCAGGGTAGTATGGTATGAATCAGAGAGCAGCAATCATTAAATCAAAGATTTATACTAGTAAAAGAGCACCAAAGTAATTCATCAATTCTATACCACCCTCAGTGATTAGTTAGGTTCCAACCTGATAGCTTAGAAGCTGGTTCACAATTAAGACTATTACACTTAGAGGTAGGTTGCTTTCCCCCTTCTCCCCTTCCTTTCAGAAAGAATCAAAAGGGAAAGGACACTAGTCTGCTGGTCTTATGGCATTTTGTACATCTCCTTTATAGCACTTAACACAGTTTGTAAATATAAAGTCAATAATGTGATTATATATTTAAATTATCTCCCTCCATTAGTCCATAAGGTCCTTAGCGCCTCTAGCACAGTGTCTAGCACATAGTAAAAGCTCAATCAAGACACATTGAGCAATCAATTTATTAACTGGATACTTCTAATGCTACAGGCCCACGTACAACAGGGCTTCCAATGCTTCCCCCTGGGTCTTGTCCTTGAAAAAGTTAAATATAATCTTTCTAGACTAGAAAACCACTCTGAAAAGTTATTTGGCAGAATCTACTGCAATTGAAAACATGCAATTTCTATGACCCAGCAATTCCAATGCTGGGTATATACTCACACAAAAGTGTAAACAAATGCCCACCAAGACATGTTTGAGAAAGTTCATAGAAGCCTTGTAATTAATAACCTAAACTGAGAACAACCCAATTGTTCATCAAAAGAAAAACGGATGAATAAAATGTGGTATGTTCACATAATCAAGTTCTACACAGCAATGAGTTAATGAATAAGCTGTAACTTCATTCAACATGGGTAAATCTCCTAAATGTTATGTTGACAGAATGAAACCAGACACAAAGAAGTACATGCTGTGTGACTCTATTTATGTTACATTCAAAAACAGGCAAAATCAATTTATGGCATCAGAAGTGGGATAGTAATTTCCTTCAAACAGTTAGTGACCGGGAGAGGGCAGAGGGGGGCTTCTGGGACATAGATAAGGTCCTGTTTCTCCTCTGGGTGCTGGTTACTCAGGTGTTCTTTTTGTGAAAATTCATCCAGTTATTTTCTATTGTCTCATTTTGTGGAAATCAATACAGCTATATGATTAGAGCTCTTTTTTTTTTATACTTTAAGTTTTAGGTTACATGTGCACAATGTGCAGGTTAGTTACATATGTATACATGTGCCATGCTGGTGCGCTGCAACCACTAACTCGTCATCTAGCATTAGGTATATCTCCCAATGCTATCCCTCCCCCCACCCCACAACAGTCACCAGAGTGTGATGTTCCCCTTCCTGCGTCCATGTGTTCTCATTGTTCAATTCCCACCTATGAGTGAGAATATGCGGTGTTTGGTTTTTTGTTCTTGCAATAGTTTACTGAGAATGATGATTTCCAGTTTCATCCATGTCCCTACAAAGGACATGAACTCATCATTTTTTATGACTGCATACTATTCCATGGTGTATATGTGCCACATTTTCTTAACCCAGTCTATCATTGTTGGACATTTGGGTTGGTTCCAAGTCTTTGCTATTGTGAATAGTGCCGCAATAAACATATGTGTGCATGTGTCTTTATAGCAGCATGATTTATAGTCCTTTGGGTATATACCCAGTAATGGGATGGCTGGGTCAAATGGTATTTCTAGTTCTAGATCCCTGAGGAATCGCCACACTGACTTCCACAATGGTTGAACTAGTTGACAGTCCCACCAACAGTGTAAAAGTGTTTCTATTTCTCCACATCCTCTCCAGCACCTGTTGTTTCCTGACTTTTTAATGATTGCCATTCTAACTGGTGTGAGATGATATCTCATTGTGGTTTTGATTTGCATTTCTCTGTTGGCCAGTGATGTTGAGCATTTTTTCATGTGTTTTTTGGCTGCATAGATGTCTTCTTTTGAGAAGTGTCTGTTCATGTCCTTCGCCCACTTTTTGATGGGGTTGTTTGTTTTTTTCTTGTAAATTTGTTGGAGTTCATTGTAGATTCTGGATATTAGCCCTTTGTCAGATGAGTAGGTTGCAAAAATTTTCTCCCATTTTGTAGGTTGCCTGTTCACTCTGATGGTAGTTTCTTTTACTGTGCAGAAGCTCTTTAGTTTAATTAGATCCCATTTGTCAATTTTGGCTTTGGTTGCCATTGCTTTTGGTGTTTTAGACATGAAGTCCTTGCCCATGCCTATGTCCTGAATGGTAATGCCTAGGTTTTCTTCTAGGGTTTTTATGGTTGTAGGTCTAACATTTAAGTCTTTAATCCATCTTGAATTGATTTTTGTATAAGGTGTAAGGAAGGGATCCAGTTTCAGCTTTCTACATATGGCTAGCCAGTTTTCCCAGGACCATTTATTAAATAGGGAATCCTTTCCCCATTGCTTGTTTTTCTCAGGTTTGTCAAAGATCAGATAGTTGTAGATATGTGGCATTATTTCTGAGGCCTCTGTTCTGTTCCATTGATCTATATCTCTGTTTTGGTACCAGTACCATGCTGTTTTGGTTACCGTAGCCTTGTAGTGTAGTTTGAAGTCAGGTAGCGTGATGCCTCCAGCTTTGTTCTTTTGGCTTAGGATTGACTTGGTGATGCAGGCTCTTTTTTGGTTCCATATGAACTTTAAAGTAGTTTTTTCCAATTCTGTGAAGAAAGTCATTGGTAGCTTGATGGGGATGGCATTGAATCTGTAAATTACCTTGGGCAGTATGGCCATTTTCACACGATATTGATTCTTCCTACCCATGAGCATGGAATGTTCTTCCATTTGTTTGTATTCTCTTTTATTTCCTTGAGCAGTGGTTTGTAGTTCTCCTTGAAGAGGTCCTTCACATCCCTTGTAAGTTGGATTCCTAGGTATTTTATTCTCTTTGAAGCAATTGTGTATGGGAGTTCACTCATGATTTGGCTCTCTGTTTGTCTGTTGTTGATGCATAAGAATGCTTGTGATTTTTGTACACTGATTTTGTATCCTGAGACGTTGCTGAAGTTGCTTATCAGCTTAAGGAGATTTTGGGCCGAGACAATGGGGTTTTCTAGATATACAATCATGTCGTCTGCAAACAGGGACAATTTGACTTCCTCTTTTCCTAATTAAGTACCCTTTATTTCCTTCTCCTGCCTAATTGCCCTGGCCAGAACTTCCAACACTATGTTGAATAGGAGCGGTGAGAGAGGGCATCCCTGTCTTGTGCCAGTTTTCAAAGGGAATGCTTCCAGTTTTTGCCCATTCAGTATGATATTGGCTGTGGGTTTGTCATAGATAGCTCTTATTATTTTGAGATATGTCCCAGATTAGAGCTCTTTTCTGTATGTATGTGATAGTGCAAACATTTTTTTAAAGAGTTAGCCTGATTTTTCTCTATGTGATAAAGGAGTGGTAAATATCTTCATGTGTACCCAAAAGCCCAAATCCAAATTTCAGAAAGTGTCATCCAGGTAAAAAACAAAAAGGAGGTCAGGTTTCAAATGAGAGATTAGATTCCATGTCCTTCCAATTCTAACATTCTGTGATTCTATGATGTCACCTTTTGAAAATTGATACAGAACCCAATGGCCCACAGTCCTGGATTTCTGGATCTAACCATGGTTGTTCTGAAAAGAGTGAAAGGAGACAGTAGAGACTTTCTGATACTGTTTATGTGTCTGTATCTCCATCTCCAATTTCTCCTACAATGCAAATAAACTCCTATAAGTACAAAGGGTTTAAAAGAACTGGGTATGGTATTTTTAAAGATGTTGTGACTTTTTAAAATTCAGAGGCTTCTAATATCCTCAAGCATTAGACCAGAAAACTTAAGACCTGGTTTTATAATAACAAACCAAAGCCCTCCATTTCTTGAAGGCTTCCTGCATACCAGGCACCATGTTAATTTTTTTTTTACATATTGTCTCATTTAATCCTCATAAGACCCTGTGAGATAGGCATAGACTTCCTCAACAGTAAAAAAGGTGAGTCATGTCCCATGTCTGAGCCTCAGATTCAAATCTGTACAATGGGGAAGTAAAATGCATGCCCATATAGCGGGGATAAGGAGAATAGGCTCAGGAATAAGACAACAAGGATTCAAGTCTCAACTCAGCAATTTATTAACTGGATAACTTTAATAAAATATTTAACATCTCTCAGGCTTCTAATCTGCCAAATGAGATGACTAGTAATATCTATCACACAGGAGTATTATAGGAGGACATGGCAATGTATATAAGACACTTAGAACAGCACATGACACATAGTGAGTCCTCAACAATAGATATTTATTACTATTAAGTGATTTATAAATTTGCTCTTTGTAAGTGCTATATAACCAGCAGATATTGCATATTAAATTTGTATAATATTTAGTAAAACAAAATTGTCACTAATATTATCTATATGTTTAGGATTGATTAGGGATCTTTGGGTCTAAATCCTTAAAACATAGAGGATATTATTGTTATAACAGATTCCAAAATCTTGAAAGCAAGCATCATGTTTGTCTTGTTCATTGTTGTATCCTTGAAGCCAAGCACAGTGCCCAACACAATGTAGGCACTCAACAAATATTTGGTGAATGTGTAAACTGAATACTCCCCCCACATACACAAATAATCTCCCCACTTTATATCCATCCAGGAGAGGCCTGGTTACTCACAGAGATACTTTCCCTCAACCCTAATGGCCACACGTATGCACTAACTCTTTTTAAAAGAATAACTTCATAAGATGAATAAAATATAAGATGATATCTTTTGAAAAGAATTCACTTTGTGTTCCCTGATACATTTAAACGATGACTCAATATGTCAAAAGTTTACTTATCCTCACCTTTTTATAAATTTGCCTATCCCAAAGTCAGATACAATGAGACCTTCACCCCAGGAACTTAAACATTATATTCACGTATTCATTCACCAAACTCCATGTTTAATAATCTCAGTTGGAAATAACAGAAACCTCACACAGGTTTAATAATAAAGAAACTTCTTACGACACATAACAGGAGGTCCACAGATAGTTGCTCAGGTTTTTTGTTTGGTTTGATTTAGCAGCTCATTATGTCATTAAAGACCTAGATTCTTTCTCTCTCGCCACTCTGCCATCCTTAGTGTTAGCTTCATTCAAACTGGCAGCCATTCACTGTCATTGTTGCAGGCATTGGTTGACCCTATTGGTTGTCTACCCAACAGTCATATTCTCCACCTTCCTCCTTTCTAACAGAAGCCCAGTTTTGTTCATGTATCAGAGATTAGTGTACGTCATTAACTCCTTCCCAATGTGGGTGTTCATGATCTAAGCCAATTACGGATATTTCATTGGTCTGCCCACAGTCAGTTAAAGAATGCATATCTGACAAAATCTGGGCATTGTAAGGGGAAGTGGGCTTTGGCCCTTCCAGGAACATTTATATTTATATAAAGGGACACAAGTCAGGAACTTGCCCTTTTACTGCCTCTGCACACAGCTGTGTGAGAAGGTGATTCTTGGAGTTGCTATGGCCACCTTGTCACCATGGAGAAAGGTATTAACACACAGAGTAAATAGATGTAAGGAACCTTGTGTTCCTTGAATTAACCAACTCTAGAACTGTCCTACTTCTGAACTTCTTGTTGTGATAAATTAGAAAATAAGCTCTTATTTTTAAAGATGATTCTACTTGGGTATTTGAGAAACAGCTCAAAGCACTGTGATATATAGTTATCACTACACAGACACAATTACTTCTGGAGAAAAGAGAAAGCTGATTTCATTCTGGGATTTCTCTTTAAATAGAAGAAAATTTATCCCAAAAGTCCCAACCTTTCCCCTTCTCTCCACCACTTCCTCTCAACTTTAATTGGTCACTACTAGGTCACATGTCAACTCTTGAACCAATCTTAAGCTAGTGGGATTAGATTATCGTAAACTCAATCAGGCAACCTGGGGACTGAGATGGGGGTCAACTGTCTCTGAGGTAAATGGTTGCATGGGGGAAGGGTAACTGACTGAATATAACTGAGTTCTGTTAGGAAGATGGGGTTGGATAATAGCTATTCATTTGCTGTATCTTGCTTATTGCCATATGCATAATATGGGCTGGACTTGGGGTTCCTCAGCAATTGGAAATGTTCAGCACAGCTCTACATTGGTAATCAAATCAAAGTCTGCATCCTTCTTTAGGACCCTATTTTTGGAACCTCAAAAACACTTAAATCTAAGCCAGCTCACCAGATCTCTATAGCTCTACTTGAACTCAGATCCAAACATGGGTTTTGCTAACAGATTTTATCTAAAGTGAGGTCAAAACAGGTTTTTTCCTACCGCCCACTAATTTTGCAGAACTGTAGAAACAATTCTTAAGCATACTGATGTATTCAAGAGCACTAACTTGCTTTCAGGCACATTTCTAATACTTTCATTTCCGATCAAGCTTTTCTAAACCTAAGTTGTCAGACTTCCTGGAGACTAAAATACTATTCTCCAAATTGGAAATAACTTTTCTTCTTTGAAGGTGACATGGTATAGTGGTTAAGAGGGCATACAAATCCCTGCTATACCACTAACTTGATGGTCCTTGGGCAAGTTGCTTAACCTCTTGATGCCTAATTTCCTCAATATAAAATGTGAATGAAAGTCATAGTTCCTACCTGATAGGGATGTAGAAAGGATTAAATGAATTTGTGCATGAAAACTGCTAAACCCAGTACCTGGGAAAATAAAATGTCAGCTCAGTGAGTATTAGCCTTTCCTGGTGTTTCTTCCTTCTCCATCTTTCTTCTCTCTCTCACTACATCATCACAGAGCTCCATCATCACAATTACTAGAACTAATTGATTGACCATTCTGGTTGAGTGTTGTCAATCAAATAGCTTGAATTTTTTCCCACTTGGTTTGACAAATTCACTATTTGGTATAATAGTTAAATTAGCCCATTAAATGAAAAAACATATAATATTTATATGATAATTTTCTCTACCCTGAGCATTCCCTGAGGCCATAGGACTGAGCCCTTCTGGACCAGGCCTCTGGAGCCTAGGTGGCTTCATTTTCTTCAGGCCGTGTTCCTGGCCTTGAGCCAGCTTCTCTCCACAGTCTCAGAGAGGCTGAGCTCCGAGAGTGCCTTAGGGACTCAACTTCATTGACTCGCAAAATCAAAATATACAAATTCCCCTCTAAAACCATGATATATAACTTGGAGAATATTGCCTCTCCACTGCATTAGAGCCCACCCTATTACCTTATGGAATTACCCACAGTGGCAGAAATCCATTCACCTGATCCACTGACACCCTGGGGGCAGCTCGGATAGCATAAAGCCAATTGATAGATGTATATTTGATTTATATTTTATGCCTGGAATTTATGTCTTCTGCATGTTTCATTTGCCATTCTGACTCACTTTATGCCACAGGAGAACTAGGGAAATTTCTAAAGTGACTGTGAAAGAAATAGCATGGAAGAAATGGGATAAAAATCTAAATAGCAATTTTTCTTTCTGATCTAAGACCTTGCACCTGAGCATCCTGATCAACTTTAAAGCACAGAGGAAACATCCCTCCTTTCCTTCTCCCAGGAAAGAATTATGAGTAGGATAACTAACCTGGAAGGATGAGAAATCTTTTCCCTGCAGACTAGCAGCTGGGCCAGGCCCCCACAACAAAGTGTGTATATGGGCCAAAGATAGGAGCAATAATAGAGCTGAAGGTATGCATTTTATTCTATATTGTTAGCTAGACCCTGCCACATGTTTTAGCTCATTTTATTTCATGCTCCAAGCCCACTGGAAGAAGATCAAGACTGGTGTACTCAGCCCCATGTTACTTGTATTTAAGAAAGGAGAATGGCCTGCCCAAGATCATGGCTGTGGCATGTGGCAAAGCTAGACTGAAACTCAGCCCCTGTCTCCTCCTTACTTCTTTAGTATGTGTATGAACAAATAAGAATTTGAGGCCGGGAGCAGTGGCTCACGCCTGTAATCCCAACAATTTGGAAGGCCAAGGTGGGAGGATTGCTTGAGCTTAGGAGGCTGAGACCAGCCTGGGCAATATGGCAAAACCCCATCTCTACAAAAAAGTACAAAAAATTAGCCAGGCCTGGTGTCACATGCCTGTACTTCCAGCTACTTGGGAGGCTGAGGTAGGAAGATCACTTGAGCCCAGGAGGTTGAGACTGCAGTGAGCTGAGATCACATGACTACACTCCACCCTAGGTGGCAGAGTAAGACCTCTCAAAAAAAAGAATTTAAGAAGCCTTCTTCATAAGTGCCTACATATAGAAAGAATCATCCTCCACGAATATTACATAGAGTCTTATTATATTTTCTATTTGCTCCAATAGCTTAACTTAAAGGAAAAAAGTTCACACCGATTTATAACAACTTACAAGTGCATGTGTGCACGCGTGCACACACACACACACACACACATAATCCTCACAGCAACCCCGTGAGGAAGGTACTATTCTTTTCTCTGTTTTACAGAAGATAAAACTGAGATATGGGAAGACTAAATAACTTCCAAGTAATGCAAGCCAGTCTCACTCCAGAAACTGTGCTCTTAACCACTCCATCATGCTGCTTTATCACACCATAAATGGAGAAATTGAAGTCCACACCTAAACAGTGACGTTGACAATAAGACCAGGTGTCCTGTCAGCTCAATATTTGGCACGTTAAGGATAGGTTCCAGGGAGATACGTAATCAACTGACCCAATCCCTTTGATTAATTCTCTCTGCCTCACTAGCTAAACTGCTCCGCTAGCCTTGGCTATTGAGTAAGGCAGTCATTCATTTCAACTTACCAAGTAATTCCAAGCACCTAGGCAGTGCAAAGCTCTAAGCTGTGCCCTGGTAACAAGACAGACACAGTCCTGTCCTCACAGAGCTTGTAGCCTGAAGGGTAAAGCATATATTAAAGTAGTAATAACAAGAGTGAAAGCAATAAGGCCAGGCTTTTTCACAGACTCTCGACTGAAAAAGATTGAAGAAGTCATGTAATCCAGCCCACCCAATGCAGAAATCTCCTCTACAATCTTTCCTTCACATGGTCATGCAATCTCTGCTGGAATCTTCAAGTCCAGAAAGCTCCTTCTTCCAACAACAGTACATTACAGTTTAATCATAGAGCATTTCCATATACTGAGTCTACTTCTTCTGCTCTATAATATCTGCCATTGTTTCAAATCTGCCTTCTGCAGCCCATAAACCAGAATCTATCTCTCTTCAACATGTTCTTTCAACATACTTGAGGACAGGTATCCAATGGCCTTCAAGTCTTCTCTTTTTGGGGTTAAATTTCTCCTTTTCCATCAACCATTACTCCTAGGCCATGGCTTCCAGTCTTTTTTTTTTTTTTTTAATTGAGTAGCAGGCACTGGGTGCTATAGAATTTGCCAATGACTAAAGTAAAGCACTACGAAAAATATTTTAAGTGTGGTCTGATCAATAGAGCGAAGTGGAACTATGATCTACATTGAACAGAATCCTGTAGTATTAATGACTACATTCATTGTTTTGGTTTTAATAATGATGACACAGAATTGGCTCATGTCATACTCAGATAATTGCCTGAATTTTTCAAAATGAGAGTTGTCAAAGTCAGGTCTCCTCAAAACGTCTACTTGGGTATCTGACTTTTTTTTTTTAGCCACATGCAGGGCTTTACATTTGCGTCTATTAAATTTAGTCTTAGTGAAGCTCAGATGATAGTGGATGTCTTTGTGCTTGGCGAATAACCCTGCCTGAGCCCCAAAACAATGATTTTCATAAGAAATCTACATAGACTAAGCAGTTGAAGATTTAAGTAGGCTTTGCTGAAGATGTTGGAGTTATAGAGAAGGATTCCATTATATAGAATTTCATATGAAGATTCCCTTCTCTGAACATCACACACCGGGGCCTATTGTGGGGTGGCAGGGAAGGAGAGGGAGAGCATTAGGACAAATACCTAATGCATGCAGGGCTTAAAACCTAGATCACAGGTTGATAGGTGCAGCAAACCTCCATGGCATATGTATACCTATGTAACAAACCTGTACGCTCTGCACATGTATCCCAGAACTTAAAGTAAAAGAAAAAAGAAAAGAAAATCCCCTTCTCTGAAGCTCCTTATTCCTTTCATACCAGCTCCAGAGCGCCTCTGGCTCCATTTCCCCATCATGCATCTCAGCCTTTCTAATCCTGTCCACTGACCCTTCTCCATCATTCCAACTCCAACCAAATTCCTCTCTCCTAAATTATGAAAACAATTCAGTCCAGCCCCAGCTCCAACTAACAAATTTGCCATCTCAATATACACAAGCAGCCAGGAAAAAAAACATATTCTCTTTTATGTAACAGGCCTATCCTCTTTAGACAGATAGTAATTGGTGTTCTATACAAACATTTATTAAGCATATACAATGGGCCAGGAACAGAAATCCTTGGAGTATGTAGTGATGAGCACTATTAGACATGATCCGTGACTTTACGGTACTTACCATCTGCTGGAAAAGGCAAACATCAGTCAAATAAACGCACTCAATGTAGATTCCTGGCAAAAATGTGCAGTGAAGAAAACATACCTCCATGTAACTGGAGAATTCAGTGTACTTAAGGAGACAGGAAGGGTTCTCTTAGGAAGTAGTGAATAAGCCGAGACCTAAAGGGCAGGAGGAATTAACAAGAGTATTCATTGTTACTGTATTTACAGTGGTGAAAACTGAAAGCAAAATAAATGTCCTTAAATATTGAAGAAACAATTTGAAGCATTAATTTATGGCATGTTCACATGATAAGACTATTAGAAATTCATTGAGTTAAATTTTTGATACTAAAATATTACAAAGATAAAAAGGCAAACCAACCTAATTTTTTAAATATCCATGTAAAAAATCCTAAATAAAATGTTAACAATGAGAATACAACATATTATGCAAATTGATTCATTCCAGGAATTCAAACATATTTCAATCTTAGAATATTCATTAATGAAATTCATCATATTAATAAGTCAAAGGAGAAAAATATGACTGCCTAGAAAATTGTCAAAAAGCATTTGATAAAATTTAAATTCACCTATAACTTAAAAAAAAAAACCTGACTTTTACTTTTTTCAGTCAAATGCTCTGCTACTGGGCTATGCTCCCTCTTTTAAAAAACTTCCTTTTTGAAAAAAGACATATGTAACCTCTCAAATTAAGAAACATGCTAACTACTGAAATACTAGAAGCATCTCCATTAAAGTCAGCAATAAATGTGAGACATGCTTTTACATTTTTTATTTAATATTGTTCTAAAAGGTGCCAGTCAGCATATGTAAAAGCAACAAAATAATAGATATGACTATTC
The DNA here is from genome assembly GCF_000001405.40 of Homo sapiens. Taxonomy (NCBI): domain Eukaryota; kingdom Metazoa; phylum Chordata; class Mammalia; order Primates; family Hominidae; genus Homo; species Homo sapiens. The sequence continues at coordinate 158,250,300 of NC_000005.10, read as the reverse complement.
AAAAAAAATGAATGCTCAGTTATCATTATTTTAATAATTATATACCTAAAAAGCATAAGATAACAAAAAATCATAGAAAAAATAAAAGCATTTAATAAAGCCAGTTACATAAGAAATATATGAAAATCAATGCCATTCTTATAAATGAACAGTAAATACTTACAGAATATAGAGGGGGAAAATTTTCCATTCACACTAGCAAAAATAATAATAACAATAATAAAGAATGAAAAGCCTAAAACTTGGAGTAAATAAAACAACAGTTTGGTGGAACATGTGCAAAAGTAAAAATAAAACTATTGAAGGACATTAAAAAACAAACAATGAAGAGATATAACTTGTTTTGGGGTAAGAAGATTCAATATTATAAACGTATCTGTTCTCCCCAGCAAATCTACATAATCAATGCAATCCCAGTAAAATTTGACAAGTAATTGTAAATGTCAATTTTAGTAAAACTACTCACCAGCAAGTAAAACCACACAAACAAATGTGAAGAAAAAGAAGGGAATGAGGACTGACTTGCTTCATATATGTTATATAGCAAATGTGTTATACAGCTATAGTGACTTAAAAATTTTCATCCTGGAAAAAATAGATGGACACGTAAATGATACAGATGAGACAGAACATGAATAAACTTGAGGATATATAAAAATTTAATATGTGCTAAAGAAAATGTTAGAATGATAATTTTTAGAAACTACATATCAGAATCTATAGGACACAACTAAAGCAGAAACCAGTAGAGATAAAAGAATGAAAATAAATTAAACAACCAAATTAAAAGCTGGAACAAGAATAATAAAGTAAATCAAAACAAAGCAGAAGGAAGAAAATAAATAGCAGAATTTAATGCTTTATAAAACTGAATAACAGAACTGGTCTTTCAAGAAATCAACAAAACAGACAAAGCACGAGCTTAATCAAGGAAAAAAATGGGAGAAAGCACAAATGCATAAAAAAGAAATGGCAAGGGGCAAACAACCACTGAAACTGAAAACTGAAGACATTAGAAAACACTTTGTGTAACTCTGTAAGAAATCTAAAAACCTAAATAAATGAATAATTCTATTTTTTTTTTTTTTTTTTTTGAGACGGAGTCTTGCTCTGTCGCCCAGGCTGGAGTGCAGCGGCGTGATCTCGGCTCACTGCAAGCTCTGCCTCCCGAGTTCACGCCATTCTCCTGCCTCAGCCTCCCAAGTAGCTGGGACTACAGGTGCCCGCCACCACGCCCGGCTAATTTTTTTTTGTATTTTTAGTAGAGACGGGGTTTCACCATGTTAGCCAGGATGGTCTCGATCTCCTGACCTCGTGATCCGCCCACCTCGGCCTCCCAAAGTGCTGGAATTACAGGTGTGAGCCATCACGCCCGGCCAAATAATTATTTAAAAAGGCAACTTCCCAAATTGATTCCAGTTAGAGAAAGTTTAAACATACCAATTTCTTATAAGAAATAGACAAAATTATCAAAGACCTACTTCAAAACAAACAAAAACTAACAATAAAAAAGCACTCAACCTAAATTATTTCATACACAAACTGTACGAAACCTTCCAAAAAGAAGTAATCCCAGTGCTACTTAAGCTGGTCCAGAGAATTAAAAAGGAATAAAATTTTCCCAATTCCTTTTGAGGCAAGTATGACACTGATACCTGAATCTGGTAAAGATTGTATCAAAAACTACAGACCAATCTCACTTGTAAATAGGGATGTAACAATAAATAAAATATTAGCAAAGAGAACCAAATAGCTAATTAAAATAATGTTCCAGACATGCAAGGAGAGTTCAACACAAGGAAATCCATTAATGTAATTCGACATGCTAATAAATCAAAGAGGGAAATCATGTGAACTATAAATACTGAGAAGGCAGTTGACAAAATTCAAATTTTTGTAAAATCTGAAAAATCTCAAATTTTAAGAAAACCTTTAAAATCCAGGAGTCAACAGAAACATGGGCATCCCTGGCATGCTCCTCTTGAAGGCAAAGCACACTCCCTCTGGCAGGGAGATTGTGGCAGTGGTTCGTTGTATGCAGGTGACCTCCCAGACGGGTGAGGGGGATCTGGGCAGGATACAGGCATCTGATGCATTAGAGAATAGACTATAGTAACAAAGTATCACCCCCACAGACTACTTCAAAATGCAAAGGAAATACAAACATATATATATATGTTTATATACATAAACATATGTTTATGTATATAAACATATAAATACAAACACATATATATGTTTATGTATATAAACATAAATACAAACATATATGTGTGTGTGTGTATATATATATGTATATATACATATTTACAATGAGAAATCTGGCTAGATATTGTTATGTACGTCATCTAACTGAATAGTCCCCCACCACTATCCAAGAAATAAGAAGAATCATCTCCATTTCACAGACAAAAATCTGAGGATCAAAGATGCTTAGAAACTTACTCAGAGAATATAGCTTGTAAGCACAGGGATTGGATTCATATGCAAACTGTCAAGTTCTAGTCCTAGTTCTACTCCACTCTCCTCCCCTTATCCCTCCAATGTCCTTCTCCAAGATCCTCAGTGACCAAACCTCAAAATAAGCCAGAGGGCAGGGGACTGCAGATGTAATCCATATTGATCAGCCTACTGAGACACAGAGCAGGGTGCAGTGTGAGGTCCACATCTGGAAAGGCTAATGGAAGGTAATAGGCACATCCAATGTCTTAACTGCAAAACAGGGATAACAAGAGTTTCTGCCACATGAGTTGTTCCAGAATTGAATAAGATACTGCATTTAAACATCTCAGCAGTGTCTTGACACGGATCAAATGCTCCATAAATATTAGCCATGTGAAAGACCGCCATTCACTTGCCTTGGTTAAATACCCTGAGTCACACAGGCATTTTTCACTCAAAAGTTAGGGTTTTGTACTTAAAGCTTGAAGAACATAAAGCAGCAGAGAAAGGACACAACTGGCTGTATCCATTAACATCCGCTGGAAAACTGGGTAAATACCACAAACAAACCAACATCCGGGCAGAGGAACAGGCTGATAAAATGAGAAGCACCAATTTACCCTCAAAACAACACTTTAAATCCATTTTAAAAGCAGTGCCAATGAGAAACATTTTCACCAAGGGAACATCTTTTTGAAATGTGGTCTCATTTTAGGAATATGGACTTTGCACCCTCCCATAGATGGTAAAGTTCACACTTAATAATTTTGGTCATAAATGACCACCTAAATATGTCAGAAATAATTTAGCATCTGTGACCCCTAGAGCTGAAAATGTAGATGAATGTAATTAACCTACTTCCAAAATTGAGAAAAAAAAATCTGCTCTATTCTCTCCTGACTTGGGAACATATGGCGTCGGATTACATGGTTGGCACCTGGCTGACTGCTGGGTCCATGTGTCGCATTCTAACACAAACAGGCAAACGCACAGAGCCTGCCCAGAGGAGTCACCAGCCAAATTCAAAATGGGCAGCTTGAGCCACAGGCTCGGCCAGAAACTGCTATTAACAGCCTGGTGGAGGAAATAGAGCTCTCAGCACCACCCTGCTGAGCCCAGTTTTCCCTCTTGCCCCATGACCTCCTCCATAAGCATGTTGAGAAGGACCCATGAGGTTGCATTCTCCGTTGACATACATCATCAGCACTCCTGGCTCTATTTGTTAGGAAGAAATTGAATTGGCCTCAACTCAACTTTGGGGTTGGCTTTCTTCAGTTAAAGTATTTTGAAGGAAGTAAATCTAACGAAATGCTTTCCATCCTAATTAAAGGTGTGCTTGTCACTCTCCCCACCCAAGCTCCAAAATCCTAGCATGTTTCTGTTGAGCAAAGGACATTCACCTCCAAACTAGTATAAAGAAAGCAAAATGTATCATCAGCACCCTCCAGCCTCACTGTTCTGTTCTCTTTCTCCTATCTTGTTATAGATTCCATCTCCTTCTGTGTAAATCAATCCAAAACCACTGATGCACCATGAGACTGAGTATGCACCTTTACATCCCAGCTCCCCAAATTTCCCACTGCAATTCTGAGTGCCCCTATATTAGATAATTATTTCCTTCCTGTGATTATTTCATTTCTCTCTCTCTTTTTTTTTTTTTTTTTTTTTTTTTTGCTTCTTTGTTTGAAATATGCCCACCCATTTCAGGTTGAGCCACGGATAAGGAGGGCTTAGCTCATGTCTCCTGTGGGAATTGAGGCATCTCAGGAAACAGTATAGAGTTGGTACAGTTAGAATGAGAAGAAGCCTGGGGAAAGAAACCAAGAGTGAGAAATGTGTGGCTATTTTGACTTAGCTGGAGCAACCCTCTCATAACAGGCTGGGAAGTGGAAGACATTAGTAACAAGGTGGAAAGATTACTAAAGGGATTTTTTAAATGAGTCTTTTCCAACAAACTGGAAGGATTCCTAAAACCAAATGAGAAAAGGTCAGCTATATCCACTAGAAAGACATACCCTCCCACCCCACTATCAATATACACCATCTGGACAGGACAGTGTAATGGTATGGAGGGCAGTTTTCTTCTTCCCATACCCCTGCCTTGGTGGCTGTAGTAGACATCTGCTGCTTCTCTCTGCCCAGAGTCTATTTCCTGTTTCTTCTGTTAGTAACATTCTCATGTGCTTAATGAAACAGCTCCTTTTCTACTACAAATGATTATAGTGGGGCCACATATCAAACACCTTACATTCATCTCCATCACCAATGGCCATATGGATGGGCATTTGACCCAAGTAAGCAAGACAGCTTCTTATTTTGCTGGCATAAATGAATTAATCCCAAGAAGTGGATGGGAAACCCAAGCGAGGTCAATTAAAATCTCCATTGAAATTTATATAAAACTGAAGCCTAGGGAAAGAGCACAGTCCTTTCTCTGGAGCTGCCAAGCTGGGAATATGTAAAACTGGAGCTGCCTGTGCCATGTCTCCCAATATGTGCAGGGAGTTACTAAACAGGTCTGTGTGGAGCAGGCAAGAGATGGGGCAAGGTGTGGAGGAGAGGGTTAGAGGTGGGGCAGAGGGATGATGAGTTGGAGGAGAGAAAGAAAGAAATATGGGAAAGGGTTTGGGGAGAAAGTGTAAGAGAAAGATGGAAAAATAGAGACATGGGAGAAGAGATGGGGAGGAGACAAAGAATCCATGAAAGAGAGGGGGAAGATGAGGGAGAAAGATGGGAGTAGAAATGGGGTGAGAGAAAGAAAGAAGAGAAAATGGAGAGAGAAAAATGGGAGAAACGAGGTACAGAGTGATGAGTGGAGAAAGGTGGAAGAAGAGATGAGGAGAGATAAAGGGAGAGGTGGAGGAGATAGGGAATTGAGGGAGAGAGGGAGGGAAACCGATGGGAGAGAATGGAAAAAGGAAAGAAAGGTATATAGAGACAGATACAAAAAGAACAATGGGAAGGGGTGAGGGCGAAGAGTAGGGAAAAGAAGAGAAGAGGGAAACCTGATGAGGTCTCTTGAGATCCTGGTTCCAGGCCATCCCTGAGACCACCTGCATCCTTGTGTATAATCAGATCGTGTTGGGTCTTTCACTGGCAACCAAAAGCATGATAACTATTCTAATGGCCTTAATTGAATCCAATCCTATTGCAAGCTGGGCTCTCATCGGCTTTGTTCTGGAACTCAAAGATATACCAGGGGTTTCTCTTATTACCTCAAAATATACATACCCTTAAAGAATCTAGCCAGCTGATTTCCATGCCTCAAATAAATGGAGAAAAGATCAGTTCCTTTCCCCTGCCAACAGAGAGCATGTAAAGATCTTCATTTCTTCCTTCCTACTTCCTGATTGCAATCTGGCTACAAGAAACCAATCCTAGACCAAAGATACAAAAGAAACTACTTGGAGGTTAAAAGCGACATTTAAGAGAAAATGATGTTGTACATCATACCAAAATTTAATATGACTTTATGCAAAATAGTAATGTGTCTGGTAATGCAAAGATTCTTCTAAAGTAGGTTAATAACAATCCAAGATTATTCTCCTTAAAAAAAATGAAAATGTATGTCAAATAAAAAAAGACCTAAAGTAGCTGAATCTTGTACCCATTGAAGGAGCTGATTTACATAGATAGCATTTAACATTCCATCATCATTATCCTATCAGTCTCCTGTCTAATGTACAAGCTAAAGACGTTCAATGTGCTTAGAGGTTAAAAAAAAAAAAAAAAAAAAAAAACATACCCTACACCCACCAGCCAAAATGGTGGTAAATGACAAAGAAGAAAAAGGAAAAAAGAAGAAAAAAAATAATTTTAGGCAGACAGATGAATATCAACTGGAATGAGAAAAAGACTCTCTCCCCCCTCCCTTCTACACCAATATAGTAACCTAAAAGGTTGAATAAAAGAAAACTAAATATTTAAGAGTAAAATGTGGTTATCAAATGGGGAGAAGGGAAAAAAAGGGAGACAGCATTATGATAATAGTTGAGTCTGCCACTGCTAGAGGAAGCAGCTTCGAGCATGCCCGCCTTGAATTAAATGGAAGGCAAATTTAAATGAAATACAGTTTGTCCTTTAGAGTCCAGTGTCTGAATATTTTTAGATTTTTTTTTAATGTTAAACGAATTTACTTCTGATGAGAAGAGCCAAGAGGAACACCCCGCAGAGATTATGCATAGTGTGGGTACAAATGGAGAGAGGAAACAGAGGGTCACTATTTGTATATCCTCCATGTCTTGACAGCAACTTCTTGACCAGGTATGTGGCTGTGGACTTGCACGTCTTAGGGTTCCTCTAGTGCCTGTGCCAGCATGTCAAGAAGACCAGAAGGATCAGAGGCAAAATGAAGCCTTGGCAGTTGTAAAGCCATCCACCCATCAACCTAAGCACTAAGTAGTTCTGAACTGTACCAAGACTAGCAGAGAAAAGCCATAGCTTTCTAAAGTGTGTGACCAGGGTGGGTATGGAAAGGTGCTCTTCATGTCAGTAGAAAGAGAGGTAAGCAGAGGCAAAGGGAGAAGAAAAAGAGAAACAATAGGGCAGGAGAAAAAAGAGCACGGAAGTGGGCGAAGAAAGATGGAAATGATGACAGAGAAAATGGAAAAGAGATGGAGAAAAATTAGTCAAGGAAAATGAAATTATCTCAGCCTCCATGCATCTGGTTTCTTACTGTGAATGCCTAAGCTGAGACCCAGACTTTCAACAGTTACTCCAAACACACGCTCTGCTAGTCCCCAGCTCATGACCAGCGACAGTCATCCCTAATGCCGCATTCTCCTCTTTCCTGCCAAGCCCAAGTGCACATCAGAGTCCTTTCAAACACAGCATTCCTGGCAGTGCCTGCTAGTAAGGGGGACTCTGCCTGTAATATATTATCATCAGTCCTAGAGATTTTTCTCGGACTCCCTCAAATCCAGATGGTACATCCTGCAGCAACCATCCACTCAACAGCAGGTCTTGCTCATGTCTGGGATTTTTTCCTAGCAACAGCAAATTTTATTTACAAGAAAAAGGGACAAAAGTCAATTAAATAAAGTGTGATGCCAAGAGAAATATGCAGAAACTCCCCAAAACTGGAGGAAAAAAAAAACCTAACAACCTTGGGCCATGTCTCTTTTTGTCCTACCCCACAAATGTGACAAGACTAAACCAGACAAACTAGGTTCTCTCAGCCAGCAGTCTAGTCTACTAAAGAACAAAGATAAAATAAAGTGACAGCTTTTGAATATTAATAGGGCATATCAGCAAGGATGAGCAGGAAACAGTCGAAGTCATCCACAAGTTCTAAAATCAGCTCCTAAAAGCCCGAATTCATCTCATCGCTCCCCACTTAAGAATTCCACTTAGAAAATGAATCTTTATTTCAAAAATAAACTTCTGAGATGCCTAGAGATAAAAGCAGAGAAAGAAATACTGACACTCCACAGGACCATTTCTCACTCATCTTCTCCCCCAGGGCCCATCACGATGCCAAGCATATTATAGATGCTCAATAAATGTTTGTGTCAGGAATGATATGAAAAGAAAAAGAGTGTTTTAAAATCAACTTCAGAATGGAAATGGGCTTTGAAAACAAGCTGGTCCCAATCAGAATCATGGAAATTGAAAATAGAGTTTGAGGTAACTGAAATCTACTTCAGACATTACCTATGCAATATTTGGAGGGTTTTCATTTCTAAACAAAAGCAGAAACAAAGTTTTCTGGGGCACTACATTTCCATCTTTTTTATTCACTCACTCACATATTCAATCATCCGTGCAATAAATTTTACTGGGTGCCTACTATGTGCCATGCAGTATGGAAGGTTCCAAGACTCTGGTGGAAAAAAAAAAAAAAGCCAAGGACCCAGCTCTCACAGAACTTATATTTGCTTCATTTCTTTTCCCCACCCTAAGCCTCACCCTAGACCAATCCATTTACATGCTTGAGCCATTTCAAAATCCTGAATTGCCTCCCTACCACAAGCACTCCCTATTTCCCCAATTCATCTCGCCCACCCACTCTTTATTAATCTATCTAAAAGATTACTGTTATCATGTTGTTCACCTGCTCAAAACCCTCCAGCAGCTCTCTAGTATCAACAACTCAATTTAGGACACATTTCTCAACTTCGTATTAGGCAAAGTACTAGAATTAGAAAACAAATTCCGCAATTCTCAGCATAGCACTGAAGACCATATTAGTTATTTATTACTATAGATCAAGTTACTCCAAAATTTGGCAGCTTAAAACAACAAATGAGTATTATTTTCCAGTGTCTGTAAGTCAGGAATCCAGAAGCTTAGGAATTAAAACAAGGTTGCAGTCAAGTTGTCAGCCAGAGCTGCAGTCATCTGAAGGCTTGACTGAAGATGGATTATCTGCTTCCAAAATGCCACACTCACATGGCTGTTGATGGATGGCTTGGTTTCCCACATGGACATCTCTCTAAAGGGCTTCTTGAGTCTCCTCATGGCATACAGCCTGCATCTCCCAAGGTGAGAAACTTTAGAGAGAAAAAGAGGAGGAAGCCACAATGCCGTTACAGTAGTAACTTCCTAGTCTTGGAAATCACACCCAACTCCTTCTGCTATATTCTATTAGAAGTCAGTCACTAAGTCCATCTCATATCATATTCCTTCATCTCTTGAAGGGAAAAATATCAAAGAATTTGTGCGACCACAAAACTATCTATAATCATGACAGGAGCGGTGGCTCATGCCTGTGATCCCAGCATTTTAGGGGTCAAAGCAGGAGGACTAGTCTCTACAAGTCCTCCTGAGTTTGAGAGTTTGAGACCACCTTGGACAATATAGTGACAAAAATATACAAAAAAATTTAAAAATCAGCTAGGCATGGTGGCATGCACCTGAGGTTCCAGCTACTTGTGGAGCTGAGGTGGGAGGATCGCTTGAGCCCAGTAGGCTGAGACTGCAGTGAGCCATGACCTACCACTGCACTCCAGCCTGTGTGACAAAGTGAGACTCCATCTCCAGAAAAAGAAAAAAAGAAAAAGAAAACTATTATCAGACTCTAACCCACTGACCTATTTTTACATCTCTAGGCTGGTATTTCCAGCTTAACCTCTTGCACTCCAACCTAGCTGGTTCTCCTGAATAGACTGGACCCATTGTGCTATGGTTTGAATATGTCCCCTTCAAAAATCCAGGTGTTGGAACTTAATAGCCAATGTGATGGTATTAAGAAGTAGGGCCTTTAAAAGGTGATTAGGCTATGGGGTTTTTTTCCCTTATGAATGGGATTAAAGTCTTTAATAAAAGAGACTTCACACAGCGTTCCATTCACCTGCCCTTCTACCTTCCGCCATGTGAGGACAAAGCATTCCTCCCCTCCTGAAAGATACAGCAGCAAGGTGCCATCTTGGAGGCATAGAGCAGCCCTCACCAGACAACCAAACCTGCTGGTGCCTTGGCCTTCCCAGCCTCCAGAAAACAAATCTCTGTTCTTTACAAATACTCAGTCTGTGTTTTCTTATAGTAGCACAAACAGACCAAGGTGCACTATCAATACCAACTCTTTCCTCATATTGTTCACACATTGCCCCCCTCCTCTGCGTTCCAAATCTCACATACCCAGAGAGAGAGCACAGCACAGTGGATAAGATTATAGACACTGGGTTGTCTAGATGCAAATTCCACCTCTACTTTTTGTGAGTTACTTAACCTCCCTTTACCTTGATTTCCTCACCTATAAAATGATGATCATAGTGCCTACTTTATAAGCTTGTTACAACAATTAAATAAATCAATATTGACAAATTACCAAGAATAGGGCTTGGCATGTAGTAAGTGCTATTATAATAATAAATAATATAAACATATATATATATATATATAAAAAACTCTTTTGCATCCAGTTCAAGTTCCATGCTATAACCCAGTGACTCCTTCACTAAGCTCCTATTGCTATAACTGTGACTCATTTTATAACAACTTCAGTCAAATCTACAAATTTTCACTTAATTATCTCACTTATGGATGTCTTACCTCACTTCGCAATCGTTTCCTGACTGTCTATAAATTCTGTATTCATAAGGCCCAGGAGAGAGTCGATATCAAAGAAAGGAAGAAATTCATTCAAATTAGCTCCCAGAAAAAATAGGGGTCAGGCCGTCTCCTCAAACACCAAAGAAACTACACTCATTATTTCCATGTGACCCATTCATATCATAGAGCCAACCCAAGTGAGGCTTTCCCACAAAGTCAGCCTTATGTGGGCTCACTTCCCCCCAAAAGAGGAACTTATGGAAACACCAAGTGGATCAGGTGGGGATGTCTTGAGACCTGGGGGTGGGGAAGGACTGGGGTGAGCCTTAAAGAGGGGGACCCAGGCACTGCTATAGCCTTAGGTAAAGCAAGCTTCAATCTTACAAGATTGTTAAAATTTCAAGAGCCTAACATTTCAAAATGGTCACCACCAAATGTTCCTTCTCCATCCAAGTCTCAGGCATCATGGAGTTTTAAGTCTCCCCATCTGCACTTTTTCCCAAAGGTGGTGTTTCCCTTCCCCAAAAGTTCACAGCTTCTGGTCAAAGCCAAAATCTGTGTTAGACCATTTCTCATAGTTGGAACCTGCAGGGACTCCCAGGTGAAAATACAGGCAATAGGAATTCATAGCTATAGAAGGCTTCTGGAAAAAAAGTTCTTTCCCCATCACAGAAAAAAGGTTCTAGTGGTCTTGATATGGCCACTAAGAGACTACATTCATTCACAGAGTCATTTATCCATTTGTTCATTCATTCATTCCTTTTGGAACGAATCTTTACTAAGCATGTGCTAAGCACATTGAGTGATACCAAGAAGCAGAATATCAGTATCTGGACTTCAAGAATCTTGCCTGGAACAAGTCATTCTGTTAGGCCTCAATTTCTTTGTCTATAAAATGAGGAGGTTGGACAGTCTCTAGGGTTCTTTTCACTTTTTAAAAAAATGCTATTTGTCTGACTCTAATGGTTTCTCTGCTTTGTCAGGCAGGGTTGCTATGAAGATGAAGTTTAAAAATGTGCATGAAAGTGCTTTGAAAACTATAAAGCACTGTTCAAAATGTGTGGCATTATCCTCATTGTTGTTGCCATAGCCCAAAAAAAGTCCCTAGGGAAAAGTTTTCAAAGACCTTCTTGATAACATCCCACTGGGATCCTAAATAGGAAAAGCTCTTCTTCAAGTCTCACTGGGATCTCTCCTGCTGCTGGAGAGGTCCACAGGGTTGCTTCTGTACATTAGCAGCTTTGGAAAAAATGCTTTTCAGAGACTGCAACTGCCCCCGGGAAAAATTTTTTATTATTTGACCTAATTCTGAGGTCTAGTCTAGGTCCAGAAGGAAAACAAGCTGGATCAATTAGTGACGTCTGCTATGGTCACAGGATGGAGAAGTGATCACTAGCTGATTGATATTTCTGGACTCCTTTTGTAGCTACAATGTATGAGCATCCATTATATACCAGGTATTTTACTAAGGGTTTCACAAGCATTATCTCATTTATGAGGCAGGTACTAATATTAAACCCATTTTATGGATAAGGAAACCAAGACCCAGAGAAGCTGCCTTGCCCAAGATCTACTATGTTGCAGAGCCAGAATTTAAAACAAGGGCTAAGCAATCCCAAGGCAGTGTACTTTATTATGACAATACACTGAACTTTAGCTGGGATCCTAAGACAGCATACAAATAAAAGTAAACCAAAGGACCCTTCTTATGTTTTTCCTAAATAATAGATGAAATTGTTAAACATCAGCTTGAGGTTGGAAGATTGTCGGCAGTCTCTGCCTTAGTACAGGGATTGAGCCTCTAAAGCTACAGCCTGCAAACTTTTTGGATTACATACTCCATTAGTTTTTTAAAAATTGTGTCATCCAAGCCAGTATATAAATATCTTAATGTATTTATTTTTAAATTTCATACATATATCACAACACTATAGATACATATTAAAACATATCGAAAAACGAAAACTTTTAATGAGAACTATATATAAATACAAATTCTAATATATCTCCCCAAACTCCAGCGGGATTGTTGTGTTCAATCTCTGAGATACAGCCACTTTCAATAACCCCAAGTGAGAACAATGTGTTTTGCTTATTTTCTTTCCTTCTGTTTCCTCTCTGGGCTCAGCTTCAGGGCTTTTCCTAGGCATAATGTCCAAGAGTGGGACACCCTTCCCTACCTACCTTCAACCCCAACCCTACCTTCATCCCATTCCCAGCCTTATCTGCCAACCCCTGCCCTCCACACCCCACTTCTCCAGGCTCCCAGGCATACCCATACCTTTAGGCTTTTTCACACCCACTACCTAAAGTCCCCCCTTTGAGTCCTTGTCCAGGACTGGCATCTCCTGCTGTGGCTAATGCCCGTGCATTCATTCTTTCGTGCAGCCAATGAACAGAACACTAAGCACTTGTTACAGGCAGGACCAAGAATCCAAAGATAAATCAGTCCCAGGCATACCCATACAAGGAGGCAAATTAACCCATATATATTAACCAATATGTTGTTAAGTTGAAAGTGATTAGGTCACTAAGAGAGGCATGGGAGAGATAATTTCCAGCTAGAAGGCTCAGGGGAAGGTGTATGAATAAGGAGGCTGAATTGAGGGCAGGGGCAGAACTCAGAAAGAGCAGGAGATACACCTCAGGCCCAGGGAGTACTGAGAAGCAAAGGCAAAGAGATGGGGGAACTTCCTAAAGAGAACAAAAGATGTGGGCAAGATAATAGTCAACAGGTGAGAGCTGGTACATGGACTGTGCATTCCTGGCAGAGAGAACATTTACAATAAAAGTGAAAGATAGAATAGCCACAGTGGCTGCAGCAGGCAGTCTAAGGAGTGTAGAACTTAATAGGGCTGTAGCAATGGGCATGGCCCAAACCCTGCAAAGCTCACAGGGTGAATTGAGTCATTGAGGGAGAGAGTGTGCAGAACAGCCATGATCAGATTCACCTTCTAGAAAGATGGGTTGGCTGTACTGTGCAGAGTGCATTGTAGGAAGGCAGATAAGGGAGGTTACATCACCTGGGCACTTTCCTCTAGGAGTGGAAGCATTGCCAGATTGTTGTCTGGAACATCTTTGCAGGGCAAAATGTCTCTGTTCTAAAGAACATTCCTAGCCTATTCCTCAGTATTCTGAGGCCTTCTGTGACTCCCCTGCAGCCAGGCTGCCGTCAGAATTAACCACACATCGTGGCTTGCAAAAAAAAATAAGGACAGGGGAACTCCTGGACCAACCACTGCACTTTCTACAGGCCAGCCCATCTCTTTACAGCCTGGTGACTTTGGGAAAAGATTTCTAGCCATTCAGCCCTCTACAGCCTGGGGTGGGCCTCCTCGTGGCAGGACAGATTCTTCTCTTGGTCAATCAAAAACTTGGGAATCAGATTTTCCATTCAGTTCCAAGGGTGCTCTGGCCTGAGCTGACACACTGCCTCTTTAAACACATTATGAAGATTATCAGCAATGTATCAAGGTGTCTTTGCAGAATGGTATAAACTTCGGCTGCACTACTTATTGCCATAAACCACACTTCCAGGTTTTTATTTATATGCGCATTAGTTCAATATGATTGGATCTGTAGGCAGCAGAGGGGATTGGAGTAATTTATATATATATCAATAAAGGTCTCCAGCCAGCCACTGGGTGCTCTAAGGGGAACAGTACTTCCATTTAAAACGCTAGGAACTGGAGAAATTGAAAATAACTCTCTATTTAGAGGCCAAGGATTAAGGCATTTTGCAAGGAAGGTCTCAGCCCAGCCAGGCTATGCTAAAAAGGCTGTTAAAATGTCATTTGGCTGATAGTTAAGCCACAGATTTTACCTTAACCCCTTCGTCTCAATTGGATTTTTTTCTATGAAGCATGGACTCTAACAGGAAGACAGAACAGTGTCCACACTGGTGGAAAAGGTGGCAGAGTTCATGGGCATATGTCGGCTTTTGTCTCCTAATGTCTATTTCCACTTTCTACTGAGAGCATCACCTCAGTGAACTCTTGCACACCCATTGCGTGAGGTCTTCATGAGGCAACTGGTCAAGGTTCTTTGTGATCCCAGGCCAAGGAAGGCTCCTTGTACAAGCTGAGCCAATCAGATGCTCTCTCACAAGATTTTGACAAAGTGCTGTGAGGATGAAAAATAGTGGAAACTAACTTATCCCAGCAGTGGTACTCTGAAGAAACCCTCTGTTAGTTCCTGCCATCCACTCCAGGGGAGCTGCTGTGGCTCTTGATTCTTAAGCTTTTTCTCCCATTTTATGAACCATGAAATAGCCTTCCAATAAGTTCTCCTGCTTAGCTTAGCCAAGGGTTCTGCTGATTGCAACTAAGGAGCCTATGCAAGCAGGATAGCAGGGCCAGGAGTCTTGCCCATTAGGCTTGGCCCCCTCACGCTGGCTATGTGACCATGGCCAAGGAACCTCTCTACTGTGCGTATCAGTTTCACCTGTTAAATGAAAGTATTGGGAGAGGCCAATGGTTCTCAGATTTCAGGGAGGAGCTAGGGATCTTGTTGAAAACCTAGATTCTGATTTAGATGTTTTAGGGTGGGGCCCAGGCATCTGCTTTGTAACCAGCAGTGAGGCTGTGCCCACCAAACCTTAAGAGCACATTTTCAAATGATGCCTTCTGGGGCACTTCGTTATGTTGAGGACCACAGGGATGACCTCTGGGGGAAGGCAGAGTTGAGGTGGGTGGCACTCTTGTTTCGACGAGGCAGTCTCCTTTTATGCTTTATATATTGAGGCTCTATATTAAATTTCCTCTGCAGAAAGGGCTCTACCACCGAGAAAAAAAAGTTGAAAACCAGCGGACTGGGGCCACTAGATAATCTCTAAGGAAGCTTACTGTTCTGATTACACACTGCACCTCCTGCATTGCTTCCAAAGAGAAGCAGGTGTCAAAGCCTCTGGGGAACTGACCATCGCATTTATTTTATTTGAGAGGGTGACAGGTGTGAAACAAATCAAGAAAAGTAGATCCCGTTCTTGTCTGAAAGTAAAACAAAGGGAAAAAAAGATAAAATAAAATTCAAGTACATTCTTGAGATTCAGCTTCAAAGGAAGTAAAACCAACTCTCTAATCCTGAAATCATCCTAACAAACCCAAGAGCAGGCATTGTATTACCCTTGCTGATAATGATGCAGCAGAGGCTCTGAATGACTTGCTCATAGTGACGCAATTAGACAACACAATTCCCTGACCTCTCGACTGCGTCCCAAGGCTTCTCCTGCGGTGCCTCTTCCTGCCATGGCATTTAGAATACCATAAATTGAGCCAGAGGAGATCCATAAACAGCCCAGTTCTTATTTTTTACTTTAGAGTCCCTATGCGGCTTCATTTATTTTCAAAAGAGCATGTCACATGTTCGTTGGCACCTACCCCACTATAAAATATCTGTTGACATTTGTGGTTTGGGGCTGGGTTGGATTAGTTGCTGTTTCATCTTATTCACCCACTGCATGTAGCAAGAAGTGAAACACACTTCTACCCTGATTCCCCCTCTCATATCTTCTACCCTCCAGGCCAATCTATATGTGTCCTCTGCAGAATGGAAAGATTTAAAAACAGCTACTCCATCTTGCTGTACAACCTTAGCCAAGGCATGTAACCTCTGTCTCTGTTCCCTTGCCCATGTGAAATTGTTGTAAGGATAATGATAAAGAAGAGGAAGTCAACAGTGGCTAACATTTATCCCTTGCTCACAATGAACCAGACACCAAGCTATGTGACTTTACCTGAATGGTCTCAATCAGTCTTCACACAAGCCTGCAAGGTAGGTATGACTATCATTATCCAAATTTTGCAGAAGGAAAACCTGAGGCAAAATGTTGTTGGAACGGTTAAATGTTACATAGCAAATAAGTGGTGGATTAGGCTTCAGTCTCAGGAAGTCTGACCCCACAGCTAGGCTTTTCATTGCAACACTGTGTTCATTTTACTTCTGTATACTTGGCTGAAAAGTCTGGAGGCCTCTCAGACAGAGGGCTCAGAGGTAGGAGAGTCAGATGTAGATGGTAATTTAAGATAAACGAATGCATAAACAAAACATGGCAAAGAACATCAGCCTAGGTTTGTCCTCATTAGCAGTGGGACCTTGTGCCTCTTGCCCTCCCTGAGGCCCAGTCTTCTTACCAGCAAAATGGGGGAAATTATTCCTACCTTGTAGAGATAGTGTAAAAAATAGATATCTATGCATGACTACCTAAAAATCACTGAGTAAATGGAAATGATATAACGTGCACGGCAGTGTGCTGAAAAGTTAGCTGAAAAGTAAGACATTAGAATTCATGTAAAGTATCATTATATATTGGAGTAACATAGAATTGCTTCCAAGATTATAAAGTCAACCCAGAGTTTTCTTCCATAAGTTAAACTCACAGAGAGCAGAAGTCAAAAGTTCATAGTGTTAAAACAAACAAATGTATTTCCATCTCCCTTTCACCCAACTTTTCTGAGTCAAAAGCCTTAAAATTCCTACAATAGGAAATATCTATTATATTACAGGGCATTACATATGAAGAATAACCTAAGTATTACTCCTTGTGGAAACTAATCTTTTTATACTTATCCAGGTAGAATTTTTATTAATGCATTATATATATCCTTTTAAATATATTTCTATACATACATATACTCAAAAATATTGATTTAATGAGATCATATTACTCATGTTAAAATTAAAATTTACTTTTTTATTTAAAATATGTCTTAGGCATCATTCTATGCCAATAAATATAAATACACATTATCATTTTAATGCCTTCATAATATTCCACCGTATAAAAATATTATTATTAACCAATTGGAAGTTTAGATGGCTTCCAGTTTTTCCTATTATAAGCAGCACTGCAACAGACATCTCTGTACATCCATCTCTGTATACTTTTCCATTAAGGTCTTAGGATAAATTCCTGGATATGGACTATAATGTCAAAGATACACACGTTTAAAACTTTACTATATACTTCCAAACTGTTATTCTCCAGAAAGTAATTTCACTTTGGATTCCCACTAATAGGTATGAGGGTAGACAGATGTATTATGACTAGTAGTTTGAACCACATGAAGTTGTCATATTTGTAGGTCAAAACAGTTGAATGTCAGTAAATTCATATAGTTCAGTCAAATAATTCATCCCTAATGAGAGCCAAATATTGCTTTTCCACTTCAAATACTGTGCTGGCTGTTCAGAAAAGGGCAATTCACCTATTTGTATTGTGTGCCTTTTTAGGTAGAATGGGAGGTGGAAATAGGTAGAATGGGAGGTGGCTTCCCCTTTAAAATGAGCAAGTATTTGAAGAAATTCTACTATCCAATCTGGAAACAACTTGTTCTTGAATAAGATAATACATTGATTTTGAGTCACTTGATGGCCAAGAATGAGTTGTTTCTCTACCATTGATATGGTTTGGCTGTGTCCCCACCCAAATCTCATCTTGAATTGTAGCTCCCGTATTTCCCACATGTTGTGGGAGAGACCCAGTGGGAGATAATTTAATCATGGGGGCGTTTGCCCCATACTGTCCTCGTGGTAGTGAATAAGTCTCAGGAGATCTGATGGTTTTATAAGGGGAACTCTTTTCACTTTGTTCTTATTCTCTCTCTTCCCTGCCACCATGTAAGATGTGACTTGCTCCTTCTTGCCTTCCGCCATGATTGTGAGGCCTCCCCAGCCATGTGGAACTGTCAGTCAATTAAACCTCTTTCCTTTATAATCACCCAGTCTCAGGTATGTCTTTATCAGCAGTGTGGAAATGAACTAATACAACCATCCTTCTTTGTCAAGGGATAAATCTAATAAAACTGAAAGGAAATTGGTGTTCATTGTCACTAGTCCTTGAGACCATCTCCCAAAACATGAACTAAACCTAGAGGAATGTCAGAGCCAAAAGCACCTATGGCCACCTCACCATTTCCTGGATTGTGTTCCAGGGAGCACCAGTCCTACAAATGCTCTGAGATCACATACACTGAGGGAATAGGACATCCAGGAGCCTCCTTTTGGTGAGTCACAAGGCACTGAAACAATCAATACTCTGAGAAGTTCTGCAGTAAAGGAACCTGCTACTTGTCTTGAGCTCTGTTTTCTCACACTTGTTGGACCACAAATGCTTTTGACCACATATCATTTATTACCATACAGTGGAACAGAATTTTTTTTTAGCATTTCTTTTTTTATATTCATGTTATCACTTTTTATAGCACTTTTTTTTATTATACTTTAAGTTTTAGGGTACATGTGCACAATGTGCAGGTTAGTTACATATGTATACATGTGCCATGCTGGTGTGCTGCACCCATTAACTCGTCATTTAGCATTAGGTATATCTCCTAAAGCTATCCCTTCCACCTCCCCCCACCCAACAACAGTCCCCAGAGTGTGATGTTCCCCTTCCTGTGCCCGTGTGTTCTCATTGTTCAATTCCCACCTATGAGTGAGAATATGCGGTGTTTGGTTTTTTGTTCTTGCAATAGTTTACTGAGAATGATGATTTCCAGTTTCATCCATGTCCCTACAAAGGACAAGAACTCATCATTTTTTATGGCTGCATAGTATTCCATGGTGTATATGTGCCACATTTTCTTAATCCAGTCTATCATTGTTGGACATTTGGGTTGGTACCAACTCTTTGCTATTGTGAATAGTGCCACAATAAACATACATGTGCATGTGTCTTTATAGCAGCATGATTTATAGTCCTTTGGGTATATACCCAGTAATGGGATGGCTGGGTCAAATGGTATTTCTAGTTCTAGATCCCTGAGGAATCGCCACACTGACTTCCACAATGGTTGAACTAGTTGACAGTCCCACCAACAGTGTAAAAGTGTTCCTATTTCTCCACATCCTCTCCAGCACCTGTTGTTTCCTGACTTTTTAATGATTGCCATTCTAACTGGTGTGAGATGATATCTCATTGTGGTTTTGATTTGCATTTCTCTGATGGCCAGTGATGGTGAGCATTTTTTCGTGTGTTTTTTGGCTGCATAGATGTCTTCTTTCTAGAAGGGTCTGTTCATATCCTTTGCCCACTTTTTGATGGGGTTGTTTGTTTTTTTCTTGTAAATTTGTTGGAGTTCATTGTAGATTCTGGATATTAGCCCTTTGTCAGATGAGTAGGTTGCAAAAATTTTCTCCCATTTTGTAGGTTGCCTGTTCACTCTGATGGTAGTTTCTTTTGCTGTGCAGAAGCTCTTTAGTTTAATTAGATCCCATTTGTTAATTTTGGCTTTTGTTGCCATTGCTTTTGGTGTTTCAGACATGAACTCCTTGCCCATGCCTATGTCCTGAATGGTAATGCCTAGGTTTTCTTCTAGGGTTTTTATGGTTTTAGGTCTAATGTTTAAGTCTTTAATCCATCTTGAATTAATTTTTGTATAAGGTGTAAGGAAGGGATCCAGTTTCAGCTTTCTACATATGGCTAGCCAGTTTTCCCAGCACTGTTTATTAAATAGGGAATCCTTTCCCCATTGCTTGTTTTTCTCAGGTTTGTCAAAGATCAGATAGTTGTAGATATGCGGCGTTATTTCTGAGGCCTCTGTTCTGTTCCATTGATCTATATCTCTGTTTTGGTACCAGTACCATGCTGTTTTGGTTACCGTAGCCTTGTAGTGTAGTTTGAAGTCAGGTAGCATGATGCCTCCAGCTTTGTTCTTTTGGCTTAGGATTGACTTGGTGATGCAGGCTCTTTTTTGGTTCCATATGAACTTTAAAGTAGTTTTTTCCAATTCTGTGAAGAAAGTCATTGGTAGCTTGATGGGATGGCATTGAATCTATAAATTACCTTGGGCAGTATGGCCATTTTCACGATATTGATTCTTCCTACCCATGAGCATGGAATGTTCTTCCATTTGTTGGTATCCTCTTTTATTTCCTTGAGCAGTGGTTTGTAGTTCTCCTTGAAGAGGTCCTTCACATCCCTTGTAAGTTGGATTCCTAAGTACTTTATTCTCTTTGAAGCAATTGTGAATGGGAGTTCCCTCATGATTTGGCTCTCTGTTTGTCTGTTATTGGTGTATAAGAATGCTTGTGATTTTTGTACATTGATTTTGTATCCTGAGACGTTGCTGAAGTTGCTTATCAGCTTAAGGAGATTTTGGGCCGAGACAATGGGGTTTTCTAGATATACAATCATGTCATCTGCAAACAGGGACAATTTGACTTCCTCTTTTCCTAATTGAATACACTTTATTTCCTTCTCCTCCCTGATTGCCCTGGCCAGAACTTCCAACACTATGTTGAATAGGAGTGGTGAGAGAGGGCATCCCTGTCTTATGCCAGTTTTCAAAGGGAATGCTTCCAGTTTTTGCCCATTCAGTATGATATTGGCTGTGGGTTTGTCATAGATAGCTCTTATTATTTTGAGATATGTCCCATCAATACCTAATTTATTGAGAGTTTTTAGCATGAAGCATTGTTGAATTTTGTCAAAGGCCTTTTCTGCACCTATTGAGATAATCATGTGGTTTTTGTCTTTGGTTCTGTTTATATGCTGGATTACATTTATTGATTTGCATATATTGAACCAGCCTTGCATCCCAGGGATGAAGCCAGTGGAACGGATTTTCAAAAATTCCAAATATCTCACTTTATTAGAGAAGAACCTGAACTATCAAGGTTACAAAGGCACCAGGATTAGAAGTATTCTCTCATGCCATCAAACAGGTATTTATTGAGTGCTTGATATATGCCAAAATCTGTGCCAGACACTGACAAATTTGGTGAACATGACATAATCCTTGACTTCAATGAGATTATGATCTAGTGGGAGTAAAAGACAAATTAACAGGCAGCTTCAATTTAACATAATTTTTAATCTAGGACTTAGTGCCTAGTGTGATTATTGAGTACTTCAAATGTGACTTGTGACACTGATGAACTGAATTTTTAAATTTAATTTTAATTCATTCATATTTAAATTTAAAAATTATACAGTGTATTTTTCTACTAAACGTAGCTTTGCTGTTTTATGAGGACTATACATTTCACTGTTGAGATGAACTGTAAGTATAAAACACAAACCAGATTTCAGAGACCTTGTTAAAAAACAATGTAAAATATCTCACTCACAGTTTTTGTATAATTTGATTATATATTGAAATGTTTGTATTGTGGACATATGGGTTAAGTAACACAGATTATTAAGATTAATTTTGCCTGTCCCTTATTTTTTATAACATGGCCACTAGAAGATTTAAAATTACATATGCAGTTCATTATATTCCTTTTGGACAGAACCGATCTGAAAGAGTTAGCATGTCAGGAAGCACATAGGAGTGGCCTAACCAAGATCTGGGCAAAGCCTCCCAGTAGGAGATTATTTTTAATGATGAGACCTGTAGGAGGAAAAGGAAAGAACCAGGAGAAGAGAGGAAAGAAGAGTGTTCCTGAGGGAGGGAGCTGTTGTGCAAAGGCCCTGAGGTTGAAAACAGGGCAGGGCTCCTGATTCCAGATCCCCATCATTTCCAGCACACCACATCTCCTGTGCTCCAGGCCACCAAATGCTCCTCCCACAGATCACTGCTTCTAGAACCACTAGAGGCTCTTTATTTAAAGTGAAAACTGCATGTAGACATGTGCTTGGAAACGAGCACTTTGTTCACATTTCACACAGATTTAAGCTACACGTAGACTCCACTCTTGCATAGGTTATTGATTTATTCAAAATATGTGACAATTTTCTATTCCTCAAAGGAATCTTCTTTATAGGAAATATCTCCCACCAGAGCAAGCATCATATTACTCCCAGTAAGTATAACTGTAAGTGGCTCCTGAGGGCTCACAGCTAGTCTAGAGCAGGGGCAGGGAGGGAGCTCAGCTGAAAAGAATGAGTGCAGAGTGAGACACCAGGAGGCAGTCTAGCACAATGTTAAGAGCTCAGGTTCCTAAATGTCCAACAACGATAGACTGGATTAAGAAAATGTGGCACATATACACCATGGAATACTATGCAGCCATAAAAAATGATGAGTTCATGTCCTTTGTAGGGACATGGATGAAGCTGGAAACCATCATTCTCAGCAAACTATCGCAAGGACAAAAAACCAAACACCACATGTTCTCACTCATAGGTAGGAATTGAACAATGAGAACACTTGGACACAGGAAGGGAAACATCACACACTGGGGCCTGCTGTGGGGTGGGGGGTGGGGAGGACGGATAGCATTAGGAGATATACCTCATGTAAATGACGAGTTAATGGGTGCAGCATACCAACATGGCACATGTATACATATGTAACAAACCTGCACATTGTGCACATGTACCCTAAAACTTAAAGTATAATTTTAAAAAAAAGTTCTAAAATACAACCACAACAACAAAAAAAGACATGGAAAAATAAATAAATAAATAAATAAATAAATAAATAAAGAGCTCCGGTTCCGATGGATCTACCACTGACTGGCTGTGTGACACCACAGAAATCTCCTAACCTCTCTGGGGCCTTGGTTTCCTCATTTGCAAAGGAGGAAAAGAGCAGCATCAACTGCAGGGTTGCTCAGCCTCACCACTACTGACATTCAGGCCAGACAATTCACCGCTGTAAGGGCCTGCCTGTGTGCTGCAGGGTGTTAAGCAGCATCCCCAGCCTCTACCCACTGGATGCTGGTAGCACCTCCCCAATCAGGATGTAACAACCAAAACCATGTCCAGACACTGCCAAATGTCTCCCAGCACACTTCCAGTTGAAAACCACTGATCTACTGCAGGAGTCCTTGGGAGGATTCAACGGATTCCCGTATGAGAAGTGGTGGTATGGTGCTGAAACCTAGCAAGTGTTCACGAAAGGTTTGCTAAATAAATCCACAAAATAAAGGGAGGAAAAGCTCCTGCAAGAATGACAATGGCACTTAGCAGACTGCCATTTTGTGAATTTAACCAGCCATCACTTTAGCCCAAGAACCTCCATCTATTCCCCCTTTCCTCCCGCCAAAAGAAGCTAGGGCCTGGGTCTCCCGAGTAATGTGGGCAGAAAGGCCCTGCAAATGGGACATGACTGCCTCGATGGATTTAATGGTGCTTTTTAAATGTGGATAATTATAGGGCCTCTTCTAAGCAAGTGCACCAGTGGGGGGAGGCTGTGGGCTCTGGGGCACTGTGGGCCCGCATAGCTCAGCTCCGTGGAGCTGATGGTAATGTTATTAAATGTGCTCTCTCCTTTTATTAGGCATCTTAATAACCTCTAAGTTGCACCCAGGAGAGTTGGTGCAGAAAAGGAATTCTGGCCAACCTAATTTGTATTTGAAAATACCCCATAGGCCAACGGAACAAGATTCAGATGAATTTCACAGGCAGCTGAGGGCTACACAAGGCAAGTGTTTCCAAATTGTACTCAATTATTGAATGCAAAACGCCTGCCTCTCTGCCTTCCCCATCCCCATTCTTTGCCCTCCTTTTCTGCCAGTGCCCTTGCATCCCCTCAATGCGCATTTGCAGCCACACTCCAGCCACTGGCTAATAAAGAGAACTTAACCTGGGTGCTCTCTGTCAACAGGAAAATAATGATGTGAACTCATACTTATCAGCTATCTGATACCCTGAGCCAGACCCCGGTGTATTCCTCACAACACCCCAAAAGGTGAGTCCCCATTTTATAGTGGAGCAAACCATGATTTGAAAAGATTTGCATCTTGCCAGAAAAAAAAAAAAAAAAATATATATATATATATATATATATATATATATATATATATATATATGGACAGAGAGAGAGAGATAGAGAGAGAGAGATAATTACAGAGCATAGATCTAAACCCACTGCCCTCTGACTCCCTACCTGGTGCTTGTCACCACTGCTGACATTTTTCAATAATTGGGTGGTGACAAGGAGTAAGTCCATGTATTCATTCACCATGCACGGGTGACTGTATGTTCCAGACCTGGATGGAATGCTGGGAAAAGACACTGCCCCGCCCTCAGAGATTTCATAATGGAAATTATACACCATGGAAAGAACATGTAAAAGGAATCAGAAAAGGAGAGTAGCAACTCACATTCATTCAACATTTAGTGGGAGCCTACAATATACCAGGCAGTGTTCTAGCTACTGGCAACATTGCTACAGACACAAACAAAAGGAATAGGATTGACAAACATTCCAGGTACAGAATAAACAGAATCTGGCAGTCCTGACTGAAAGCGAAAGGGACAGGGAAAAACTGAAGGAGACTCAGAAGTGCCTAGTCCAGGAAACTGAGAATGAGCCAGCCATTAGCTGAGGTTGAAGGCAGGGATTTGGGAAAGAGGATAGCAAATTTGTTGTTAGAGTTGTCATAAGACATTGTATGAGCTTCCTATTGCTGCTGTAACAAATTACTACAAACATAGCTTTACACAACTCAAATTTGCTTTCTTACAGTTCTGGAGATGAGAAGTCCAAAATGAGTCTTAAGAGGATAAAATCAAAGTATTGACAGGGCTAGTTCCTTCTGAAGGTTCCATGGCAGAATCCATTCCTTGCCTCTTCCAGATTCTAGAAGCTGCAGGCATTTCTGAGCTTGGACTGCATCATTCCAGCCTCTGCTTCCATCATCACATAGTTATTTTCTGTCCCTAACACCTCTTGCGTCTTTCTTACAAGGATATTTGTGATTACATCAGTCCTGCCCAGTTAAGCCTGGATAATTTTCCCCATTACAAGATCTTTAACACAATCATCTATGCAAAGTACTTTTTGCCATATAAGGTAACATTCACAGCTTCCAGGAATTAAAACATGGACATATTTGGGGGAGTCATTATTCAGCCTACCATAGACATCCAGGAAGAGATGTTCTATAAGCAGTTGAAAATGTAAATCTAGGCCAGGTGCAGTGGCTCACGCCTGTAATCCCAGCACTTTGGGAGGCCGAAGTGGGTGGATTGCTTGAGGTCAGGAGTTCGAGACCAGCCTGGCCAACATGGTGAAACCCCATCTCTACTAAAAATAAAAAAAAATTTAAAAAATTAGCCGGGCATGGTGGTGGACGCCTGTAATCCCAGCTACTCAGGAGGCTGAGGCAGGAGAATTGCTTGCACCCGGGAGGTGGAGGTTGCAGTGAGCCAAGATCACACCACTGCACTCCAGCCTGGGTGACAGAGCAAGACTCTGTCTAAAAAAGAAAAAAAGAAAGGAAGGAAGGAAGGAAGGAAGGAAGGAAATGTAAATCTAGAGCTTGGTGGAAATGACATTCGTAAGTCAGTGAGTGAATTGAACTCATGAATTCAATTCACTCATTCATTCAACCATTCAATAATTGTTTATTAAGCAGTTAATATTGCCAAGAAGATAATCGCACCAAAGCAGTTGATTTGGGACTCATGCTCATAGCTCATAGTTGATGGGAGTTTATGTAAAAAGAGGGAATAGAGAGTAAAAAGCAGAAGACTGAACCCAGCAGTTTGGGGAAACTATGAGGAGCAGACAAGAATAGAGGAACCAATGTGAACTTGTCCAGGTTAAAACTAACACCATTTGTACAGTTTTGTTTGTCATCGTGGGTGACTACAGGTCATGGGGCATGTGATTTCAAAATATGCTGTGTCTGGGGCAGGTTGGGGAGGTCTTTCAACTAAATTATTCTTGAGCTACAGCATCTCTGGAGGGTCTGTTCTCCAGCCCATAACCACCAGTAGAGACTGTGGTTCTGGCCGGTTCTTTTTCTTGCCTTTTCTTAGCCAAGTGCAGTCATTAAGTACTTCATATCCAATCACTACAGCCCAACCTCTTGGCTTCCCCAGTAATGGAGGCAGCAAGAATTTAATCC
This sequence comes from Homo sapiens, assembly GCF_000001405.40. Classification (NCBI taxonomy): domain Eukaryota; kingdom Metazoa; phylum Chordata; class Mammalia; order Primates; family Hominidae; genus Homo; species Homo sapiens. Next base: position 158,224,119 of record NC_000005.10, on the reverse strand, counting down.
ATGGCAGCATCAGGTGCAGAAAGATGATACTGAATATTTCATTCCTGAGATGATGGGAACTGGAAGCCCCTGGAGATGATCTGACTGAATCTTGCAAGTGAGCCCTTCCGGGAATCCACTGGGTAACTGTGCTACTGGCAGTAATGACTGCCACTTGGGCCTCAGCTTCCCAATGGGAGGGGAAGCTGCATTAATGTGCAACAGTGTTAAAAGGCCAGCTCCAACTCTGCTTCTAGGAAATTAGGGTTTGTTTTAAAAATCTTGCTTTCAGAGGCTTCCTGTCACCTCTTTGGATCCAAAAGATATTTGTTGCTAATTACCCCCCACAACCCCAACTTTATTATTTTATTTTATTTTACTTTATTTTCTTCAGAAAGAGCCAAATGAAGGGAGAACAAACAGGTCTAGCAAAGAGAAATCATTTAAGGTACATTTCTTCTCTTTAGGAAATTACCTGCTTTGGCTTACATCTTTAACTCCTCTCAGTCTTTAATAGCTAACGCAAGAAGACAGTAAGTGTTAAAATGGACAGGAGAAAAACAGATGCATTATCAGGGTGGGAAATTGCATAAATTGTGTTGGTAAGTAAATATCATTTGTTAAACGCTGAAGTACTAAAATGAAAAAAGAGACTATTTTTCCTTAAAAAAATTAAGTGTTTTGAAAAACTGGATTAGATTCTTTTATTACTCTTCACAAAATTGAAAACAGATGGTATGTGCTATAGACTTAAGAAAACACAGCAAAAGTGGAAAAAGGTCAGCTTCAGTGTAACTTGGAGGTGAGAGGACCTGAAACCTGACCCCTTGGCCATGAAGACCCCTATTCAGATCTGATTTGTGACGCTGGCTCACAGTTGCATACCCTGAAGTGGTGGGGTGTGACCTGGAAGTCGGCGACTAGACAGCAGAGAGCTGGGCCCCTACAGGCGCTTCGATGTGCCCTCTTCACCTCTCCACGCTAATCCTGTGCATCCTTCCAAAGAAAGTTCCTACAATAAGCTCTCCTATCCAGCCCACAGAGTCATCTGCCTGCTCTGAACTCCCTCCTTGCTAACTGGACCATCATTGTGTCACATATCTTGCCTTCTCTGAGTGGGAGCTCCTTGAGGGACAGTTGAGTGGCAGCCATTCAGAGCATACATAGTCCCCTTTCCTGACTCCAAAACTATTTCTTGCTTCATCGATGAGCCTGAGGTTGGTTTATTTGCCTGTAGAGAGTGTTTGTACATCTTTGTATCCCATGGAGTAGTAAGTGAACTAGAGGAGGTGTGAAAGATGACTTTAGGAAGTAGTACAGATATTTTCTAAAGAGAAAACAGTAAAAAATAGCAAACATTACTATCTAGTATATAGAAAAGATTTTCTATTTATGAGCCATGTTGTTATTTTAATGTATTCTAGAAATAAATAAATATATATATACAAAAACTCTCAAAATATGACTATTAAGTCTGGGTGCAGTGGTTCATGCCTGTAATCCCAGCACTTTGGGAGACCAAGGCAGGAGGATCACTTGAGGCCAGGAGTTCAAGACCAGCATGGCCAACTGGTGAAACCCCATCTCTACTAAAAATAAAAATAAAAATAAAAATAAATTAGCTGGGCATGATGGTACATGCCCGTAATCCCAGCTACTTGGGAGGCTGAGGCAGAAGACTTGCTTGAACCCGGGAGCTGGAGGTTGCAGTGAACCGAGATCACGCCACTGCACTCCAGCCTGGGTGACAGAGCGAGACTCCATCTCAAAAAAAAAAAAAAAAAAAAAGACTATTGAACATCAACATACTTTAGTTTTCAAAAGTTAATTAATATAGAAAAACATTAAAAGTTTACGTGAAATTTAGATATGGTAAAAAATCATAAAGACCATGTGCAAGGACTGAAGTGTTGGAAAAAGCTGCCCTAGATAATGAAGACTTCCTTTATTATCCAGTAAATATTGTCATTTGAGGATATCTCAAACTCTATTTTTGGATTATTATCATCATTGTGGTTTTGCTTTGTTTTTATCCCTAGAAAACCCCAAGAAGAGTATTTTTTGACAGAAGAAGAAAATGGAAGCTTTCATGGCAATCACATTTTATTGCCTTGATAGTCAAGGCAACCAGCTCTGGAGTAAGAACAGACTTCTGTCTGACACTGCTCTTTTCTAGTAGAATGACTTATAAATTTAAATAATTACCTACTCAATACCTCAGCATTCCTATCTGCAACATGGAATTGTTATGAGGAAGATATGAAATAACACATGCTAAGTGCAGCTTGGTGCCTGACACAGAGAAAGAGTCCAATAAATAGCAGCTATTGCAATTAATAATAGTAGTAGCATCAACAGTAACAATAAAAACTGACATTTATAAAGAAATTCACGTCTATTAATGGGCTTTATCTAAGCATTAGAATTTATCCAACGTGCCTACTGGGTGCCAAGTACGGTACAAGACCCAGGTATTCAACTATAGAATGAGAAATGCATGATTGCAAGGTAGGCAGGAAAATAAACTCTGAAATTAAGTCACCCATTTTCAAATCTAAGCTTTGCTATTTCTTCTATTGCTGTGGCCTTGAGCAAGTGACTTGCCTTTCCATGCCTCAGCTTTCTCATCTCTAAAATAGGGATAATAATGGCAACCACCTTGTAGTGTTGTTGTGAGAATCCAGAGTTCACAGAAATAAAGTGTATCAATGTCATCAGAAAGGTGACTGTAACTAGTATCCTTAATTTATTTTAGCAATTATCACTGTAGTTCCTGTCCTTACCAGGCTGCCATATAGTCTTCCACATTTTTCAAATGGGCAGCTAGTTTCCAAACTTTGTATTTGCTACAAATTATACCCAGCCACTAATTCAAAGACAAAGGTGTAATCGTATAAGGAAGTTAGAGGTTGATCTACTGAGAACATTTTATCACTGAGCCCAATCAATTACTTCCAAAGATTCGTTCAAGCCAGTTTTATAATTAGAGTGAAAGGTCATCTACATCATGTATTCTTCCAGTCACTAGGAAAATTTCCACTGGTTCCTATAGCACCTAGGGACTACAGCACACACACACACACACACACACACACACACACACACACATCTCCTGCCGTTGCATTAAATTTCTTTAACAAAACCTGTGCTATTTATGTAAATATCAAGCAAAGCAACTACTTGCTTCACCCTTGAAGCTAAGACTAATTTGTAGCATTCCCTGATGTCGAGGTTTCTGGAAAAATAAGACTGTTTATCTGAACACATTTATACTTTCTATGCAGATCCAGGAAAACACATAAACAGCCTGATTTGTTTTCCAATCCAACCATCTTTTTCCCTTATAGAAAACCCAGACAGGTACCAGAGTGGTCAGATTCAACATGCAGATAAGGAAGCTGTATGAGCCCAGCCCCAGAAAGCATCAGAATACCCATTCTTTTGACAAGTGAGGCCAGTCCAAGTCAAGACCTCCCAGCCTGAGACTGTGGCTGTTTCCCGGATAGAAATAACTGCTTCAATCCAGGCTGTGCCAATGCAGCCCCAGATATAAAGGTGATGAAGGGCTGATTTTGAAGCCCAAAGTCTTGCCTCAGGACCATTTAGAAAACACTGCTGGCTATGGAGCCATCGGACACACAAGTCAATGAAATATTACCCCTAATTGAGTGGTCCATTTGAGAATGCAACCAAGAGTGTGTCCAAGGAGTTAGCACTCCCCTTTACAACTCCCCAAGCCCCTCCTGGGTTAGTATCCATTTAAAGAGAGAGGAGAAAAGACCACTTTCATCACTTAAGTGTAAATGAATCAAAGTATGATATGGATAAGGGAGCAATCAGCTTCCCCTGAAGACTGATCTGTTAAAGCAAGTGAAGGGTGATTCATTCCAGATGTGATGTTCCTGAAACCCACTGCTGGATCATCGATTCCAGACTCCCCAAACACCCTCAGATACAGAGAGGTATTCAGGAGTTCAGGTGGGCTGAAGGATGCAGGAGAATTGGTGGCCTTTAAGACCAGGAAGTTTTTGGATACATCTGATCTGGTCTCCAAGGGCAAGCCAACCTGATCTCTAAGTCACTCTTCAATGTTCCATTAAGAAATCTCCCAGAAAAACTAATCCCAAAGCCATTTCTGAAAAGCCAAATATCTCCCAATACCAAGGAGGCATGCTCAAGTCAGCAGTAGCAACCTGGTCTATTTTCTTTGACCCAAAGTGTGCTGCTATTGTTTTCATTTTAGTTAGCTGTCAGTATTGAAATTTCCTAGGAATTTTACATCTCTTGAAGATCATTTGATCCTCTATTTTCACGTGGAAATCAGCTGGAGTAGAGCGACAGCCACCTCCTCTGTCCCCAAGGTCTCCATTGGCCTCCTTGACACGTTGATGTTTACTGTTGTCCCCATGTAGGCACTGTCTCTGCAACTGCTGTCATGAGGTTACTCTGGTGCCTGTGTAGACAGGGACCAATTGACTAAGAATCTATGTTATAGGCTGAATGTAAACAAAGTAAAAAAAGAATGCCTCCATTGCCTTGATATGAAACCCCACCCAAGAGATACCTCATACTGGGTAGTGACAAATGGCTTATTTAGATCCTGTCTCTTGGAAGGTATGACTTATGAGTGAGGCAACTTGAGCTAGCTGTCAGGTTTCCATGGAGCATAGAATATATCCCAGTTTTGAAAGTACTAGAACCTAGGATGTCCTGTTCACTGAGGGTCAGTAACCTTTGAAATAAACTCTATTGCTGAAGATAATCTAAGCTTGTCTCTTTCTAAAAATATTAAAAACCAAAAAAGCACCTTCTGCATATCTCAAAGCTCTACTCCCTCTACACCTTTACCATCTTGCATTAAAATGGCTTCAAGAGACTTCATAGTGGTCATGAGCAAGGCCTCTAGGATCCAAATGCTTGGGTTCGTGCCCCAGTTCTAGTCCTTGCTACATAATCTTATAAAAGTCTCTTTACCTCCCTGAGCCACTGTCTCCTCTTGTGCAAATGAGATTAAAAATAGCGCCCATATCATAGTGTAGGTGTGATAATTAAAATAGCACATATAAACAGTACAGTGCTTACTTACGTAGCACATTTTCCATAAATATTAGGTTAAAAAAATCAAATCTACAACATGAATCTTTTTGCCTATAACTTGTTTAAACCTTTCACTCTAGCCTTCCTGTTTCTCCCATGGGCTACCCAAATATTACTTGTGTGTCCCCACATTTTGTACTTTTGTCCCCAGAACTGCTCTCTCACTATAATGCTCTCCCTTTCCTCTGTATTTAACTGATTCTAATCCGTATACGATGGCTAATTCAAGTCCCACTTTTCCCATGAAGCTTCCCCTGACTTTCCTAAGTACACGCCTCTTCTGTAATCCAACCTGTGAACTCATGAGTGTTTCAAAACTTCCCAGACCTCCCCAACAAAAATGATATTGTAACACTAGAACAACACCCTGAAAGTGGCAAAGAGAAAAATGAGGTCCAGCTTCTCCTGTCATCGCCATCATACCTGGATCTGCATGAAATGACATGGGTGCTTCACATTATCCAAAGCTTTAAAAGCATTTCACCTCTGAATTTCCTAAATTATTTATACTAGCGGCTAATGTCTGCTTTCCGGTCATGTAGCTACTGGCCTTAACATGATAAAATTGAAGGGTATTAAAATAAGGATTATTTCTTTATCTCTGATGGAGGGTAAAAACTTTAAAAGTAGAGGCAATAGTATGTATTGACCGAGATGAGAAATTTGGGGCTGTGAAAAAAGAAGTCATCAAGGGTGATTCCTAGATTTGGGGATTAAACAACTGAGGGAATGGTGGTGATCTATTCTGAGGCAGGACACACTGGGGGAGATATGGGAATTTTCTTGGAGGTGAAAGGGAAATCAAGAGGTCTGGCCATGTGAAATTAGAGGTGCCTAATAGATAGCCAAATGGACCTACGAAGAGAACAATTGTATGAGTCTGGAACTCAAGAGAAATATTAAGTTTAGAAATATAAATTTGTCAATCATTAGTATAGAGATGACATTTAAAGCCATGGGACTAGATCCATCTACCTAGGGAGTGAGAACGGAAGGAAAAAAGAAGAGGGCTAAAGGAAGATCCCCAGAGCCAGCTCATGGGACTGGGAAGGGATAGGGAGTGAGATAGGAGCGACTCTAGAAGACTGCAGCATAGCAGAAGCTCTGTGAAGAAAGTATTTCAAGAAGAAAGAGTAGTCAACTGTGACTAATGCTGCTAATAGGTAGAGTAGAATGGGGTCTGATTACCGGTCCTTGATTACAACAAGATGGTGGCTGCTGTGCCCTTGACAAGAAAGTCTCAATGGAGAGAGGTGGAGATTAAAATATGATTAGAGAGAAAGAAGAGCATGGTGGGTACAATACAGGAAACTCTTCTGAGATGTTTGGTATAAAGGGGAGCAGCTATGTGGGTGGTGAATTATCCATGAGGAACAGGAGTAGAAGCAGGAAGACCTGTTGGTGGCTATTAAAATTGTCCAAGTGATAGAGCAAGTTAATCTCTCAGATAAAAGAGGTTTATCCAATTCCACTGAAACCTAAAAAATTAATACTCATGTTGCCAATATTCTGGCATAATAAAAGAATTGAGTGTTTATGTTTTGCTTTTCTTTAAAGACAGGATTAAGAGTATTAGAAATAAAGAAGACCACAGATTATCTAATCAACTTCAATTGCAAATGAGCTGCCATTTTCCAGATAAAGAAACTAAGACTGTGGAGATTAAATTATGTAACCAAAGACAGAAAACATCTGTGTAGAAACAAAATTAGAAACTAGAATGCTCAATTTTGTACTATCACCTTATACCACCTGTGTTCCTTATGTATAATACTATACCACGTCAAAACCTCATTCAACCAGAGTCAAGAGGCAGAAATTTTTGTTTCATTGAAGCAGCCATTTTAAAGTAAAGGTTAAAAACACAGGTTTTAGGCTCCACTTTTGACTTGGCCAATTATTATCTATGTTACTTTGGTCAAGTTACTTTCCATCTCTAAACCTCAGTTTCTTCATTCATAAAATGAGAATACTAATAGTATACACTCATACGGTTTTTTTCAGGATTACCTAAGTTGATGTGTATAAAATCATGATGCCAGACATACAGTTAGGACTTAATAAATGGTAGCTATTTGTATGATTATTTGTGTTTTATCTCTTTTAGTTCATATATGAACCCAGAGGCTAAACTCAAATTTCTCTGGAAGATCTTAGCAATTGAGAATTATTGGAAAAAGAAATTCCAAACGAAAGATAACAACCAATGCTCTCAAAGTAGGTATCAGGGATCACATCTTAGGAAGATCGCAACAGAGTAATAGCAAAACATCATTTGGAGGCTTACATCACAGACAGCAGCAAGGAAATTCAAATTCACACTGTCGTGGAGTTATTTTTTTTTAAATGCTGGTCTATCACTAGATAAAGAAAATGTGGCACATGTACACCATGGAATACTACGCAGCCATAAAAATGAATGAGTTCATGTCCTTTGCAGGGATATGGATGAAGCTGGAAACCATCATCCTCAGCAAACACACACAGGAACAGGAAACCAAACACCACATGTTCTCACTCATAAGTGGGAATTGAACAATAAGAACACACAGACACAGGGAGGGGAACATCACACACCAGGGCCTGTTACAGGGAGAGGGGCAAGGGGAGGGAGAGCATTAGGACAAATACCTAATGCATGCAGGGCTTAAAACCTAGATGATGGGTCGATAGGTGCGGCAAACCACCATAACACATATATACCTATGTAACGAACCTGCACATTTAACACATGTATCTCAGAACTTAAAGTAAAATAAAAAATAAAATTTAAAAATGCTGGTCTATTACATTTGGTTATTCTCTGTGATTCACAAGCAGTTGTGAGCATTAGATATTCCAACTGTACAAGGTAAACCAGGCAATTATTGTTATTATGCCCATCTTAGAGATGAACAAAATGAACCTAATAGAGATGAAGAAACATACTCGAGGCTGTGAAATCTAATAGGTGCCAGAGCCAGGACTAAAGCTCAGGACTTCAGAGTTTTCCATTTAGGTGTCTGATTACTTGGGGAGCCTATGTACAGCTTCTGTAGCATTTGATGATTTTATGATGTGCTTTGGGATTTATTGATGTTATTTTGTTGGTTCCTCTCCACCTCATAATCCACAATAGCAGTGTCTGTCTTTTGTCTATGAAATGTATAAAAGCACCCAGAGGTTGTTAAGTGGTAGGTGCATCCAATAAATACATAAATCATAAAAATACAAAGAGCATATGATGGCTGGTTTCCATTCTGACAAATCTGTTTCCCTTCTGACAAGAGATGCTGCCCTGTGGTTCTTCATGTGGGGAAATAAATGTCATAAGTTATCAGCCATTTAGTATTATGCCTTGTATGCACCTAGAGTCCTGTGGGGATTTAGATTTCAAATTGAGGCACGTCATTTTTGAGGGCTGGCCTAGTCCTGTGCAGAGGCAGAGTCTGAATCATTTCTGAGGTTGAGAGTCCTCAAAACTGTCTCTCCTGTCCCCAAAATATTTTCCGCCACTCTCTTGCCACAATCTCTGAAATTTCCACCTTTATGAAGTTCTTTGGGTTAAGTTATTAAAGGTCCTTTCTTCATTTATTCCAGAAATATCTATTAAGCTATGATGTATTAGGCACTATTCCAGGTGTTAACTATGCAACTATAGGCAAAATAGACATAGACCCTTCCCTCATGAAGCTTACAATCTCTTGAGTAGAAGGGTGGATGGCAGGGCTGGGAGATAAGAAGCAAAGAAATAAATATATTGATGAAATGTCTTCATTCAACAAATATCAAGTGCCTACTCTTTACAAATTCAACATAGATCCTAAGATAGTTTACCCAGGTGGTCACTTCAAATAATTTATCAGATTAGCAGCCAGGGACCTAATAAACTTGAGGAAATTGGAATCATGTCAAATGCTGTCTAGTGTCTGGTTTCTCTCTTTCTCCCCTCTCTGCCCTAAAACCATTTGATTTGGCCCTCTCTCTAGGATGAGTCCTCATGATGCATGGACAGGAAGGTCTTCAGCAATGTCAGCACCCAACTCTTTGTACTTCCCCATCATCTCCGCCAAATTGTCCTTTTATAACTAGGCTTCCTTCATTTGTTCAATAAACATTACTGAGAGTCTCTTACATATTAAATACTAGCAATACAAACGTGCATGAGGTAATTCCTGCTCTAAAACCCTTACGGTTTCTAGCAAGAAGAGAGACAAGTAAAAAATAAATACTTCTCAGCCCAGATGCTGAGGCCCTATTACTACTCACAGGCTTCCCTGCTATTCTTTCTAAACAAATTCACCCTCTAGATTCCCAATGATCTAGAGCAGCAGTGTCCAGTAGAACTTTCTGCAATGATGAAAATGTTTCATATTTGTGTGCTATCAAATACAGTAGCCATATACTTGACACATATGGCTATTAAGCAGTTAAAATGTGGCTAGTGCAAGCAAGGAACTGAGTTGTTTGTTACATTTATTTTAATTAATTTAAATTTAAATCTAAGTAACTACATGTAGCCAATGGCTACCACATTGAAGAGTGCAGGTCTAGAATGAGGAATGTTTCCAGGTTGTACAAGTCTTGATAAGAGACTGTAGAATCCAGGGGGCTAGGGTTCAAATGCCCAACCCCCTAGAATGTTTTCTGTGTCCTGAAAGTTTGCATTATGACTGGTTTTACAGAAGAGGAATAAAAGCAGATCAGAGAATAGGTTTTCAAAATTGTTGATAGTAATTTATATAAGTGATCAATAAAGAAAGGCCGGAAAAAAGGAAACTATATTATATAGCGGTAACAAAGGAAAGGCCTATGGGATCCCAGCAGGACACAGTTCTTCAGACATGACTGGAAAGAGCTGGAAGACCTATCCATGTGGGAAAGGGATGATAAAATGGGCCTATAAGCACACTCACTCCCCTAATATGCATGTTACATTATCACAATTTTAAAATGTTTTTGGTGTCATAGTGTTTTTTAATATGGTGGCCTGAGGACTTCTTCATCTTTCCAATGCTCATTTAGCATTTTCTCTGGCCTATGGGAGGTGATAAGTAAATGTCTGTAGAAGAAAGAGACAGACGGAGAAAATACAGTGGCTGGCATGTTATATGTGGTTAAGAATTGTTGAATGAATGAGAAGGGAATCAAACAAAGTGATTTGTACATGGTAGGTACTCCATAAATATTTAATAGATTGTTTCACTGGTATATTATACAATCAAATTCAGCATAGCAAAATAATTACAACTGTCTTTGGAATTCACTGTAAAAGGATTTTAATTATGTTTGTAAGTGTCAAGACTTAAGGTTAATGTCCAGGTACTTTATCAAGGATCAACATATTTGAAAACAGGGACTGTACAATTGTGTTCTGGGCTAAAACTATTTACTTAACTGTCTTCATTAGTGGCTGGTGTCTGTTATATCAAAAGAATATTGAATTATGCTTAACCGTTTCTGTTTATTTTATAACAGGCTCAGGACTATTTCTCTACAGCACTGAATTTCAAAGAGATCATGATTGGATAGCAACTATCAGTTAAATATCTTCTTTTGCTTGTAAAAAAATAATCATAAGGATTATCTACTAGTTCATTGATCAGCCAATGTATTCATTAGGGTAACTTAGTTTCTATAACCAACAAACCCTAACATTTCAGTAGCTTTACAAGATACAAATTTATTTTTCATGTAACAATCCAAGGTGGTTTTTCCTAGTTGGAGTGCATTTTTTTCTCCATGTGGTGATTCAGGACCGAGGCTACTTCCATTTTATAGCCCCACAGCATCTCATAGGGCCTTGAAGGCCTTTATGTTTGAACAGTAGATGGGAAGAGAAAAAGCAGAAATGATACACTGACTTCTTGGGAAACTCAACTAAAAAGGGCTACACTCACATTCCATTGGAGAACTAGTCACGTGGCCGCACATGGATGCAAGTGGTGCTGGGAAATGTAGTCCCTGGCCAGGCAACTGCCACTCAGTGCTAGCTAGGTGCACAGAATGGAAAGAGGATAACATATTTCTGGTGGACAACTATCCATCTTTGCCACAACCAGCATTTGCCTTCTGCCAGAATTCTGAAGTTGAGCTGGGGAAAGCACAATATACATGGCCCCAAATAAAAGCTACTGCTCTTTCAGTGAAAATAGTAATAGCATTAATCAAAGTGTCACTAAATTCAATTCTCCAAACAGGAATTCAGAGGGAAAATTTGTGGCAAACATCTAAGGACAGAGCGCCCTTCATTGCCAAGGAGAGAATGTCTCCTTGCCTGTAGATGAGAGAAAGCTGCCTTGTTTGCACTCTTCCTTCTCATGCATTTGTGAAGGGGCACTCTGTTCCATGAAAGGGCCATATATGCAAAATGACCCCCAAATGGCCAAGGAGCCAAGAAATCAAAAAAAGAGACAGACAAATCCAGTTTGTCAGCAAAGAGTGTTAGGGGAATTTACAGACAGAAACGTGGTCTTGGGAAGCTGCAAGACAGGTAGTTCTCCAACCTGTTACCCCAGACCCAGGGCTTATAGACCATAAGGAAAGAGGGTAATTATATGGACAGTCAAGAATGCTACGTGCATCATAGCCTATAATTAGGCTCCAGGACAGGCAAGAATGCTACATGCATCATAGCCTATAATTAGTACAGTAACATCAAGGCTGACATGTTCTTATACTAGGGAAGTAAACAACATGGAAACATAGAGGCATTCACAGGACTGGGGCTAATCAGAAGTCAACATGGCAGATTAGCATTCAAAATGGAGTCACTTCTGTCTCCACACCCTCCTATTGTCTCCATCTCACAGAGACTTTGCTGAGCAGCCCAGCTGTGACCCTTTCCCCATCTCTCTCTGCCCACCATGACCAGCTTCAAAGTGTGCCAGACCATCTGATGTGCAATTGGAGGGGAGAATTTAGAAGGTGTTAAACACAAGCTTCCTTCCACCTCCTTTGTCCTGAAATGTTAAGATTGTACCTGTCAGAAGAAGGAGAATTTGAATATTAGTGATTTATGACTCTTATTTTGGTAGCTTCAGCTTCAAAGTCAGGTTTCCCCAGTGGTGAGACAACATAGAATACACTGCTCTGTTTTCAGGATCATGAATTACTATCATATAGATGACACTGGAACAGTGTTATATGAACACCTTTCCATGAATAAATACAGTGTAAGTGCCATATTTCTTGTTCATTAGAATGGCCTGAACCACTAAAGCAAGAACATTTCTTTTTTTTTTAAATTTATTATTATTATTATACTTTAAGGTCTAGGGTACATGTGCACAACGTGCAGGTTTATTACATAGGTATACATGTGCCATATTGGTGTGCTGCACCCATTAACTCGTCATTTACATTAGGTATATCTCCTAATGCTATCCTTCCCCCCTCCCCCCACCCCATGACAGACCCCAGTGTGTGATGTTCCCCATCCTGTGTCCAAGTGTTCTCATTGTTCAATTCCCACCTATGAGTGAGAACATGTGGTGTTTGGTTTTCTGTCCTTGCAATAGTTTGCTCAGAATGATGGTTTCCAGTAAAGCAAGAACATTTCTATGCCAAACAAGTCTTCCCCTTAGAATTCCGTTGTTCTCCTATTGCAAGAGAAACTAGATTACCAATGGGTACAGTCCCTGCAATCATGCTTGTACTAAAATGTATGTATTAATACACATCAAATTCATATTATGGAAAGTGACTAATGATTCCGTTGATATTACTCCAAAGATAACAGAATCTACCTCCTAGGGAGGTTGGGAGGTAAAAGCGAGATAATATACAGAAAGTGCACATCACTGTCTGTAACACATATCAAGCACTTATTAAATATTATTATTATGTTGGTTAATTTTAGGTGTCATCTTGACTGGATTAAGGCAAAGCTGGTAAAGCATTATTTCTGGGTGTGTCTGTGAAGGTGCTTCTGGAAGAGATCAGCACTTGAATCAGTGGACTGAGAAAGGAAGATCCACCCTCACTCAGCGTGTGCCAGCACCATCCAATCAGCTGAAGGCCTGGAGAGAACAAAAGGCAGAGGATTTACTCTGTCTCTTGTGCAGCTGGAACAATCTTTTCCTGCCCTTAGACATCATAACTCCAGGTTCTTCTGCCTTTGGACTCCAAAACTTGCAGCAGCATTCCCCTAGTTCTCAAGCCTTCCGCCTCAGACTGAGAGTTACACCATCAGCTTCCCTGGTTCTGAGGCCTTTGGACTTGGACTGAGCCACACCACTGGCTCCCCTAGGACTCCAGCCTGTCATAGGACTTCCCAGCCTCCATAATCATATAAGCCAATTTTTGTAATAAATCCCTGCTTATCTCTCTGTCCTATTTATCTATGTAACTATCTATTTATCTGTCCGTATATCTAGCTGTCTATCTGTCTGTCTTTTTGGTTCTGTCTCTCAGAAGAACCAGACTAATACAATTACCTTTCATTATTATAATTTGACTCTAGTGAACATCTATTACCCTTTTGGATACTAAAGCTCCACTTTTCTTTTGAGGAACATTTCCACATCAATCTCAGTAGGCCATTACCACTCAGTCTTCAGGGATGAGCCCATGTTTTAGGCCTGATCAAGTAAATACACAGTGACTGGCCAGTTCAAGGATGGCCAGGTGACCCACACTGTCTCAGAAAAGTACTCCCCAGAAATTTGCTGGAACCACTGGTGAAAAAGTTGTCTCAGATTTCTGTTACCCTTCCTAGTTGGTAGGACGTAAGCTTAGAGCAGCCAGGGGACTAACCACCATGAGGAGAAGGTATAAGTGCAAATAAAGTCAATCGGAAGGAAGGAGAGCTAAGAGATGGAGGAAATCAAGCCACATGATAACATTTAGAAACTAAACTCCATATGCATCCTCCCCCGCAAAAAAAAAAAAAATAAAAAAAATAAAAAAAAATCCTTCTTATGCTAAAGCTCATTTGAGTGGGATTCTGTCACTTGCAACTGAAAGAGGCAAAATGGGAGCAATTAGGAAAATGTGACAAACATCTGACATCATTTGTCAGTGGGGGAATATGCATAAGAATTAAAACATTAAAATGTAAGTTGTTTTAAAGTTTAAAGATACTTTTGTATGTTATAACCTGCATTAGGTTATTAACACAAACAGCCACAACAGATGAGCCCTAAAAGCTTAGCACACAAAGATTTATTTCTTGTCCACGTCACAGTCCACAGGACTTAGGCAGCCCTCCTCTGGTCCCCACAGCAGGGAAGGAGAGGGCTGGAGTATTGCCCATAAGGATTTAGAGGTCCAGTCCCAGAACTAGTATAATCACTCCTGCCCACATTCTTCTGGACAGACTCAACCACATGGACCCAACTTACTGCAAGGCGGGCTATGAAATGTAATCTTCCTGCATGCCCACAAAGAGGAAACAGTCTGGTGAATGTGGCATGATCTTTCCACATCTCCTTTTATTTGTTGTGTCCAGTCACCCTACCAGACAGGCAGAAGCCCAGGAATATGGACTCCAGTTGGACTATTTGGGTCCCAGAAGCCTACTTAGGCTATGGGGTCAGGTGTCAACAACGGCACGTAAAACTAAGGTGGGTGTTCTGGAAGCCAACATGCCAGAGTGAAAGTAAAACTGGTTCACCAATCTAAAGAACTCAGAGAGGGTGAGAGAAATGAAGTGTACATTTAACCTGATAAGAAGAGACAAAGTGGAGGTTAGAAGGCAGAGCCTGGAGGAGTTCCTCAGCTATGACAATAGAGCCATAGACCCTTTTTTGTGGAGCAATGGCAGTCTCTGCGTGGATAGAAGGACAGGGATACTCATAATATCCTCTTGACATCAGCAAGGCAGATATTATTAACCCTGTTTGACAGATGAGGTTGGGGGATTCACTCCCAAATAGTGGTCTGATGAAAGCTATGGCCCCTCTGGAGGTTTCCCAGAGATGAAGTGACTTGCCCAAGGTCACACAGCCAGTAAGAAGTACAAACAGGATTAAACCTAAGACTTCTGACATCCAATTCATGGTGCAGAAGCTAGACTATTAACCCTATGCAGCCCTCTCCACTCTCTGCCCTCAGCAAGTCCCTGTGCCTGTTCGTAAACAAGCAGACAATGAGTCCAAGATATTCAGATTTCTACAACGTAGGGAATGCACTTAGAGAGGCTAGGACTTCTCCCAATAAGTGTGTCCCCTTTGTCCCTATTTGGAATGGTGTGTGAGCCTTCACTGTCCCTGAGTCTGGGAGGTTACACTGGGTGCATTACTCCTTTGTCCTCACTGCCTTTGTACATTCTCTCACTGATATACACAAGGCCTAGCACAGAGCCGGGCACACAGTATTAATTAAATGAATGGGTGATCAAATAGCACTTCTCAAGCTGTGCTAGGATGTCCGGCTGTATTAAAATTATTCAGCTGTCCCCCGAGGCTTATTTTTTCTCCATGAGGGCAGGCACTCTAACTGCCATAATCTCTGAGTATTACCTTCACTGCCCATTGCACAGGGTAGACACTCAGCATATATATTTATAGAATATAGAAATGAGAGGAAAATAGCTATAGCTATGCCATTTTTGTCCCAATTCTATAGCTAGATTCTATAGCTAGCATTAAGTTTTCTGAAAATCAGACCTACCTATACCACTTTAATTCTTTAAGCTCTTTAATGACTATTCATTGATTTTGGTGTCCAGACAAAACCCCTTAAACTTGCCTATAGAGCCCTGCCAGTACCTCTGACTAGGAAAGGGCTGAAGAGGGCAGACCACTATTTGGGGGTCACAGACTCTTAAGATTCTGATGAAGGCTATGGCCTATCTCTTCAGAAAAATGCGGTCACATGTTTATGAGCATACACTTTTCTAGGCCGTTTTACAAGGTGGATGGGTCCTCTGTTGTCCAATCCTGGACCTCCCTGGGGCCCATAAATCCAGGATGGAGGCGTCTCAGTGGCCCACCTAAACTGTCATCGGAGTGAGAAGTCAGCTCTGCTAAGGGCCTCTCTGAAGCTCCTCAAATGCAAGGCACCCACCCCCAACCAAGTGCCAGCTCTCTGTTAGTTAGCAATTCAGAATGACTTTTCAGAGCAATGCCTCAGTCTCCCGTGATACTTGTCTGACAATCCCTTAATCTTGGCAAGAGCTGCATTAAACCAACCTGTCATTGTCGTCGTCGCACGCAGTGGCAGCTCACAGAGAGACACACACATGCTCAGTGAAAGCCGGGCTCTTCATCCCATTGCCAGAAATTACAAGTGGGGGGCCTATCGCTCTAAACCAGCACCCAGAGGCAGACAGACAGGGCATGCCGAGAAGTACCACGCCAAATCAGGCTGGAGGTGAGTTGCTTCCACCCTGGGGGCTGTCAGGAGTCATTGAAAGGAAGGTTTAAACAATCACTATTCTCAAAGCCCAGGGTCCTTCCCTGTTGGATTAAAACAAAGGAATGGAGCCATAATACGAAAAAGCATCAGGGGAAATTTGCTGAAAATGGGATTCATTTTGACAAATTCAAAGAGCCCTGTTGTTACCTTGCTTCTGGAGAATCTGTTTTTTTCTGTTACTTTTATGACCTGTGAAATTCTATTCCTTTTGAAAAGAAAAAGTGAAACCGTATCCAGTTGACACCCCAAAATATTTTGGAAGCTTTAAGGAAAAATAACAACAACAACAAAAAGAAATGATTGGTCCAAAGCCATGTGTGATCAAATCCTTCCTTTGGGTTAACCCTTTTACAAAAACCATACCTTATCTGATAATAATAGTTATTATTATTATTAAAGTTGTGAGCTTTCTCTTTTTTATCTTTTATCATGTGCTAAACACTTTCAAATCCTTTCTACAAACATCTGTTTTGAGTCAACTGTGTCAGACGAGTTGCAAAATTGGCCCCTATTCTTCACTCTTCCACCTTGGGCAAGGTGACGTGTCCCTCCGCTTGATTCTGGGTTTGGCCAGGCGATTTCCTTTGGCAAGTGAGATGTTAGCAGATGTGAAACAAGTAGAGACTTGAAAAAGCATTTGTGCTTTTCCATGTGCATTCTGGTACCCTGCCCTTACCATGAGATGATGCCAGGTTAGCCCTCTGCAGGGTGAAAGATACATGGAACAGGCCGGGCGCGGTGGCTCACGCCTGTAATCCCAGCACTTTGGGAGGCTGAGGCGGGCGGATCACGAGGTCAGGAGATCGAGACCATCCTGGCTAACACAGTGAAACCCCATCTCTACTAAAAATACAAAAAAGTAGCCGGGCGTGGTGGCGGGCGCCTGTAGTCCCAGCTACTCGGGAGGCTGGGGCAGGAGAATGGCGTGAACCCGGGAGGCAGAGTTTGCCATCAGCCGAGATCGTGCCACTGCACTCCAGCCTGGGTGACAGAGCAAGACTCCGTCTCAAAAAAAAAAAAAAAAAAAAAAAAAGAGAAAGAAAAGAAGAGAAAGGTACATGGAACAGATCTAAGTAGTCCCAGGCACCCAGACAATAACCAGCTGACCCTCAGACCCATATGCAAGCCCAAACAAGATCAGCAGACCTAGCCAATGCCCAAATGACTCCTGACATGTAGGAAATAAACTCACATTTTATTAGTAATTATTATATACTATTAAAGTTTCATGAGTGATTGTTATACAGTATTATAGCAACTAGATAACTGATACACCAACTGTGTGCCAAGGACTGTTTTAAAATATAGTATATATAGCAGTAAACAAAATGGACAAGACCCTTACTCTTAAATTCCTGGTTACAATACCTAACTCAAAATTTGTAGCACCTCTATAGAGTATGCTATATTCCCAATTACACACAAGGAAAGTGAGGCATAGAATGGTTGCATTACTCGCCCAAGGCATTACAGCCAGCAAATGGAGCTGGGATTCCCCCTCAGGGTGTATGATATGGTGGATAAGTCACTTAACTCCAGTCAGCCATGGTTTCTGCATCTGAAAGATAGGAATAATGAGTACCACATGAATTATTGTGAGGAGTAAATGAGATCATACATGTCAAACACTTGCCACAGGGCTCTGCACATGGAGACCTCAAGCTGTGGACGGTACTATTTCTGTTATTTTTATCATGGCTGTTGTGATGCTACCTGAACCCAGAGCCTGACTACTTCACCAGTTCTTCATTATTTTGTTGTTTCGGTCTAGTTTCCCATTCCTTCTACCTGATCAATGTGTGGATGGAACTGGTTGACAAGTATGGCAAATGGCACTGCTTCTTTTCATAGGGAAAACAAGAAACTTAGAAAACGTTCAGATCAATTTCAATAACCTTTATTCCACTGAATCCAGTGAGGGCATGGAACAGGTCTGATAGCTTCACTATGGAGAGGTTATTACACTCCTGAGCTAGAAGCAGACATTCTAAAGGAGGAACCAACCACATAATTTTAAGGGCCCCATGTAAAATGCAACTACTGGGCCCCTTGTTCAAATATTGTTAAGAATTTTAAAACGTTTAACATCAGAACACTGAAAAGAGCACAGAGCCCTTGTAATTTAGTGCCTTCCTCACGGAATTGTTTTGAAGATTAAATGAGAGGAGCATTTCAGTCCTTAAAGCAGTATCTGAGAAACAGTAAATGCTCAACAGCAGTGGTGTGAACTGTCACTGTTATTATCACCTATTTGTTGAAGTAATGAAGGGAAACTCAGCCAACATGAAGCCCTTTAACTTTTTCAAAAGGCTTGGATGGCCATTTTCTCATGTGGTTTTCACAAAGAGCTCTGTGATGAGGCAGGGCAGAGGTGTCTTGGTCCCACACCTAAAGAAATGATGGCTCAGAGAGTGTCATGGCCTTCCGGAGTCTACACACCAGGAATTGTTGACATCAGCCTGGAACCTGGGATGCCCCAGCCCTGTTGTCTTTCCCCCAAGTCCTCCTGGCTCCAGCTACCTCTGGCCCTAATAGAATTGCCATGCAGGCAAATTTACTTATTTGATATAGTCAGGACCCAACTCTCAAGATGAGATTGAGGACTTACTTTGCATAGAGATCCACATCAGAGGCTCCCTATTCATTCCCCCAAGTCACTTACTGCGCCGTGACTCACATTCTAATGTAACTGTCTTCTGAGCAAACTCTAGGCTACCCGAGGAGGGAGAGACTGAGAAAATCATGTAGTATATGATTAGCACAAAGGCTCTGGAATAGGACAAGGAAGTCTGAATCTGACTCTGCCACTTAATAGCTTGGGCAAGCACTTAACTCAGATTATCTCAACCTGGACAACATTAATATTTGGGGCTGGGTCATACTTTGGTGTAAGGAGACATCCTGTGAATTGTGAGAGATTTAGCAGTGACCCTAACCTCTACCCACTAGATGCCAGGAGCACCCCACCTCCAGCTGTGACAACCAGAAATATCTCCAGACATTGCCAACTGGCCCTTGGGAAGGGAGGCAGTGAGCAGCAATTTGATCTTAGTTGATAACAACTGACTTAACCTCTCTGAGCACCAGTGCCCTAAACCTATAATCTGGAGATTATGATAAACATCCCTGCTTCATCAGGCTGTAAGAACTGAAGGAGATGATCGTGTACTGGATTGGCATAGGAACTGGCACAGTTAGATGGGCAATCAATATTACATGCTGTTATTATTGCAGTGCCTTCCAAGGAATGGGGACCTTTGCAAGAGGTCCACAAGCTCCCCAAATTTGGGGTTGAAAATTTAATTCAGGCTGGGCACAGTGGCTTATGCCAGTAATCCTAGCACTTTGGGAGGCCGAGGCGGGCAGATTACCTGGAGGTCAGGAGTTTGAGACCAGTCTGGCCAACATGGTAGAACCTCGTCTCTACTAAAACTATAAAAATTAGCCAGATGTGGTAGTGTGTGCCTGTAATCCCAGCTACCTGGGAGGCTGAGGCAGGAGAATCGCTAGAACTCGGGAGGTAGAGGCTGCAGTGAGCTGAGATTATGCCACTGCACTCCAGCCTGGGCAATACAGTGAGACTCCATCTCAAAAAAAAAAAAAGAAAATTTAATTCAGCAAATACATTTTGAAGATCCATGTCTATAGGTATACTGCCAGGTAATGGGAATTAAAGGGTGAATAAGATTCAGACACCACCCTCAAGAAGTTCCCTACCTGGTGAGAAGCTCACAGCCCAGGCTCAGTTCACACCCTGGTTCTTCCACTTGCATGTGTGACTTAGGGCAAGTTTGCCTCACTTTGATGAGCCCCTGTCACCTCATCTCTAAAGCGAAGATAACAATGAGAGATGTAGCTCTTAAACATCAGCTACACTGTCTCCCCACTACATTTAATCTCTCGATTGCTGGTCCTCTTCTGCTCAGCACACTGCCTGCAGCAGAGAGAATAAGTCCGTCGCCCACCTCCATGGGAGAGGCTGCTTCCTTCCCAGTGAACATGTACCATCTTCTGGGAGATGATTCGGGATCTGAGGCCCGTCATCAGAAGGACTTGGGCTTATGGCCTTGGTAGTCACGTCACTTCTCTCAATCAGTTTATTCACCTATACGATGGGGATAACGACAGTGCCTACCTTCATAGAAGTTCTCATGAGGGTAAAATGAGATCATTCATGTAAAACATGGCAGAGAGCCCAGCACAGAGGAAGCACACAATGCCCTGTTGCCATGGCAATGGAGAGGAAGATGCTGACCAAAAAGGGGAGGCAAGGGGTGCGGCTCTCCATGGCCTGATCCAATCGCCTTGGGGAGCTGATGCAGGAGCCCAGAACTCCATCTCCCACACCTTGACCGCGGGGCACAGCCTGCAGGACCCTTAACACCAAAACCTGTCTACGCCAGCCCCTCCCAGGCCAATGGCAGGAGCCTTGTCCCAGGCTCTCGCCAAACGATTCAAGTGTATTAAAATATGGATGTATATATGTATGATGACAAGAAAAAGGAAAAGTGTAACTTCTAGTCAGAGCCTAAATTTCTTGCCTCCAAAGCCCAGCTGGAGAGCAGGGGTTCTAAGAGAAAACAGCCGCGCAATTAGCTGGAGTTCTGTAGCTGTCTTCAGCAGACTGCTTACACCGATGTCTCGATAGGTGGTCTCCCAGTTCATCAGTTCATAAATAAGTAATTTGAAATGTGTTCCTGAGGGAAATTTTCCTCCTGCTCTCCCCAACAGACTGTACTCATCAGTTTTCCCATTCTCCAGGTAGCTGCCGTCCTCATTTATAATGGCCAGAGGAACTACGCTGTTCTAATTCCTGCTTCATTACATTGTCTAATGCGAGTTTTCACCAGCCTCACAACTCCACATTTCTTTATGTTGATAAGAAAAAAAAACTTTGCATATATTATTTATTAGCACTTTGGAGGTGGCTTTGCTACAGGTTTAAGTGGAATATTTTTACATACAAAGCAAGATAGGCAAGTTGAATTCTGGAAAGGGATTTGGAAATGTTGTTGATCAGCTCTCCAGTGACACATGCGTGTGGACTGGGTGGGACACACGTGCGGCACACACTCCACTCACACACAGCCAAACCTTCACCACCTATTTTACTGCTTCTACCTCACCTCCTACCTTCGCCATCCATGTAGCCTGACATATATTTTGTTCACATTTTGATGCATGGTTCCAATGTTATATTTTTCCATTTGAGAAAATGTGCAACCAGATCAAAAGCACCTGGTGACTTAGGAACACCAGGGTCCCCCACTGGTGAAGCTAATGGAGTCACTAATTTGCCTGGCCAATAAAACCAATGATTTCTATACTAAAAGCCTTTGAGTGAAGCCTCCGGGGCTTGCTTCAGGGCAATGGAAGGGGGCTAGTTTCCTCTTAGCCAATAACCTAATTATTTTTTTAAAGCACTAACTGTACCTTTCATTATAATAATGCATATAATTGATTTTACTGATTATGTCTTTCATGGCATCTATTAGTCACTGAGAACTATATTTACTTCTTTCTGTTGTTTTTATGATTGTTTAGCTTTGGGATCTCATAATAGGTAATTAATAAAATATGTTAATCTGAGAGTAATTTACCTAATGAGATCTCCAGGAATGCTTTTCTCTCCTGATAAAGGAATCCCTCAGAAGGCTTTTGTGGGAGGAAAAGCTTTCCTGTGAAATCCTGGCACAATCTGAAACCTAAATTCAGGTTTATTTGTTAGTTTCCTTAGCCTCTGAACAACCAGAGAATTTTTCATCAAAAGAATTTAAAACTGAATGTCCAGTTTCAGATGAAACTGTCCTTTTCTCTGGTCTGCCTGGTGGCAGCAATCAACAACCTCACCCCCACGGACAGTCATCCAATTAGGCAATGAATGAAGTTGACCCACCAGCTATTGGAGATCCCTTTCAGGAAGGGGCTGTAGTTTTGAAGGAGAATAAGATTACTGTGATGCAACACAAGCAAAATCAAAAGGGTAAGATGAAGGAAAGAGAGAAGAGGAGGGGGCTAAACAACGATGAATTTTATACCACAGGAGACTTATTGCACAGTACCCACTATCTGTGAGTCAGGATGAGAAAGGTAGACATGGTTTCTCTGGTATAATCACAGTTCACCTCTATCTGTAAGGGGTGCTGGTGCATTGAGTGCAAATCCTAGCTCATTTTCTGGGATGCTGCTCAGACAGGCCTGAGGATGTTTGCAACAAGAGTGGTGCTTCAAGCTGAGGATCCAGAAGCAGACAGACCTGGCTCCCATGCAGGTCTACACCTCGGTCATGTCCTTTCTTAACTCCAAGCCATAGTGCCTTTCATTTTCAGTATGGGCAGCAGACATTAGCACCTACACACCTGTAACAAAGGAACACAGAGCACACACCAAGGTTTCTCAACTTCAACACTAGTGACATTTTGAGGCAGATAATTATTTGTTGGGGGCAGAGTGGTTGCACTGTGCACTATAATCTATTTTGCAGTATCCCTGCCTCCAGCCACTAGGTGCCCATAGCAGTCTTCCCCTCTCCAGAACAGCCAGAATTGTCTCCAGATATTACCAGCCAGAATTGTCTCCAGATATTACCAGATATCCTTTGGGGGCTACAGGAATGTGGCAGGCACCGTTGCTACTCCTGAGAACACTGGCCCACACTAAAGACTCAACAAACACGATCTTAGTATTACAGTAATCTTTTCTGAGAATGAACTGGCAACATAGATGAGAAGCCACTCAGGAAAAAGAATGCAGGGTGTTCTACGATGAAGTCCTCCAACTCTTGTTATCATCACAGGGAATAAGTCCAGATTTCAGTTTGAGGAGGATCCCCCACTGACAAGCGGGAGCTCCTCTGTAGCCAGGGCCAAAGTCTTATTCGCAGGCAGGGAGCACTTGCCTGAGGCTAAAATGACACCAGGTTATGGATTATATCCAAGATACGCAGCACTCATCTCACATCCAGCCCCAAGCTCAGGTCCCTGGAGAGACAAGCCAAGCCAAAACAAAAGGAGCCACCAATATGAAATACTTTGTGTTTATGTATCAAAACATATGTCATGTTTTTAATATATGTATACCATACACACAAGTTTCAGATAAATAAACAAGTAAAAACTACAGTAAACTCCTTGCCGACCAAGGAAACATTGAAAGTTACTGAGACCCAACCTCTGAAAAGCAAAGTATGAAAATCAATAAAGCCTAAAGCAAACCTGCCCATTCTTTGACTTGACATAATCACTTTCTCTAGAAATTCAGGTCCCAGGTACTTTTCTAACCCAGACCATTTCAAGTTGAGACTGAGATTCATCTGGAGTAATCATACCTTTTACTTGTTAAGAAAAAGTGGCCTTCATGCCATGTGAAAGGCTCTCGTAACATACATTGTCTCATTTAGCAAACTAAAGCCTGACAATTTTAGCAATCATTTGATTGCCTCACTCTTTATAAAAAAGAAAACAGAAATCTGCATTTATATACATACATATTTGCACCAAAAAAAATATGTACTTAAAACCATTGAAAATCACATGAACACAAAAATAACCAAAGATAATTGCCCAAACATGTTCACACAACTCACTCATGCACTCACTCAAAAATAAGTACATAATGACATTCAGGGTCATAAAATGGATTTCCCTATAAGCGGAAAAAGCATGTGCCCGGGCCACCATTAAAACAGGGGCACCTGAAATAAAAAAATTTTATTGAATTTATTATTTGAAAACCATCAGAGTAGTCATCAGGAGAAAAAACAATTATTCTAGTTGCTTATACTTGTGTAACAATTTAGCATTGCTTTTATTTTCAATTGCAGTTAACTCTTGAACAATGCAGGGATTAGGGGAGCCAATCTCCTCTCCCCTACATGTCAAAAATCTGCATATAACTTTTGACTTAACTACCAAAAACTTAACTACTAATAGCCTACTGAACAGAGAAGTCTTATCAATAATATAGCCAATTAACACATATTTTAGATGTTAAAATGTTTTTCAGAAAAGCATAAGGAAGAAAGAATACATTTACTCTTCATTAAGTAGAAGTGGATCATCAGAAAGGTCTTCATCCTTGTCTTCACATTGACTAGGCTGAGGAGAAGGAGGAGGAGTGGGAGGGTTGGTCTTGCTGTCTCAGGAATGACAGAGGTGGAAGAAAATCCACAAATCAGTGGACACGTTCAGTTCAAACCCATGTTGTTCAAGGATCAACTTTACCTACACTGGGGGTTGGGGAAAGTCACCATAATTTTTTTAGATATTCAGGTTTTGAAAGTCTTAATTGAGCCCCTAGACACACCCCAACTTTCATATACAAATTATGAAATCTGAAACCCAAATCTGCTGGTACTGATGCCCCTGAGCATGATACTTGGGATGGTGGAAAGGGCTCTGTTCCCGAAGCTGGGGGACCTGAATTCTAAACCTAGCCTCCCACTTACTCTCCATTAATATCTTGTTCAATCTCAGTTTCCCAACTGTTAAAAAACAAAAACAAAAAACTAGTTAGTGAAATTGATATGATTTCCAACATTATTCACTTCAGCTTTGATTGCCTATGAATCCCCCTTCTTGCCCAAGGTCATCCACAGCTGGTGGCCGACAGAGGCAGAAGTAGAGGTAATCCCATCTCCTAGTTTAAGGCCTTTTCCACAAAGTTGTACCCACACAAAAGCCCAAGCCCCTTCCTTCTCTCTCCTCCTCCACCTCCTCATTGCTATGCAACTCCTTTCTCATCTCCGGTGCAGCCCATCCACAACCCCTCCCCACCCCCGACAGCTCACACTGCAGGTAGTGCAGGAAAAGATAGCAATGGGGAAAGACAGTCAGGCACATTGAAGGGGTTACTTTGCCTGGGGAACCCTTTATCTGAAGTTGTCCTCAAAAGCGAGAATGAGTTGATTTGCATTTTCCCACTGAAGCATGCAGAGTAGCTGAGGAGTGTTTCTCGTTACCAAGTACCGTCTTCTCTGGTTTGCCCTGAGGCCTTCTCTGGGGCTGGAGCAGCTCTGAAAACACCTGTACGCTGCCCATTTAAATATATGCTTCAGACAAATCTTTTAGGGGTTTCAAAAAGGGAAAAACTAATGCTTTTCCGCCCCAGCATACATTATCCTTCCTGTGAATGCTGCAGGCAGAAATTAACTCTCTCCAAGCTGGTTTATTTAGTCTGTCTTTCCATGTAAAGCCTGCATTCCATGTTAAGGGACTGGCAGTTAACAGCTTTCTCGTTCCTTTCTGCCTGCCTTCCTTTCTTCAATCATTCATTCAGTAAGTAAGTATTTACTGACATCCATTCCATGCAAAAGCACTGTGTTGTCCCCATATCTTCTCCAGAGACAACTTTGACAAGGATCCTGCTCCCAAACTGCTCACAACCTGGCTCAGGTGACAATGGGCCCAGATGTGCCCAAATGTACCCAAATGTTACCTGGGGACCTCACTGCATCTCAGGAATTGGCTCGGACAGTTTCAAGGCTTGTTTGAATCCACAGTTCTCCTCATGACATCTGCAAACTCCTGGCCTTTTTGCTCTGCTGCTACACCTGTGCCTGTTGCCTTGATCGGGCACCAGCACCTCACAACTTTGGTAACTTTGTGGAAGAACTGAGGACAGTGGAGGGCAATTGCATCTCACGCCACATAGCTGTCGGCTGTCTTGATGGCTCTCCACCTCACTCTGCTGGCTCTCAAAGCGTGGGCTCTCCAAAAGGTGACCCACCTCACTACGCACTCTTTTCCAAACAGCGTAAGCCCTGTCCGCTCTGCCTCTTCTCACCCTGCTTCTCTCACAGTGTGTACTTGCAACAGACCAGCCTCCTTCCTGGTATCCAAGAAATTTGGAAAATAAAGTTCTCTCCATCCTTTTACTCAAGTAACTATAATACAAGTGGAAAAATTACAGAAGTCATAAAAGTATGCCTGCCCCCAGGCAGGCAATTAATAAATATATTAAATAAGCATATCTGTTGAAAAGGGGATTGGAAAAGGACTATTGCGGTTCAGGGGAGGGAAAGGTAGCTTTCATAAAGAATTCAGAGAAAGAAGCTTTTCTCCAAAAAGCAGAGTGGCACATGGGCAGGCACCACCTTCCACTATCTAGACCTTCCTGATCCTTCTCTACATCTGTTTTGTTTCCTCTTTTCTCCTTTTGAACATCTGCCCACCTCTTTGTGAAAAAAAAAGAAAAACAGGAAATGAAGGGATTTTGAAGGTCTGAACTCAGGATTCAGGAATTATACAATCCTAAAAGGTCTGGTCAAGTAGAAATTTTTGAGCTCATCCACCCTAATGCTTTTGTTTCATAAAGGAGTAAACAGACCTTTCCAAGGTTGTGCAGGATGTGAGTTGGTTTTTTTCCTCTTAATTTGAATGAGTGATAAACATTTTAAAGTCAAGAAACTTTACATCAGAATCCAGAAAAAAATCAAAGATCTGCCAACACTGGGCTTGCATCCCTGCCCAGCAGCAGCGGGCTGGAATGCGGTAGCTCCATCTCCTGCATGCACAGTCCCCTTCTATCCCAGCTGCCTCACGCCCAGATGGGTTCAATCATCTCCATCATAGTCATGGCCCCTACAGGCCTTTAAACTGTAACTCCTGTGTGTTAGTCCATTTTTGCGTCACTGTAAAGGAATACCTGAGGCTGGGTAATTTATAAAGAAATGAGGCTTAATTGGTTCAAAGTTCTGCATGCTGTGCAGGAAGGATGGCACCAACATCTGCTTCTGGTGAGGCCTCAGGAAGCTTCCAATCATGGCGGAAGGCAAAGCCACAGGGCCGATGTGTCACATGGCTAGAACAGGAACAAGGGGCTGAGGGAGGTGCCACATTTTTAAACAATCAGCTCTTGCATGAACTCAGCAAGAACCCACTCATCACCAACGGGATGACGCTAAGCCTTTCATTAGTGATCTACCCATCGTGGCCCAATAGCTCCCACTGAGCTCTGCCTGCAACTACTGGGGATTACATTTCAACATGACATTTGGAGGGGACAGACATCAAAACCAAATCATCCTGCTTTGCAGCCGGTTTCCTACTCCTGGCCAAAACAAAAAAACAACCCAACAAAAGCCACATTAAACCATGTAGCACAACTAACCTCAAGCAGCTCTCTATGTTATTGGATTCTAGAAGTCCCCAAAACCAGAAATTCCCATCCCCTCCCCATCAAAAGCTAATAATAATAGTAATAAATAGCAGGCAAACAAACGAAAGCAAAAAGCCTTTCCCACTGTCTGGTACTGCCTGAAATATCACTGTATCTTGGAGAAGTACTGTGTTCCTCTAACATCTCGGATTTGAAAGAAAAGTGGTACAGTAAGAAATGGCCCCTGGCACACACCATCATCTACTTTAACATTTTGACTGAGGATCATTTTTCGTGGTAGGATCCTTCAGATATCCTCTGCAGACACACACACACACTCCAAACACAATAAAACACAACACACATCCCCCTCTCTCATTCTCTCGCTCTCTAAGCCATATACTCAACTTTATTGGAATCTGATTAAATAAACAAAAACAAACATTTCTCCTTAGAGAAGGAAATAATTTTCACAAAATAAAAACACAGAGCAAATATACCTATTTGAAGGTGAAAAGATCACTGTTTTCTCCAGCAAGTCAGAGAGAGCATGAACCAAGAACACGAGATGCTGCAGTTTGCTGATGTGAGTGTGTGGACAATGAGAAGCAGGTGGTGTATGAACACAGGCAGAGAGAAGGAAAGGAAAACTGTCATCTTAGCAAGGATCACTGCATTGTGCTATCAAGGTCACAGTTGGTAAAGACCAAAATACTATCTCCAAAATTTTAACAAGGATTCTTCCTTTCTCTTGTTCCCATAGTGAGTTCCGGGAAATGGAGAGAAAGTGTAATGAAGCATATTTCTTTTTAAATGGCATATAGCTGGCCTCTACTTGGATCCTGTTTTCTGACATCATTTTAATTAGGAAAGGTGAGAAAGTTTCCAACGTCCCCCAACCCCCTTCCCTGTATCCTAAATGAGGGTTTCACAGAGAACTGGCAACCAACACGATTTTGACAGAGTGAACTTCTTTCTCTCATAAGCATTCCTCCAATCCCCAGATAATACCCCTCATTCCTCCCACATTAACTAACACACACAACTTTTCTCCTCCCACCCTCCCCAGCTCTCACTTCTCTCCAAAACGTATAACATAATTGTGAAGGCTAATTATCAAATAATGCTTAAGCCTTTGGGAACAAGATAGGGGGTTCTACAAATGTTTTAAAAAGTCCCCAGGCTGCAATAGAAACGTGATTAACTGAAACAAAAATGCCTGCTGAAAACTTTCAAACCCAAAGTCAGTTTTTAAAATATTTTTAAATATATAGGTATATTATATACATGCCTGTGTCATAATTTATCTATATGTACATATGTCAAATGTGTCTTTTTTTAATCTGTCACAGAAATTCTCTGCCATTGTAGAGCAAGACCCTCAAAGAGAGAAATAATTTGAAGTCGGTTCATCCTTTTTTCTGACACATGGAGGTCCACCATGGATTTCTCCCATGACAGGGGACCCCTCAACTGGCTCTGGTAGGAGACAGGAGGAAGCTGCCTCTAGTAAGAGGAAGGAGAGAGCAAATCTAGGCGATACAATTCTCCTCCTGGCCTGAACATGAGCAGATAGGTTCTGACAGATGTAGTTTTTATCATGGAATAAAACAGGCTCACAGCAGTGTGCCTCACACATGAATGTCACATTTTATGAATTGCCATATTGTCTCACTACACGCTGCAGTGAGCAGGGCTGGGCAGACCACGAGGTTGAGGAACGACTCGGCCTCTCCTCTCCCACGCCCCCTCCATTCCAGGCAGGGGCACTGGTTTTTTGCCTGCATCCTCAGAGAGGAAGAAACAACGGCTGTGGGTGCACCTGTGTTGTATGGGCCAAGTCCTCAGCTGTGATGCACACAGAAGTTAAATATAGCACTGTGGCTGGTCAGATTTCAACTGTCCTGGGACCCTGAGCGGTTACGTAGCAGAAGGGGCTGGAGGGAGGGAGAGGAGGAGGGATTCAGAGAAAGCGTGCACAATAACAATGCATGATCTATCATGCAAAGAGCCGCAGGGCAGAAATAAGGGCTCCTCACTCCTTCAGTAGAAGCCAAGCCCAGGGTGCTGATTATGTGCGGAGCAAGCTGTCTAATGGGAAAGAGAGCTCATCCACAAATCCTGGGTCAGGAAAGCCAGGAAGGTCCATTCTGAGACTCTGTCCATAGATGAGTGTTCTGAGGATTAGCTCTTGACTCAACACTGTGGAGGAAATGGTATTCAAAATCTCTAGGGACTCACTTTCTAATTAAAGAGCAAGTCTTACTGGTTGCCTTTACTTCCCACCCCACTGAGACCCCTTGCTCCACTCATGGGACTCAGGCATGAATGGGGAATTCTGAGCAAGAGGCAATCAGAATGTGAAAAACATCCAATGGGGCTCTCCCTCACCCCCAAGTTATTGAGCTAGGCCTGAGTCAGCCAGAGTTAAGGCCAATGACACCTCTTAATTTGCTCTCTTTCCTATGATGTGATGCCGTGTCATCCAAATTAGACACAGTTACCTCCAAGGTATACTCAGTGTCATCATAGCCATGAAAAAAAATCACAATACATCTTCCCAGACCAATTTTTCTTTCAGTGCCTAACAGTGGGGCAGGTAGATTATTCTTATTAGAAAGCAAGCACAAATGTAAATCAGAAAATTCAAACAGATTTTTAAGATAAAACATTAGTCTTCAAAGAAATTATAGATTTCCAGGGACTATTTTGAGCTCAGCCCTATTACCTCCCTGAAAATGAATTTACTCCCTTCCATCATAAGGGATTCTTTGATTTAAAAAAAAAAAAAAAGAGCTTATGCGTGTGGTAGGCCTAAATAGTGATCTCTAAAGATATCCAGGTCCTAATCCCCAGAACCTGTGAATCTTGCTTTATGGCAAAAAGGATTTTGCAGGTGTGACTAAAGATTTTGAGATGGTGTATGTTTATCACAGCACTATTCACAATAGCAAAGACATGGAATAAACCCAGCTGCCCATCAATGGTGGATTGGATAAAGAAAATGTGGTATATGTACACCATGGAATACTATGCAGCCATAAAAAAGAATGAAATTATGTCCTTTGCAGCAACATGGATGCTGCTAGAGGCCATTATCCTGAGAGAATTAACGCAGAAACAGAAAATCAAATACAGCCTGTTCTCACTAATACGTGACAGCTAAACACTGGATACATATGGACACAAAGATGGGAACAGTAGACAGTGGGGGCTCCAGAAGTGGGGAAGGAGGGAGCTGGGGAAAGGTTTGAAAAACTACCTATCAGGTACTATCTTCACTGCTTGAGTGACAGGATCATTAGAAGCTTCTCCTCAGCATCACACAATATACCCATGTAACAAACCTACACATGTATCCTTGAATCTAAAAATAAATTTAAAAAAATTAAGACATTGAGATGAAAGATTATCCTGGATTATCTAGGTAGACCTTACATGTAATCATAAGTATCCTTCTAAGGGAAATACAGGTGGAGTTATGACTACAGAAAGGAGGTGACGTGGTGATGGAGGTAGAGACTGGAGTGATAAAATTTGAAGACGGAGGAAGGGGCCATAAGCAAAGACATACAGATGGCCACTAGAAACTGAAAAGGACAAGAAAACAAGTTCTATTCCCAGAATCTCAGAGGGAACCCTGCCAACACTTTGATTCTAGCTAGCCCAGGAAAACCCATTTTGGACTTCTGACCTGTATTGTAAGAGAAGAAATCTGTATTGTTTTAAGCCACTAAATTTGTGGTAATTCATTATAGCAGCATCAGAAAACTAATATACTTCAGAAATAAGAGTGCAGGTCACTGAGTTCAGCAACTTACACTATTATTACGAATGGTTTTACTTTGAACCACAAAGAACTTAGGATATTTGGAGATAACTATTTTATCTCCTTTCCATTAAAAAGTATTCCATTAAGCCACAAGGCATGTTTTCCTCTGACTGCCTTCCAGGCACTTGCTCATATCATTTCCCCTGCCTAGAAAGCCATCCTCATCCTCACTACTTTAG
This sequence comes from Homo sapiens, assembly GCF_000001405.40. NCBI lineage: Eukaryota > Metazoa > Chordata > Mammalia > Primates > Hominidae > Homo > Homo sapiens. Next base: position 158,192,595 of record NC_000005.10, on the reverse strand, counting down.
GTATTATGGTAAAACCAATAAATAAAATCTCCCTCAATTGAGATGCTTGATGAGAGTTAGATTTTCTGTCTCTAATAAGTTTTAGTAATTAGAAAGAGCAAAGAAAAGATTTCTAATCCCATAAAAGTAGGAAGCTTTTACCTCCAGTGCCAGTCTTAGATTTTTAGACTGTATGATCTCAGAGGCAACAAGCTGTCTTTTCTAGTGGCCTGCTGTTGTACCGTAAATGCATACTGTTCATTGGGGATTTTAGTTCCACTTCTCTAGTGGTCCCCAATAAAATGAAAATAATAGTTAAAAACCACTCTCAATCACTACCCCAAATTATAAATCAGTTTTAAAATAGGCTTACATTTTGCTCAGATCCTCTGATGAATTATCAAAAAAGTGAAACAACTGGAACTTACATTAAAGAGTTAACTGGAAAATAGGCAAAGATGATCCAATATACCACTAGTAGGAGACCCTGAAGAAGAAAACGAGAGAAGAGATGATCCTCAAGGGAACAGTATTAAAAACTATAGTTCAAAAAAGTTTTTCTGATACCAAAAAAAAAGTGATTTGAACCGTATATTAAAAGAACATGCCATGTACCTGGGAATATTGACCCAGAATGACCAAAACTAAGACATAGTCTAGAAAAATTATTGTATTTAAAAGAAAAAATTATTTGGACATCTAGGCAAACAGGGCACATACTCAATAAGGAAAATTAATTATCCTCAAATTTTTTTGACAGCAATTCATTATGCCAGGAGACATTACAGTAGTATATTTAAGATATTCAAAGAGAGAAAATGTGAACTAAGGATTTTATATCCAGAAAATCACAAATAGCTACTAACCTGCAAAAACTCAGAGAACACTGTTCCCATGAGCTCCTCCTAAGGAATCTACTAAAGAACAAGTCTCAGATAGGTATTGCTGGTGAATATTACTATATAGGTAATTAGAAGTTAAAAGAAAGAGACTGTAGTGTGTACTGCCTGTATGATTCAAAATGAAATTATAGTACACTTATGAAAATGGGGAAATGATTAGCATATGGAAAAAAGTTTTATCTGCTTTCAGTAATAAAAATGCCTGTTACAGTACTAGTACTAATATTCTGAGAATATTTTATATGTAAAGTAGAAAAAAATGCAAACACTAATTATGGGATATTCTATTATCCCCTATTGTCTTTGGCGCGGTGGCCCACACCTGTAATCCCAGCACTTTGGGAGGCCGAGGTGGGTGGATCACGAAGTCAGATCGAGACCATCCTGGCTAACACGGTGAAACCCCGTCTCTACTAAAAATACAAAAAATTAGCCGGGCATGGTGGTGGATGCCTGTAGTCTCAGTTACTTGGGAGGCTGAGGCAGAGAATGGTGTGAACCTGGGAGGCGGAGCTTGCAGTGAGCCGAGATCGCGCCACTGCACTCCAGCCTGGGTGACAGAGCAAGACTCTGTCTCAAAAAAAAAAAAAAAAAAAGAACTGCGCCTTCAAAGATTTTGAGGTGAGAGAAAGGAGCTACTGAAGTAATATAGAAGATGTTAAGTAAATACCACGCAGATCCAAATCTTAATTGGAAGTATCAGTACAACCTCATGAAGTATTTGTGTAACTCCAGCTCTTTTGATTAAAGAGACTTAGAAACAAAGGCCAATCCAGTAGCAATGAGCTTCTCTACATCAGAGTTGGTCTTCATATGACATTTCTCATTGAGCTAAACCAGGATTTCTTGGACAAATGGCTGATTTCAAGTCTGAGGCAGAGTGTGTCCATAATGAGTTTATGGAGTGTGTCCATAATGAAACTGTCAAAAACTACATGGGTCATGTCAAACATGACTCCGTCTCAAAAGAGTCAGAAAGTACCTTGAAGAGGGTTCCACTGGCCAAAGACTTGAGCTTTGCAATGGATTGCAACCCATCAAATATATATAAATCCAAGAGTTCATAATAGCATATACATATTTTTAATTGGTCATCTTCCGAAGAAACAATGATCCAGTTTGTTAATTTAAAACTAGGTAAATAAAAGGAAATAAATATTTATTCTACTTATTCTATATGAACTGTAGTACTGGGTAACAAAATAGTAGATGAAAGGAAGAGTCTTTTTATAAAAGTATCTCAGATAATAAATTAAAACAAAAGATAGAATTAAAATTTTACTATTTTTCAACTCCTAATGAATTGATGAATGTAGACATTGAGCATCTACCTCAACTAATACCAGAAAAGAGCAAAAAACAGGCATTATATACCTTCTGATGAAGACACAAGACCCAACACCACTTATAACCTCATTAAGGGATCCAACCAGTGTCAGATCAGACCTCTCAATCCAGGTCTCAATTTGCAAGAAATACAAAAGCCGGTTGAACCGCACCATGAATGAGCAGTCAAATATCCAGACTGCAGGAAACTTGACAAGTCAAATAGCCCAGGTCTGTCAACAGATAAATTATAAGAAAGAGAAAGAGGTGGAGTAGAAAACCATAGGTTAAAAGAGACCTGAAAATCACATTAAGTTAAAAAATATACATAATATACATATATGGGCAAGACTAAACTATACAGTTTAGGGATGCATACTTGAATAATAAATCATAAATAAATACAAGAAAGTAGGCCAACTGCTGACTGCCACAGCCAGGATGAGACTCATGGGTCCCCTCCTGGGCTCCAGTGAGATCAGCCAGAAGGCTTTCTACTTCTTCTTCTCCCCTAGCCTCCCAGGAAGTGACATGCCCAGAGTCCCAAGTCCACTGACCTGGGGACCAGTGTGGCTGCCATAGCTGAGGATAGTGGGCATGTGGTAGCCAGCCCTGCCAAGAAGGACCAGGCTTGGCAAGGTGAACCTGGGACACTGCCCTCCTCACCACCAAGCAGAGCAGTTAATCTGTGTCCAGAGAAACATGGCCACAGCCCTGCTCAGACTCACACCTACAACATGGTCGTGGGCTTTGGTGAGATTTGGAAGAAGCATCTCAGCAGAGAATTTGGGAAACCATATTTTATAAAGCTCATGTGATTTGTTGCAGTAGAAAGCAAGGATTACACTGTTTATCCTCTCCCACACCAAATATTCACCTGGACCTAGATGTGTGACATAAGAGATGTGAAGGATGTCATTCCAAGACAGGATCCATATCATGTACCCCCCATCAAGCTCGTGGGGTCTGCTTTAGTCTTCAAAGACCTGTTCCACCTCTGCCCAGTTTGGAAAACATTTATAAAGAGCTGTCTACAGACATAGATGGCTTTGTTCATCCCAGCCATGGAGATGTATCTGGGTGGGTCAAACAAGGTGTTTTACTCAACGCTGTCCTCACTGTTCCAGCCCATCAAGCCAATTCTCATGAGGAGAGAGGCTGGGAGCAATCTCTGCTAATGCAACTGTGTCCTGGCTAAGCCAGAACTCCAATGGCCTTGCTTTCTTGCTCTGGGGTTCTTATGCTCAGGAGAGGACAGTGCCATGGAGAGGAAGCGGCACCATGTACTGCAAACGTCTCATTCCTCCCTGTTGTCAGCGTATAGTGGTTTCTTTGGATGTAGACACTTTTCTAAGACCAATGAGCTGCTGCAGAAGTCAGGCAAGAAGCCTACTGACCGGAAGGAGCTGTGATCCTCAACTGAGAGGTAGTCTGTCTCCATTAACGGTTATTGAGAAACTGCTGTTAAAGTATTTGTCAGGTATGAAGTCGAATTGAAAATTTCCCTGTTGATTTTAAGTATTCTGCATGAGGGTGGAAAGCTTCTGTAAAGCAGCCATGAAACAGGCTGCCCAGGAATGGCCGCTTTGTCCAGGCAGACACAGCAAAGGCTATCACTTGACCAAATGACTTTCTCTGCAACACAGCTTTGGCCCAAAATACACACATTTCTCAGAAGACAGATGAGGTCAAATATTCACTTGGCTCTCTTTACCTCCTTTACCTGTATGGCTGAAGTGGGGAGATGTACACCTTTAGGGACAGCTGCTCCCTAGTTTTGCCTGGTTAGACTTTCAGTTACAAGGTATTTGGGCATGTTTGCTTAGAAAGGTCCCCTTTTCTGGACAGGCACAGTGGCTCATGCCTGTAATCCCAACACTTTGGGAGCCCGAGGTGGGCAGATCACGAGGTCAAGAGATTGCAACCATCCTGGCCAACATGGTGAAACCCCATCTCTACTAAAAATACAAAAATTAGCCGGGCGTGGTGGCGCACGCCTGTAGTCCCAGCTACTCGGGAGGCTGAGGCAGGAGAATCGCTTCAACCCAGGAGGCAGAGGTTGCAGTGAGCTGAGATCTTGCCATTGCACTCCAGCCTGGCAATGGGGCGAGACTCCGTCTCAAAAAAAAAAAAAAAAAAAAAGAAAAGAAAAAGAAAAGAAAAGCCCCCTTTGGCCAGCCTGGCAGGCATTCCAGTCTCTGCCAGGTACACAGCCCCCTTGATCTTTCAAGGAGTGAACGAAGCATAAGGATGTTACACGAGTTTCTAGAAATCCAGCCCTGAAATTAGGGCCCAATTTCCTGATTGTAGCAGAGGTGAAGGTTTCTAAGGGATATTTGGTGTGAGCCTGAACAGACAGACGGGGGCTGAGAGAAGTGAGCTGGCTCTTGTTGTTATTCTTCAGGTGTTTTGTGGAATACACAGTGAAATTTAAACAAGGAAGAGGAAAAACAGGAATTTTTTAATGGGAGGGGATGATTTTCTGCTAGAGTTATCCTGAATTTGGATTTCTAAGGCAGCACAAGCTGCCAAATGCTGATTTTAATGAATTGAAATCACTTTGGGATATTTTTTCTGCCACACTGGAAAGTTTTAGTTTTTAAAAAATACTTATGCAGATATATATATATTTTTCCCAATCCTTGTTTTTTTTAAATTATTATTACATTTTAAGTTTTAGGGTACATGTGCACAATGTACAGGTTAGTTACATATGTATACATATGCCATGCTGGTGTGCTGCACCCATTAACTCGTCATTTAGCATTAGGTATATCTCCTAAAGCTATCTCTCCCTCCTCCCCCCACACACAACAGTCCACAGTGTGATGTTCCCCTTCCTGTGTCCATGTGTTCTCATTGTTCAATTCCCACCTATGAGTGAGAATATGCAGTGTTTGGTTTTCTGTTCTTGCGATGGTTTACTGAGAATGATGATTTCCAATTTCATCCATGTCCCTACAAAGGACATGAACTCATCATTTTTATGGCTGCATAGTATTCCATGGTGTATATGTGCCACATTTTCTTACTCCAGTCTATCATTGTTGGACATTTGGGTTGGTTCCAAGTCTTTGCTATTGTGAATAGTGCCGCAATAAACATACGTGTGCATGTGTCTTTATAGCAGCATGATTTATAGTCCTTTGGGTATGTACCCAGTAATGGGATGGCTGGGTCAAATGGTATTTCTAGTTCTAGATCCCTGAGGAATTGCCACACTTACTTCCACAAGGGTTGAACTAGTTGAAAGTCCCACCAACAGTGTAAAAGTGTTCCTATTTCTCCACATCCTCTACAGCACCTGTTGTTTCCTGACTTTTTAATGATTGCCATTCTAACTGGTGTGAGATGGTATCTCATTGTGGTTTTGATTTGCATTTCTCTGATGGCCAGTGATGGTGAGCATTTTTTCGTGTGTTTTTTGGCTGCATAGATGTCTTCTTTTGAGAAGTGTCTGTTCATGTCCTTTGCCCACTTTTTGATGGGGTTGTTTGTTTTTTTCTTGTAAATTTCTTTGAGTTCATTGTAGATTCTGGATATTAGCCCTTTGTCAGATGAGTAGGTTGCAAAAATTTTCTCCCATTTTGTAGGTTGCCTGTTCACTCTGATGGTAGTTTCTTTTGCTGTGCAGAAGCTCTTTAGTTTAATTAGATCCCATTTGTCAATTTTGGCTTTTGTTGCCATTGCTTTTGGTGTTTTAGACATGAAGTCCTTGCCCATGCCTGTGTCCTGAATGGCAATGCCGAGGTTTTCTTCTAGGGTTTTTATGGTTTTAGGTCTAATGTTTAAGTCTTTAATCCATCTTGAATTAATTTTTGTATAAGGTGTAAGGAAGGGATCCAGTTTCAGCTTTCTACATATGGCTAGCCAGTTTTCCCAGGACCATTTATTAAATAGGGAATCCTTTCCCCATTGCTTGTTTTTCTCAGGTTTGTCAAAGATCAGATAGTTGTAGATATGCGGCATTATTTCTGAGGCCTCTGTTCTGTTCCATTGATCTATATCTCTGTTTTGGTACCAGTACAATGCTGTCTTGGTTACTGTAGCCTTGTAGTGTAGTTTGAAGTCAGGTAGCATGATGCCTCCAGCTTTGTTCTTTTGGCTTAGGATTGACTTGTTGATGCGGGCTCTTTTTTGGTTCCACATGAACTTTAAAGTAGTTTTTTCCAATTCTGTGAAGAAAGTCATTGGTAGCTTGATGGGGATGGCATTGAATATATAAATTACCTTGGGCAGTATGGCCATTTTTATGATATTGATTCTTCCTACCCATGAGCATGGAATGTTCTTCCATTTCTTCGTATCCTCTTTTATTTCATTGAGCAGTGGTTTGTAGTTCTCCTTGAAGAGGTCCTTCACATCCCTTGTAAGTTGGATTCCTGGGTATTTTATTCTCTTTGAAGCAATTGTGAATGGGAGTTAACTCATGATTTGGCTCTCTGTTTGTCTGTTATTGGTGTATAAGAATGCTTGTGATTTTTGTACATTGATTTTGTATCCTGAGACTTTGCTGAAGTTGCTTATCAGCTTAAGTAGATTTTGGGCTGAGACAATGGGGTTTTCTAGATATACAATCATGTCATCTGCAAACAGGGACAATTTGACTTCCTCTTTTCCTAATTGAATACCTTTTATTTCCTTCTCCTGCCTAATTGCCCTGGCCAGAACTTCCAACACTATGTTGAATAGGAGTGGTGAGAGACGGCATCCCTGTCTTTTGCCAGTTTTCAAATGGAATGCTTCCAGTTTTTGCCCATTCAGTATGATATTGGCTGTGGGTTTGTCATAGATAGCTCTTATTATTTTGAGATACATCCCA